>NC_000001.11:39553835-39856865 GCF_000001405.40 Homo sapiens | reverse complement strand
TGGGTAAAGCATTTCCTTAACCCCACTGAGCTTCGGTTTTCTATCCTTTAAATGGAGATACGAAGTTAATCTATAAATATAATGGAGTTATAGTTAGAATTTCAAAGGGGTTGTTAGATGGGAGAGGACTGGAAAATATAGTTCTGGGTAAAACCAAGAAATTTTTGCAAAAAGAATAATATAAGGGGGATTGCCCTTATGTCTTAACATGCAGACTGCCTTTAGTATCTGGATTGCTATATATTAAAAGATTGAAAAGTCATAATAATTATAATAGCATGGAACTTATTTAGTACTAGATATATTTGTGGCACAGAATAGAAAACCCAGATATAGATTCAAATGGAGGTACGTGAATTTTTTTTTTTTTTTTTTTTTCTCCTAGAGACAGTCTCACTCTGTTGCCTAGGTTGGAGTGCAGTGGCACCGTCATGGCTCATTGCCACCTTGACCTCCTGGGCTCAGGTGATCCTCCCACCTCAGCGTCCTAAATATCTGGGACTACAGGTGCTTACCACCACACCCAGCTGATTATTTTCATTTTATTATTATTATTTTTTGAGACGGAGTCTTGCTCTGTCACCCAGGCTAGAGTGCAATAGCGCGATCTTGGCTCACTGCAATCTCCGCCTCCCAGGTTTAAGTGATTCCCCTGCCTCATCCTCCTGAGTAGCTGGGACTACAGGCACATGCCACCACACCTGGCTAATTTTTTGTATCTTTGGTAGAGACGGGGTTTCACCATGTTGGCCAGGCTGGTCTCGAACTCCTGACCTCGTGATCCACCTGCCTCGGCCTTCCAAAGTGCTGGGATAACAGGCATGAGCCACCATGCCCGGCTATTTTATTTTTTGTAGAGATGGATTTTGCTATGTTGACAAGCTGGTCTTGAACCCCTGGGCTCAAGTGGTCCTACTGCCTCGGCCTCCCAAAGTGCTGGAATTACAAGTGTGAGCCACCACGCCTGGCCCCAATCAGCCTTCTTGATTCGACAGGTGAAGGTACTAGATACTGAGGCCCAAAGAGTAGAAGGGTGTTTGCTCAATATCACAGTCATTTCATGGCTTGCACAAATAAGTTAAACCTTTTCCCGTGAAGTATGTCCTATCCCATCTTCTTTCCTCTTTCCACTCTCTCCTCTTCTGGAATCTTAACATTTTTCCCTTCCCCTTTTCATTTCTTTGCTCACTTTCCCTTTGTTAATCATACTACAGGTTGAACATCTGAAAATCTAAAATCCAAAATACTCCAAAATCTGAAACTTTTGGAGTGCTGAGATGATGCTCAAAGGAAATGCTCATTGGAGCATTTCAGTTTTCAGATTTTCAGGTTTGGGATGCTCAACCAGTAAGTATAATGCAAATAATTCAAAATCTGAAACATTTCCTTGGTCCCAAGTATTTTGGATAAGGGATATTTAACTTGTGTATAATTGACATTTTATCTTACTGTGGAAATTGTATGCTCCCTATACTTAATTTAAAGGGGGAAATAGAGAATTTGTTTTCTCTTTTTAAAGCAAACAGTGTTTTTTCTTTATGATCCTTGATTGGTAACATCTTTCTTCCCACCCTGCCTTAGCCGCTTAAGGGTTAGTGGGATTCTAGTAGAAAAGAGGTGGTCTGTCTCTATGCCTGCAGATTGGCTGGCAAGGAGAAATGTGTAAATGATTATTTACCTGGATATTGAAAGTCTTTTAAAAAAAGTTATTTTCGGCCAGGCACGATGGCTATCGCCTGTAACCTCAGCACTTTGGGATGCTGCAGTGGATGGATTGCTTGAGCTCAGGAGTTCAAGATCAGCCTGGGCAAGTAACATCGTGAAACCTTACCTCTACAAAAAATACAAAAATTAGCCAGATGTGGTGGCATGTGCTTGTAGTCCCAGCTACTTGGTGGCGGGAGCTGAGGTGGGAGGATGACTCGAGCCCTGGGAGGTTGAGGCTGCAGTGAACTGTTTTCGCGCCACTACACTCCAGTCTTGGTGACAGAGTGAGACCCTGTCTCAAAAAAAAAAATTATTCTCAGGAGCAAAGGCCGCCTTAAAGCAGATAATTATCTGTTCAACGGAGATTCTAAAGAGAAAAATTTAAAGTAGCAGAGATGAAAAAACAATAGTGGCTATAGTAAATTGAGTGCTTACTATTTTTTAGGCATTGTGATAGGGGATTTCTATGAATTGTCACATTTAAGGCTCATGGGGATTTTTACAGGTGAGAAAACTGAAACTCAGACAGGCTGAGTAATTGTCCAAGAGCTGAACCTGGAAATTGAAGTCTATTTATCTTCAGAACCTGTGCATCTCACTTAATTTGGTCAAGCCTCAAGTGGCAAAATGTGATAGTCTCTCCATGATGGTAGAGACTGACTAAGTCTAAGAACCTTAGAGAAACCAGCTTGTGTTTTGCCTTAGAAGGCAAAGTCATGCAATGGATGTCACCTTGATGGCCTCCTGAGCAGCTGACACTTGGTTCTGTGAGAGTCCTTGGGCTTGTGCTTATTGAACTGATTTGGAATACTAATAAAACTTTGACTTTTAGCAGCAAGACCTAGAAAGTTCTAGAACTGGAAGGAATTACCACTATGCATTTGTCTCTGGTTTCTGCAAGTCCCTCCAGAACTGATTGGACATGATTCTGGAAATTTGTTGGAAACACTGAGGGCTGGTATCAACGCATTTTGGTTCCCACCCTTTCTCCTCTGCTCTGCAGATAAATGAATGTGGTTTCTTGCTAATGGTGTCCTTCCAAAGTGAGTCAGGATTCTCTTGATATCGTGATATCTTTCTTAATGTTCACATTGAAGATATATTTGCCCGAGACAAAATTCCTATTGTTGTGGGAGGAACCAATTATTACATTGAATCTCTGCTCTGGAAAGTTCTTGTCAATACCAAGGTAAGTTTAGTTCACTCGTAACTCACTGAGGAAATGGATTGCTCTTTCTTGCTGTCTAATTTCAGTGGGAGAAAGGTTGACTCTTGCCTATTTCTTATACCCAGCAACTATAATTTTCCTACTTAATATTCTCAAGCAAATGCCACCTCCATGTGTGAAGTGTGTTCCTCCAGGCTGGTCTATGGGAAGGGGCTCTGTGTGGGAAAAATGTTGCTGTGTGGATTAATTAGCATCTCCATATAAATTAACAGTTCATTAGGCCAGGCGTGGTGGCTCACACCTGTAATCCCAGCACTTTGGGAGGCCAAGGTGGGTGGCTCACCTGAGGTCAGGAGTTCGAGACCAGCCTGGCCAACATGGTGAAACCCCATCTCTACTAAACCCCGTCTCTACTAAAAATACAAAAATTAGCCAGGCATGGTGGCACGCACCTGTAATCCCAGCTACTAGGGAGGCTGAGGTGGGAGGATCACTTGAGGCTTGAGGCGGAGGTTGCAGTGAGCTGAGATTGCGCCACTGTACTCCAGCCTGGGCAACAGAGCGAGACCCTGTCTCAAAAAAAAAAACAGATGCGATTCAAGAAAAAAATATGTATAATTCTTTAGAAAAATTATATTAAAAAAAACCCAGTACGTTAGCCATTAGCCTGATTCAGTATTTCCTGGCTGGCAGCACAGTATGTATATTAGGGAGATGTCCAACACTGACCTTATTTACGTAGGTGCTACTATGTAGGGTAAGACTGTGTAAACTGTAATTCACTGGCAATCCTGGTCTCCTTGTTCACCCTTGCTGAGAAGACTAGACTCCTGGATATGCTAAAATAGACATATTAGCCCTGGTACCTGTTTGAACTTCTGACAGGGAAGCAAATAGCCAGGTGTTTCCCTATGCTGTAAGTCTTCTGTCTTTTTTGTTTGCTGTGGCCTCATAGCACTTACCACAGCATATTGGAATTTTCTGTTTATGATCTCTCACTATATGGCAAGATCTTCTGATTATTCTGTATTCCTGACAGTTAGCAAAGTGCCTGGCACATACACTGTCTCAGTGTTGGTTGAATTAAATATACTTCTAAACCATCATTTAATAGCCCCAGGAGATGGGCACTGAGAAAGTGATTGACCGAAAAGTGGAGCTTGAAAAGGAGGATGGTCTTGTACTTCACAAACGCCTAAGCCAGGTGGACCCAGAAATGGCTGCCAAGCTGCATCCACATGACAAACGCAAAGTGGCCAGGTAAGAAAGCCTGGCGCGCTGACCCCAAATTCCTTTACAACTAGAGAGCAGTCAGTTCTTCAGTTTGCCCAGATGATGAGAGAGATTTGGTAATAGCAGTTAGTGGAGATTGATGTGTTGTTCTAGCTCAGCAGGTTGGGAGGCCCTGAGTTATTGCTTCAGTTCAACTCCCTCAATAAATAATTGCAGCCTACTTTGTTACATTTTAAATGCATAGTACAATATCGTTTTCCCCTAGGGCCTATATAATGTTGCTTCATTTTCTATTTGATCTTTGCTTGTATAACAGTTTTCATATACATTTTTTCTGGCATGCAGTTTGTTTACATTGTGATTTGGGTTTCATAACTGATTATGCAATGCCGTGTTCTGCCCCAGCAGCTTTCCCAGTGGGAGGTGGATTTTATTAACTGTCTCACAGATCAGCTCACCTTTGCACATGGAAACTATCTGGTAGGGAAGAGAGGTAGTGAATGAACTCACAAGGTCATGTTTTTTTAGGTTGTTTTGGAATTGCAGCCTCATGTTAGGTTTATTTTTCTGCAGTATTAGGAGTGATACCACTTCCAGCATAGTAGAACATCTAATGAAGGACCTGTTCTATTGATGGTTATACAGATTAAATATTAAAGTAACATCTCATATTCATAGGGGTTGTGAAGTATTCCACTCAAATGAATTTGATATTTTTCCTCCTAATTTTACCCCCCTCAGTGAAACTTAATGTTAGAATATAGGATTTAAAACATTCATTATTATTATTACTTTTTTTTTTTTTTTTTAAGAGATAGAGTCTTACTTTGTTGCCCAGGCTGGAGTACAGTGGCACAATCATGGCTCACTGCAGCCTTGACCTCCTGGGCTCAGATGTCCTCCTGCCTCGGCCTCCTGAGTAGCTGGGACTACGGGTGTGCACTACTATACCTGGCTAGTTTTTTAAATTTTTAATTTTTTTTAGAGATGTTTTGCTGTGTTGCCCAGGCTGGTTCCAAACTCCTAGGCTCAAGCGATCCTCCTGCCTCAGCCTACCGAAGTGCTGGGATTATAGTCATGAGCCACAGTACTCAGCCAAGAAAAGGATTTCTTCAGGTAGGGTTGTCCTTTGCACGGCAGGGGGGTGGGGCACAAATTGTAATATCTAAGTTTTTTCACCCCCTTAAAGGCAATGTATAACCTCATTAAGAATGCATGTTTTAGATTAATGAAGTTTATACTTTTCAGTATCCAAACATTTTAAACACTTTAATAGAAAACATTCAATTTTTTTTAAACCTAGGAACATTATGATAAACATTCATTTTTATATTGTTTTATTACATGATTCTAGAGCTTGGTGTTTATTCTCTCCTTTTACTAATCAGTTCTTTCTTATCACTTCTCATTTTGCTGCGTCTAAACGAGTAATGAGTTTGAGAATTTTTTCTTAGTAAGAGTCAATAGGTTCTAAGCAAGAGCTCTAGAGTCTCATTTAGAGAATGAGGACTTTCTTTTTTTTTAATCTTTCTTTTGGCTTGAGGCTGTATTTTAACTCCAGATAAGTGAGATATCTATTACTACATTTTTTCTCATAGATCTTCTTTGAGAAACCAGTGATACTGAAAGACAAGGGGGTCTACACTCTTGCGTTAGGGTTTCAGGAAGTAGAATTGGGTCAGGAAGAGAAAGATCACTTTCAGGCTGATAAGTTGCAATCACCCAGAGTGGTAGAGTGTAGATTTGGGAGTTAAATTACCTAGTGCTGCATAACATAATAGATACGGACAGAAGTGGATGGTGGCTTAAGAATAAGTATGTGAGTTCTTTTCTCAGTGATCTTTGTGCCAGTAGAGCACTGGATTAGCCAGGAGCATTCTTCATTAATTTGACATATTTAAAAAGAAAGCTGATGAGCTGGATGTACAACATGCTTTTGTACTGTGGGAAAGGCACGCCAGCCAGACCAGACTTGTTGGCTTGTTACAAAGTGTCCCAAACAAGCTCTTTTACTGTTTATCTGAAAGTGAGTGAGTACCATTCTGTTTGTGTAGAAGAAACCTGTTGTTTCTGAACCTATTTAACTGATTTCAGAATAATTTATATATCTTTAGAAAAATAATATTATTTCTTACTTTACCTAAAGTTTTCTTTAGTACCCTTTTCTGAGTAGCTGTAGGACTGGAGTAACCCTAGACCTTCATGTCTTTTGGAACTTAATGCAGTGAAAATGAGAATAAGCCTTTCTGCATGCCCCCTTTTTGAAGAGACAGGGTCTGTTGCTGCTTAGGTTGGTCTTGAACTCCTGAGCTCAAGCAGTCCTCCCAGTTTGGCCTCCTGAGTAGCTGGGACTACAGATGTGCACACTGTCGTGACTGGCTTTCAAGAAAGAGGCTTTCTGTAATAAACAGCCTTTCTCCTTGTTTTACTTGAGAATGAATATTTTCTATTGGTTTTTATGGGTGTGCCCCCTCCCTCCCCTTTTAAATTACTTAGGAGCTTGCAAGTTTTTGAAGAAACAGGAATCTCTCATAGTGAATTTCTCCATCGTCAACATACGGAAGAAGGTGGTGGTCCCCTTGGAGGTCCTCTGAAGTTCTCTAACCCTTGCATCCTTTGGCTTCATGCTGACCAGGCAGGTAACAGCCCTTTGATGCCCTAGAGTCCATCTGTGATGGAACTTGGAGTAATAAGTTACTGTATAGAAAATGCTGAGAACCATGGGTGGCTCATAATAAACACTAAACAAGTATTAGCTATTAATTTTATTATCATTATCATTATTTGTTGGCTTAGGCACAGTGCCATTCCCCTAGATATCTGTTTGGAAAGGGAGAAAGGATAGCCCTGGCATTAGGAGAAGACATCACAGGTAGAGTGGGATGGGATGGACGGAATGGGAAAGAGACTGCCATCCAGGGAAGGTCCAAAGGAGAAAAAGAAGGCAGTCTCTTGTGGAAGGTTGGCTGGAGGCTAGAATGTTCTAGAAGCAGTATGCCTTATAATTAGCTTGCTAGCCTGATGGTATTTTGTTGCTAAAGTATAATTATGTCCGTGATAGTAGTAACTTATTCATCCAGCAAACATTCAGTAAGCATTCAATGAAGTGCTGGGTATTCTGTGTGGTACTTCGGTTTCAGAGTTGAAGAGACAGTGCCTTTCCTTAAGGAATTCCCAGTCTAGTGGGACAACAGACAAGGAGATAGATACTATCTGTCTGTCTATTATTTATGTGATAAATGCTGGGCTAGATATATTTTCAGAGTGCTGTAGGGCCACAGAGAAGGGATGACGAATATTATCTTGGGGGGAGTCAGAGACCAGTTTGCAAAGGTAGCCTATGATAGGCCTGGAAAGATGACATCATTATGTGGACAAACAGTAGAGTGTAGCACTGAAGAGCACAGGCTCTTGAGGCAGACTGTCTAATAGCAAATTCCTGCTCCACTAGCTTCTAGTTATGTGAATTGTTAAGACAAATTAGTTTACCTTTCTGTTTCCCAATTCTCCTGTAAAATAGAGATAATAGTAATAACACATATTTCCTAGCTTCATCAAGGATTAGATGAATTAATACATATATAGTGCTCAGAATGTGCCTGACACATGACGGGTCCTCAATAAATGCAAACTTTCTAGGAAGGTTACTGTTGCTGTAGGCCAATAAATCACAATGATAGAGATGTAGAAGAACATAATTAAAATGGTGACAATCTGTTGTTAAATTAATCTGCCATAAATTGATAAAAAAGGTAATTTTTCAATAATGAAATTTTATAAACAAAAACTTTTACTCTACAGGCAGCATAAAATAATGGTATCTGATTCATAGTAAAGCTGTTTGTCACATCTGAACAATTACGACCTCTCACTCTTTGCTCCTTTGCTTGGCTCAGTAGTTTAGAATGTATCTAGGATGTCTTTTTTTTTTGTTTGAGACAGAGTCTCGCCCTGTTGCCCAGGCTGGAATGCAGTGGTGCGATCTCGGCTCACTGCAACCTCTGCCTCCCGGGTTCAAGCGATTCTCCTGCCCCAGCCTCCCAAGTAGCTGGGATTACAGGCGCGCGCCACTACGCCCAGCTAATTTTTGTACTTTTGGTAGAGACAGATTTCACTGTGTTGGTCAGGCTGGTCTCGAACTCTTGACCTCGTGATCCACCCACCTCGGCCTCCCAAAGTGCTGGGATTACAGGCGTGAGCCACCTTGCCCGGCCGTATCTAGGATGTCTTTGGATTAAAGTTCCATGTTCTTATCCAAGGTGTCATCTAGGGGTTCTTAAACATAAAGTAACACTAAGTTGCAGTATAATGACATATTAAATTAAAAATAAGAAAGGTAAACCAGGGGATCCTCAGCCACCTCTAAAACACATTCCATATGAGAATAAAATATTTGTCCTTCACAGTTGCTGTAATTGTATGCTTTCTCTATATAATGAGGAGGCATGTGCTTCATTCTGACTATGCTTCATTTTTATTTGGAGTTGCAAAGTCTTAAATGTGAGTAACGTATGAATTATTATAATAATCTTTGGAATCTGAATTCTTTCTTCCGTTTGGACAAATTCTCTTTTTTTGTGACCACCTGTTCACTCGTCATGTAAGTATATAGTAGGTACCTACAACTTGCTTGCTGGTTGATGGGCTAATTTGATTCAAGTTCTAGATGAGCGCTTGGATAAGAGGGTGGATGACATGCTTGCTGCTGGGCTCTTGGAGGAACTAAGAGATTTTCACAGACGCTATAATCAGAAGAATGTTTCGGAAAATAGGTGAGGATTTGGCTGTTATTCTGACCTACTGTCCATATTTTGCAGACAATCAAAAGACCATAACGCTAATACTGGCTTTGGGTCTACTTGTTTATCAGCCTTCTTTGCAGATGCAGTTTTTTAATCTTTCAGACAGTCCCAGGAGTTAACTTTTCAAGAAAGTAACCTGGTGGGTAGGGGAGGGGAAAATTTCAGAGAATCAGTAACTGCTCAGGATCTCAATTTCCTTATCTGACAGATGAAATGGCTCAACTAGGTCCATCTCCAAAGCCCCTGCTAGCTTTTAGGAGCAATGGCTTATCTGCTGATACCCTCCTGTTCCCAGCCAGGACTATCAACATGGTATCTTCCAATCAATTGGCTTCAAGGAATTTCACGAGTACCTGATCACTGAGGGAAAATGCACACTGGAGACTAGTAACCAGCTTCTAAAGAAAGGTGTGAATTCTTCCATCTAATCTAGTCTTGGACATCTTTGGGTGGCAGGGTACTCTGCTGGTATGGTCTGAGAAAGAGCCAAGGCTTAAAGCGTCCCAAATAGCCTTCAGCTCAGAACTGAGATTTTTGTCCACCAAGTCTGACATTGCACTGCCGTGGCTGACTTTTTCCTGCTGGGCTGGGAGGGCCTGCCTCTCTGCAGGGTAAGGAGTGCTTACCTAGATGTTCTTAAATCTACTGTATCTTTCAGGTATTGAGGCTCTGAAACAAGTAACTAAGAGATATGCCCGGAAACAAAACCGATGGGTTAAAAACCGTTTTTTGAGCAGTAAGTCTCATGTTTTTCTTTATCCTATGGGTCTGTTTTCAATAGAATATAGATGTCCTCAGCTCACCCAGAAAATGAATTTTAGATTCTGGGCCTGTTCTAAGATTTTGGATCTGACCTAAGGGAAGTTCTATAACATAAATGATTATCCAGGGATATTTTCTTGGGATGTCACAAAAAAAAAAAAAATTATTTGCATTGAGGAGTCTGCCTTCTGCCTTGAACAGATGGATACTGGCTGCAAACAGCTAAGAAGAACAGCAGCATCTTTTTTGGAGAGTTGGTGTTCAGGGCTGATTTTTAGCTTCAGTTTTGTACCTGAAGAGCAGTCAGATTTCTGTAGGGAAGATTTCCTAATTACAGTGTTTTTGGGGGGCCAGATGAGTTGTATAAAAAGACACCTTCACCATTTCTCCCAGCGTCTCCACATGGTGCTTCAGATTGCTTCAAATGAAACTTTAGTTGAACAGCATTTTTGAGGGAAAAGAAAGGAAATTCTCATTGATTTGGCCCTGTACTGTGTCTTTGGCACTAAATTTGGTGTTATACATATATTATTGAGTCTTCAAGGTAGGTGTTATTCTTTTATTTTTACAGATAAGAAAATGAAGGCCTAGTGAAGTTAAATAACTTGCCAAAAATCACCCAGCTAGTCGGCAGTAGATAACTGAATGCAGGCCTGACACAGAGTCCACACTCCTTTATACTACTCTTACTTCCTTTAGCTGTAACTTTAGCAAGACAGCATTAGTATTGGACCATGGGTAAAAACTATGTGGTTATGAGCTAAAGGAGATTAATTTAAGCATAAGTGAAACTTCAGTTTTATCTTGTGGACATGTTTTAAATATGCTTCTGAATCATCTTGTGTTTACCTTTTGCTGGTAGACTTCTGCTCTCAATTACAGACAGGGCCAGCTGAAGCCTCTGCCCCACTCGGTGCCTCTGAAAATACATACCTTGATCCCTGCTGTTGACCACTAAACTGCTAACATTCTTTCTCCCAGCTCCCACTCTCTGCCTGAGCTCTCCAGTGGAGTTCTGGTGTGAAGAGGCTTGTTGTGCTTTCCTCTACTTATCCTGTTTTCTCTGCATGTCCTGGTAGATAGAAGTCTTAGTGTCATCTGAAGTTGAAGCTCAGTGCTGTATTACAAATTTCTAATGCAGCTTCTCTTATCCCCATGTCTGACAATAAGCCTTTAACAGAAGACTTTTGGGTAATAATTTAGAACTTCTTCCTGTAGTAAAACCACAATAATTCCTCCATCTCTGTGGTAGGAGGAGTTGATGGCACAGTGTGTCATATGCCTGTTCCTCATTCGTGTGTATGCCGGCATCGTCCTGGTGCTGGAGTGAAAGGCACAGCTGCCCTGTAAATCAGGAGCTGTGCGTGATTGGCCAGGGCTGGTCTGCTGGGATATGGTTCTGGCAGGAAGCCAGGGGGACTTCCCCACCCCAGCATGGCCTTGGACCCAAGCCAGAAATAGCAGCTGGGAGCCGAGAACTTGTTGAAAGGTGCTTAGACAGGGCACAGAAGCCCAACAAAGGGCTTAGAGGAGAAAGGAAAATGTAGAGTGGCCTGGAAACAGGTGCAGAGCTTAGCCAAGGCCAGGTGTGCTGTGGATGCTGCCTGCACCCTCCTAGTCTCACCTTTCCTGTGGTAGCAGGTGCAGCCCAGTCCAGTTTATGAAGAATCTTATTTGGGGTTGGCACAATCAAAAGGCCAGCACCTGCCAGTCGTTGGCATCCGAAGGCCTTTGATGTTTTTGCCCATGGGCGATGCTCCTTTGCCTTTAGGCAACTGACTTAACCTAGTTGTGGAAGGCAGTTTAGTGTGTATATAGGCAGGGAAGCTAACCACAGAGACTAAACTCTTGCAACATGGTTGGCTCAGGTGGGTGAAATACCTGTAGCTGCACTCTTTGCTACCTTCAGTCTCATCTTCATTCAAAAGTGTCTGCCAGGGAGTGTTTCTTGAATACCCTCTAGATCAGGTTTTTAAAAGAAGTTGCTCAACTACATCAATTCTAAGACTTCTTTCTGGTTCGCAGATTCTGCGGCTTATTGGTTGATATGATTCTGTTCCCAGCCCATGCTTTCAGAGCATTTCATGAGTCCCAGGCCGCTGAGGGAATATATGCAAACCCGAGACTAGTATCTGCTCCTAAAGAAAGCTGTGAATTCTCTTGCCACAGATCGCCATCATTGTAAGATGATATGGAACTTAGAATAGGCACTTACTTAAAGCTGTTAGTTTATTTCTTCTTACGATGTGCTGTCTTTGTGTTGTAGCTCACACAATGGTCACTTGAGCTGTTAACTCTATTCTGGTTTTCTGGCTGATCTGGAAGATCCTGCACCCATGTATCCAGATTATGTAGCTAGTCTTACTAGCTGCAGAGCAGTTAAACCTCTAGGTCTTTCTTGGATTGTGGTTCATGTTTAGTTAGAATTAACAGCATGGTCAGAATGTTTACTCCTTTGGCTCTGTGTATTTCCCTGGAGGATTTCAGAGTCCTGGCTGCAGAATAGATTGGGTTTGAGGCTGACCTCTCACAACCTTTCTTTGTCATCATTAGGACCTGGTCCCATTGTCCCCCCTGTCTATGGCTTAGAGGTATCTGATGTCTCGAAGTGGGAAGAGTCTGTTCTTGAACCTGCTCTTGAAATCGTGCAAAGTTTCATCCAGGTAATTATGAATCATGATACATTCTATTTTCTGGTTTTCAGAGCACTTTCATTAGCTGACACCTTTGTTGCTATATTGAAGAACCAGGCCTTCTTTTCCATAGAATAAAGCAGAAGGGCTGGCTGCTTTTTAATACCTGGAGACTGCTTTTCTACTTTTACATTCAGAAAGGTTGTTGCTAAAATCTGTATACAGCCCATCTGCTCTCTGGGTTGAGAAAAAGGAATTTTAGGAAAATCCCATTTCCCTTAATAGAGAATTATATCCAGATCTCTTTGAATTGAATACTCCCTTCCACCCTTGTTCTTTTAGGGCCACAAGCCTACAGCCACTCCAATAAAGATGCCATACAATGAAGCTGAGAACAAGAGAAGTTATCACCTGTGTGACCTCTGTGATCGAATCATCATTGGGGATCGCGAATGGGCAGGTAGAGTATGGGGAGGGGCATGAAGAAATCTATAAGGGTGGGTTCACATTGACTTCATGAAATTTAGAGTCTTTGGCAGATTGAACCTGGAGTCTATTTATTTGTAAAGGGACAGCTAGATTCCTCTAAGAGCCTGTGCTCAAATTCCTTGGAGGCTTCTGGGAATTTGTCTCTGTATTCTGAGATTCAGAGGAAGATCAGATGCTCTCCATCTTCAGCTGGAATTAATATTTTATACTAAGAGATCTGCAGTTAACTTTCTAGAGCTCCTTTGACTTTGTGGTCCTGGCTTGGAGGAGTTTCTTGGCCTTTCATGTTTATAATTCAGTGGGGGTGGGATCAGGAAGTAAGGGTGTAAGGGAAGCCAGGCAGCTCATCCAGGAGACTGGAAGAAGCAGAAGCATAGCTGGGAGGGGGCAGGAAGTAGAGTTACTACTCCTGAGTGTGGTTTTTAAAAGTGGTATCTCTTCAGTAACTTTTGAGGTAATTGTTGGCATAGTGGTAGTTGCTAAAACTGTGATAAAAAGAAGTTAAGAGAAACTGTGTGAAAGTAAGCCTGTCACACATGTATAAAGAAGGTTAGTTCCCCACCACCTCAGGGCCAGCCCCACCCTAAGGCTCTATCCCTGCATTAGAGCCTGGATCTGCCTCTGCCACAGAGTCACACTGCACACACATCATTGGATTTTCAGATTTCTGTAGTCATCCAGTCAAAGCCCAGGACTTCTTCCCCAAGCCTTGAGTTTACATGGTATTTAGAAATAGGTGTAAGGTTTGCTGCTTTCAGGCACAGTGGGGCTTGTCGTTTACTCAGCAGCTGGGATCCTTCTGTTCAGAGTACTGTTTTGCATGGGATTCTCAGAGAAGTAGATTTTTCTCCCCAAAGCAACCAATAGGATGATTAGGTCTATTAACTGGTAACTGGCAAAATGAACTCCATTGTCAGAGACTGGGGACGGCTGTGATTGCCCAACCAGCAGAAGAAGCCTCGATTGTCATTGGTTTATAATGATGAAAGGGGAAGAGAAAGAGAGTGTCTGATTGTTTTTTTCTAAAGGAAACTTAGTGGTTCGATTTGTTGAATGTTCTTCAGGGATAGCCTTAGAGAAGCAACATGTGTGAGCCTTTGTGAGCTTAGCTTGTGTAAGCCCTTCTGTAGTGCCATCTGTCAAGTCCTTACTCCCATCTCCTGCTGCCATGGAGAGCCAGCCCAGAAGCCCGTTTTTTGCCTTAGGCTCTAGCTGGAAAACAAAGCTGACTTCTTCCCCAAGTAAACTTTTCTCTTAATTCTAACCTCTACCTTACTTATTCTTGCTTCTAAACTCTTAAAAATGATGTTTTTAATATGTATAAAAGAGAATTTAAACTAGTTGTCCATCTCTTTCAGTGTTCCCAGATGAGATTTCCTTGAAAAAAGAACAGGATAGTGAAAATAAATCTGTATGAGTTAGTCAGAAGGTGGGAACTGTCTTAGGGGTGACAGGTCAGCAGTTGATAGCAGGCAACAGTGGCCCTAAAGCTTGACTTCCTTCTTGGACCCTCAGAAGAGATCGTCGGTGATAAATGCACCTTCCTGTCTCCCTGGAGCAGTGTGTGCCTAGAGAATAGGAATCTTGCCAGAGAGTCGTTCACATGACCTTTTTGACCCAGGCACAGGGATGCCAGACCAGGAAGGACAACAGGCAATGCCCTGCAATACAGATGAGGATTTGAATTTCTAACTTTTCAACCTTACAAGTTAAAAATGCATCTATAACAGGAAGCCCCATACTACAGAGACCTGATTCTGGAAAGTGGGATCTCTTTTTGGAGCTATAGGTCTAAGTAGAAGAGTTTACCTGCTGTGTGACCTTGGACATTTTGTAAGACCTCTCTGAACTTCAGTTTCCCTTGTATAAAATGAGCAGAATAGTACCATCTTACAAGACTGCCATGAGGATTGGTGATGTAAAGTACCTAACAGGGAGCACTTGATATGTGGTAGCTCACTCTATTTTGCTAGCTGGCTGGCCATATAATTTATTCTTCCCTTAAAAATGCTAAGCAGCTATACTAGTACATGTGTTGATCTTGCTGTTTATTGTTGAAGAAAAGCATTGTATAGTTAATTTTACTTGCTTCTAGGATTAATTCTAGAAAATTCCTAATGAGTTTTTTTGTTTGTTTGGTTTGATTTTGTCTTATCAGCGCACATAAAATCCAAATCCCACTTGAACCAACTGAAGAAAAGAAGAAGATTGGACTCAGATGCTGTCAACACCATAGAAAGTCAGAGTGTTTCCCCAGACCATAACAAAGAACCTAAAGAGAAGGGATCCCCAGGGCAGAATGATCAAGAGCTGAAATGCAGCGTTTAAGAGACATGTCCAGTGGCCTTTGGAAAGGTGGTGGGGATCCAGTTCAGGAGGGAGGGGTATGTTTGTCTCCCAGTCTGGGCAAAGGAGTGCTATGCGGAATTCTCTGCATAGCAGAAAAGCTCCCACCATTTTCTTTTGATGTGGTTTTAAAGTCTCACGTTCTCTATAATAGAAACAGCAGGTCTTGTCAGCTCCTTGTGTGGCTGATGTGTCTGGAAATGATGTAGTTCAGGAAAGCATTTTTTTTTTCTTTGAACCTTAAAGGTTCTATTATTAAAAGCAGCACAGATTCCACATTTTTATACATGAGGATCTTCTTTGTGGTGAATACCAGGATTGACTGCATCCCTTTAAAGAAGTTTTATGTCCCTGACTCTGGCTAAAATTATCTAATTTCCAGATGCTTTTGTAGATGACTGAAGTATTTGTGAGCCACATATTGGGAGTTCTAGATTTGAGTGAATGGCAGGAAAGGGCCATCTCCATTGAGATGATTAAGTGAACCAAACTAGTTCTCAGAATTCTACAGAGAAGGAGGGAATCAGACTGAGGAAGCTGTGACATAGGACTTGAAGACCAAAGACTTTGAAATTTGCGAGCTGCTCATGTGTGAGTTATTATCACTGCTGTCTTTCTATTGAGTTACAAATCTATATTTTTATTGAAGTTTAAATAAAGAAAAAATTTACAAGAGCCTCTTTGATCCTTAAAAAGATATACAAGTCCATGCCTAGTTTATACACAGTATGCTCTGTTATCAATGTGATAGCTTTTTCTCAAATTTGACACTTTTTGTAGATCATGCTGTCTGTTCATTTATGTAGCGGGTGTTTATTTAACACGTTATAGTCCTTGAAGACATCTAGAGAGGGTCTTTTATTGGAGATCTATTACTTCCAATTGAAGCCCTCTTTCTGGAGTGACCTGAGCTGCCAGCAATGTTAAACAGATACTTATTTATATATAACATCAAATATAGCATTTTTAGGGTATAATTCAGCAGCATTAACTACATTCACAATGTTGTGCAATCGTTGCCACTATTTCCAAAACGTTTTTGTCACTCCAAACAAACTTTGTGCCCTTTAAGCGTTAACTCCCCATTCAAATACATTTTGTTTGTGCAGAATCTACTCTATGAGAGGCCCTGAATTAGGCTAAAGGGAATGCAGAGATGAGATGTGGTTCTTGCCTTCAGGGAGCTTATAAATAATTGCATGTGTACACAAACACCAATCCAGGCAAGACAGTATCAAAGGCCGTAAGAGCTGTGTAGAATTTCAGTTTAGAAGGAAGGGAAGGGATCATGGAAGGAGGAGCATTTCTGCTGCACCTTGAAAAGCAATTCTTGATAAATGTTTTGTTTCCTATGCATATAAGACTTCATAGAGGAGAAGGTAGAGTAAAAAAACTATCTAACTTGATTGACCTTTTTAAACAGTGCTGAATTCCAGAGCCTCACCCACTTTTAACTGATTTGAATCTCAAAAATAAATTTATTCTCTGGGCAAAGAAGTTTATTAACTACTTTAGGACCTAACAAGGTGGGAAGCCACATCTTCCCGGTGGGAGTGGAGATGAGTACTTACTGTGAGCCAAGCAGTGCCAAGTCGTTTTTATATGTTATCTTCTCACACAGCCCTGGGAGGGAGATGCTGTTTCCTTTGCTGTTAACCAGGGAGGAAACTAAGGCTCAGCAATGGAGTACAGCTAGCAAGCGGTAGAGCTGGAATTGAGGTGAGGCTGGTAGACTCAAGCTATTAAGCACTGTGTTAAGCTGGCAGTTTGTAGGGAAGAACCTTTAGTTTCTCTGAAATATTCTTCGTTCAAGTTGCTAAGTATGTTTTAAAGCCTAAAAAGGTTTCAGTAGACAAGCAGGAAAAACTAGTTTTAATAATTGTACGTCAAAAAGCTTTTAATCCTTCCATCTGAAATACCTGGAGCAGTAACTTCTCATTGAACTCATTGTTATCTCTATGGCAATTGGAAATCAGGCCTTTTTTACCAAAAAAAAAGTGTCTAATATTTATGAAGCACTTACTAAGTGTAAGGCAGTGTGGTTGAGCCCACTGTTCATATTCTTAGAAATTGTAAATTCAGCCAAATGAAATTCCTTTATCAGCAGCAAAGAGCCTGGGAAAGGCAGAACACTCACTAGAAATCTGCCTGGTGCTCTGGTCTGAAGCATTGCCCTGAGTAGATTTCCCCTTTTGTGCCTGCTCCCCTATGAATGACTTCGCTGTTGAGTGTAGGGAAGGAAAGTAATTTGTCTTGTGGTGGTCGTAAATGTAGAGATGAAAGAATTCTTTATCTCTTGTATGGATGGGGAAACTGAGGCCTAAAACATGGATGTTCCAGTCACAGAGCAAGGCAAAGCTGGGACAAACCTTAGATCACCTTTCTTACTCTATTACTAAATCTCATACCAAATCTCATTTGAGAGCTGAAAAGTACCATAGAGCTTTGGGCTATTTGCTCAGCCTGGAGTGAGAATGAGGAATGCCATTTTGTACCATCTGGCCATAGCAATCCCAAGGCAAGCAGAGCCCTCCAGTCCAGGTATCCAGAGCCTCCAGTCCATCACACCAGCAGTGCTATCTAAATGGCTTTGGCAATTAATTCCAATACTCAGTGAGCTATTAGGTTCATCTGCTTCTGTCAGTAAAAATCTTGATTAGGCTTTAGATACTTCTCACAGTTCAGGCAGTGCTGTTGTAAGTGGGTAGAAAGTACTTTGATTCTGAAGAGAGATCTAGACTTGAAAATACTTTGCTTGATTCTTAGGGCTAAGCAAGAGAACAGCTCATCTGTATTCCAGGAATATGGCTTGATCCTTCCTAACTCTCAGTAATTTTTTGTCCTCTCTTAGCTCTCTTTAGTTCCAAAGAGGATTTTTTTGCTTAAAACAAAACAAAACACCCAGTATAACATTAAAAAATAACAGTCCGGGAGTGGTGGCTCACGCCTGTAATCCCAACGCTTTGGGTAACTGAGGCAGAAGGATCACTCAAGCCTAGGAGTTTGAGACCAGCCTAGGCAACATGGTGAGACCCAGTCAGCACAAATATATACATACATACATACTTACATATATATATATGTATGCATGCCGGGTATGGTGGGTCATGCCTATAGTCCCAGCTACGTGGAAGGCTCAGGTAGGAGGATGGCTTGGGCCTGGGAGATTGAGGCTTCAGTGAAACATGATCATGCCACTGCATTCCAGCCTGGGTGGCAGAGCAAGACCATGTTGCTCAAAAAGAAAATAAAACTAACAACCCCCTCCCCCAAACACACATGCATGAAATCAACCTTTTATGAATGCAGTGACTTGTCAATATCCCTAGCACCTAGACACAGTCAAATATTTGTTGAATCAATTGCATGAAAGCATAAAAACTAAGTAGGTCTCTACATAAGTGATCTGCTTCAATTGTTAAATACTTTTTAACCAGGATGAAGAAATTTTGGGATAGCCACCAGCAGGAATTTCTGTATTTGATTATCACCTACTTGGGCAGTTAAGGCTGTTTTCTAAAATGATGGCTAACTGGTTATTTGTAAAGCTACTCTGAATGCTTACAAAGGAAGCTGCATGTTTGTATTAGTTCAGGTAAAAGGCTAAGTTGCTATAACAAAGAGACTCAACAATACAGTGGCTTAAAGAACAAAGAAGTTTATTCTTTCTCACGTAACAGCTCTGAAGGGAATTAACCTGTCTGAAGTGAGTGATCCAGGTCATTGGGGCAGCTGTGCACCAAATGGTCATTCAGGGACACAGATTCCTCGTATCATGTTGCTTCTCCATCCTCTGGAGCATTGTCCTCATCTGCTGCATGCTTGAAGCTGGGTCATCACTGGTCCTAGCTGATGGGAAGGGGAAAAGGAACAGGGAGGAGGTAGACCCGCTGCCTCAAGGCCTGGACCCTGCAGTGGCACGGATACTTCTGCCTACATTCTCACTTTCCATTGGCAATGACTTAGCCCGATGGCCACACCTACCTGCCAGGAAGGCTGAGAAACGTAGTCAAGCCATGTGCCAAGAAGGAATGGGAGGACAGGTTTTGGTGGGCAACTTACAGTCACCACTAGATTGGTATCATGGAAGGAGCACTCAATTCCAGGCTCATTTAACTAATTAATTTAACTCAGTTTGCTAGGGGCAAATCTATTTCTCCATCTGTGAAATTAGTGAGTTGTATTGAGCTGACCTCTGAAATATTTCAAAAAGTAAAGCTTGAGAAAATCCTGGCTGGTAGGACTTTAAGATGAGAATAAGAAAGCATTATAGGGAATGGGAGACTGTATAAACATCAGGGCCAGTGGCTCATACTGTAAAGATGGTGGGGAGGAAAGATGGAAGGTGTTTTGGTGGCATTGTTGAATAACTGAACTAATGACTTAACTGCCTACTTTCAGACTTTATGTGGCAGGGAGGGGACAGGGGGAGAAAGAAACCACTATTTGTATTTGCAGCTGAACACTTTACTTTCTAATATACTATCTGTGTGATCTTGGGAATATTGCTTAAAAGCCTGTTTCCTCATGTATAAAATGAAGTTATCTGTATTCCACGGGACATGGTAAGGATTAAGTGAGGTCCTGTTGTAAATAGCATAGTGTTTTGGCACTGTAGTGCCCAGTAAATGGTAAGTACAAATTGGATTTATTTGCTTCATTGGGGAAAAATTGTTAATGCTATTAAAATGTTGGTTTATGATATGGTATCATTTCTTGGAAGTTATCAGGGCAAGCTCTGACTTAAGACTGACTAGTTTGGTGGACTATAGTACTAATGGCCAGAAACGGTGCCTCGGGCTTCAGCTGCCACCCACCTAGGCTTCAGCTGTTAAGTTTTGTTTGTTTCAATGATATGATTTCTTCCATGGGTCAGCTCATTTGCTTGAACTGTTTTCTTCCCTTGAAATGTCCTTTCCCCTGCTCTTTACCTAGTGAACTCCTGCACATCCTTCAAGGCCCAGATCTGATGTCCTCTCCTTAGAAAAAGCTTCTTTGACTCTAGGGAGACTTAATTTCTCCTCCTAGCAGTTAATACGTAATAGTGTTAACATTAGCTGGTGCTTAGGTAGTCCTATGAGCTAGGCACTGCTTTAAGCACTTTTACACATATTAACTCATTTAATCCTCACAAAGCCCTATGAGGTAGTTTTGTCATTGTTCTTGTTGTCTCTGTCTTACAACTGAGGAAACTGAGTAGAGCAGTTAGGTGACTTTCCCAAGGGCAAGCTGGGATTTGAAAATAGGTGGGTGGCTCCAGAGTCTGTTCTGGCTCATTATTTTGCCACAGCTCATAGCACCTGTTATTTATCTCTTGTTCCCACTGGAAAGTAAATTCTGCCAGGATCTGAGTACTATTTTAAGATGATTGTGGAACATATAGTGGGCACCCAATGTATATCGAGGCTAATTTCTGCAAGACACACCTCCCTGTCTAAACGTAGACATGGCTTCTCTGTGTTGAGTGCTTCTGTGTGTCAGGCATTATATCAAGCACATGCATACGTTATAATGATTCCTTAAAACAAACGGACAAGATAATCTGTTATCACCATTTTATAAACACAGCTTAATGAACAGTGGTTGGCACAGAGTAAACATGCAAATATTTGCCGAGTAGCAGAGATAAAGCTTGGTGAGGGCAGCGATGTTTGTCTGTTGTTCACTGCTTTATCCCTGGCATCTACAAGGGCCTGCTGCTTAAAAGCACTTATTTGTGTTTTTGTTTTTTTACTTGAAGTCAGCCTTTTATTTTTATCCAGATTTATTGAGATATAATCGACAGATAAAATTATATATATTTAAACTATATAAAGTGATTTTATATATGTGTATATATGTATGTGTGTATCTATCTATCTATCTATCTATCTATCTGTCTATCCATCTATCTATCTATACCACCATCAAGTTAGTTAACACATCCCATAAACATTTGTTGAGCTAGGATTTGAAGCCAGTTTGGGCTGACTCCAAACTCATACTCTAACCACAACCCTCTACTTCTGCAAGGGCATTTCTTTAGGGTTTTTGAATGTACAAATTTAGGGTTTTTGAATGTACAAATTATTTATATCCCATCTACTTCTAAGAAAGAATCAAAGGAAGAAAAGGTTAAAAAAAAAAAAAAGAAAAGACTGAAGAACTAACTCTTGTACAAAGATGTTTATGGCAAGAATCATGGTTGCAAATGAAACAACTCTAACTTAAGTAAAAAGGTGGATTTATGATTGGGTTAATGAGGTGTCTCATCAAATTCAAGGGCAGGAAAGTATCTAGGCTCCAGCCACAACTTGTACTACCCAATCTGAGGCTTTAGAGACTTTCTCTTTTCTCTGCAAATCAGCTCACTCCTCTCTCACTGTAAACAGGCTTTCTCTACATGGCAGGAGACAGGGCTGCTAGTAGCACCTGTGTTTCACCTCTTATGGCCTTGACAACTGGGGACAGATTGTGCGGATGTTTTCTCTGGTTCTAAGTTCAAAAGCCCTAGGACACCCCGTACCCATTAGAATGGCTGCTATAAAACAAAACAAAACAAATTAACCCAGAAGATAACAAGTGTTGGCAAGAATGTGAAAAAATTGGAACCCTTTGCACTGTTGGTGAGAATGTAAAATAGTACAGCTGCTGTGGAAAATAGTATGGCAGTTCCTCAGAAAATTAAAAAGGGAACCGCCATATGATCCAGCAGTCCCCCCTCTGGGGATATATCCCAAAGACCTGAAAGCAGGGTCTCAGGGAGATACACCCTTGTTCTGCATAGCAGCGTTCTTTACAATAGCCAAGGGGTAGAAGCAGCCCAGTTGTCCATCAAGAGTGAATCTAGGCCGGGTGTGGTGGTGCACACCTGTAATCCCAGCACTTTGGGAGGCTGAGGCGGGTGGATCACCTGGGGTCAGGAGTTCGAGACCAGTCTGGCCAACATAGTGAAACCCTGTCTCTACTAGAAATACAAAAATCAGCTGGGTGTGGCGCAGGCCTGTAATCCCAGCTACTTGGGAGGCTGAGGCAGGAGAATCACTCGAACCCAGGAGGTGGAGGTTGCAATGAACCGAGATCACGCCACTGTGCTCCAGCCTGGGCGACAGAGTGAGACTACATCTCAAAAAAAAAAAAAAAAAAAAAAGTGAATCTAAGGGCTGCACATGGTGGCTTGTGCCTGTTATCCCAGCACTTTGGGAGGCCAAGGCAGGAGGATCGCTTGAGCCCAGGAGTTCAAGACCAGCCTGGGCAACACAGTAAGAGCCCATCTCTACAAAAAATAAACAGATTAGCTGGGTGTGATGGTGTGTGCCTGTAGTCCCAACTACTTAAGAGGCTGAGGTGGGAGGATCACTTAAGCCCAAGAGGTCAAGGCTGCAGTGAGCTGTGATTGTGTCACCGCACTCCAGATCCTGGGTGACAGAATGAGGCAGACCCTATCTCAAAAATAAATAAGAGTGAGTGGATAAACAAAATGTAAGTACATATGATGGAATATTCACCCTTAGCAAGGAAGGAAGTTCTGACGCATGCTACAACTTTGAGGACATTATGCTGCATGAAAGCCAGTCAGGCCGGGCGCAGTGGCTCATGCCACATTGGGAGGCTGAGGTGGGAGGATTGCTTGAGCCTGGAGTTTTGAGACCAGCCTGGGCAACAGAATGAGACCCACCTCTACAAAAATAAAAGAATTATTACCCAGCACTCGGGGATGAGAGGTGAGATGATGCTTGAGCCCGGGAGGGCAAGGCTGCAGTGAGCCTTGGCGCCACTGCACTCCAGCGTGGGCAGCAAAGCAAAAAAAAAAAAAAAAAAAGCCAGTCACCAAAAGACAAATATGGTATAGTTCCACTTACATGAGGTATCTAGAATAGTCAAATTCATAGAAACAGTATGGTGTTGGCTGGGGGTGGAGGGAAGGGTAAATGGAGAAGTTTAATGGGATAGAGTTTCAGTTTTGTAAGATGCAAAAGTTCTGGAAATTAGTTGCACAACAATGTGAATATGCTTAACACCACTGAACTATACGCTTAAAACTACTTAATACACTTTCATACTGTAATACACTTAACATTACTGAACTATAAGCTTAAAAGTGAATTTTACCACCATTTTTTAAAAGTAAAAGTCCCAGGAAAGGGATCTTTTAGCCCAGCTTGAGTCTAGTGCTTATCCTGAGGCCCATCAGCCAGTCTGGAGATGGATTCCTGAAAGGACAGGACAGTTCCCATGGAAAGGATGGAGTGGAGGTGGAGTGATTCCCAGAGGAGAAGGGTGAGCGGGTTGGTAGGAGGGGAGGGCACCTGGGCAGACAAGCATTTGTGTCCACTGTGGAGTTGCTGTCTGCTAGTCAGTAAGACACTTGGTTTTCTAGCAGCAGGGCTGAGCTTAACTAAGTCCATATGCCTTCTGGGTGGTACTTGCCATTATCTTCATCATGAGATATCTGTAGTAGTCATTCCTTAGAAATTTATGGCCCAGTATGGTTTTAACAAAACTACATATCTTGTTAGTATTTGCCAAAAACATTTGAGGTCGTTTCTACAAATGAAGAAACAGACTCACAGTATTTCAGTGACTTAACACAGGGTTGGTGTTAGTTCAGTTGTAAGGGATTGAAAGCCAGTTTAAACTAATTTAGGTATAAAAGACGATTTGTTGGCTTATGGAATCTAAAAGTCAAACAACTGAGCTTCTCCTGAAAGGACAGGCAAGGTGCAGCTGGGCCTCAGGAACAATTGCTCCCAAGGACTCAGACACTACCAGCACTGCCTCATCTCTTCTCAGCGTGCCGATTTCACGTTTCTCTCCATGCAAACCAGCTTTCTTCACGTGGTCGTGGTCATTGGAAGCTGCCACACCTCACATCTTACAGCTTTTCTTCACTGAAAAGAAGTGGACCAAATCCCAAGTTTAAAAGCCCCAGGAAAAGACGCAATTGAGTAGAGCTGAATTCTGTTGTCTACCCTTGGATTAAGAAGGACAGCGTACCATCTAAGAACATGGCCCTCCCTGTAGAACAGTATGATAGAATGAAGCCAGGGAACACGAGAGTTTTCAGGAAGAGGGCAGGGATGGGATTGGTGCTGAGTAGACCAAATAATAGGTGTCCATAGCAGTGACACAGAGTAGGTGGCAGATGAGAGAACTCCAGGTCCTCTGACTACAACCCTGACTAGCGCACCGTAACTACCGAGTACTTCCCATGCAAAAGGAAGGCCCTATCTCTGCAAGAACCGTGCATGGTGCATTATCAAGTGTGAGGCTGGGGTCAGACTCTGAGTCACCAGAAGTGAAGTGACAAATGACCTGAAAGCAAGGCATAAAGGAAAACCATTTAAGTCTGTGCCTTCTGCCTGAGCCTCCTTGTTAATATGAAGGGGATCGAGGTATAAAGACTTTTTATATTTTTGAGACAGGGTCTCACTCTGTCACCCAGGTTGGAGTGCAGTGGCACTCCTGGGCGCAGGTGATCCTCCCATCTTAGCCTAGGGAGGTTGGGACCACAGGCACCTGCCACCATGCCCAGGTAATTTTGTTTTTTTGTAGAAATGAGGTTTTGCCATGTTGCCCAGGCTGGTCTTGACCTCCTGGTCTCAAGCGATGCTCCCGTCTTGACCTCCCAAAGTGCTGGGATTATAGGTGTGAGCCACTGTGTCCGGCTCCAAGGTATAAAGACTTACATAGAAGTTATTTGTGGATTCAAAAATGTCTCTGTGTCTTGCTGGATCTGCATAATGAAGTCAAGTTGCTTGGAGACTGGTGGGTTCCTGATGGCAGACAAAAGTGTCAGCTTACTCTCTCTGAACTTTGGCAGTCAGACTCTTCAAGTGCTTTTTAGAAACTACCTTCTTTTTTTTTTTTTTTTTTTTTTTTTGAGATGGACTCTCTCTGTCGCCCAGGCTGGAGTGCAATGGCGCGATCTCGGTTCACTGCAACCTCCGGCTAATTTTTGTACTTTTAGTAGAGATGGGGTTTCGCCATGTTGGCCAGGCTGGTTTCGAACTCCTGAAATCTCAGGTGATCCACCCGTCTTGGCCTCCCAAAATGCTGGGATTATAGGCGTGAGCCACCGTGCCCGGCAAAACTACCTTCTTACTACATTCGTGGCTTTCTGTTGTTTTAAATATCAGCATGTAAAGGGTGCAGAGAATTCGGTGATCATGTTTCAGTTGTTTTCAAACTTGTTTTTAGCTGTGGATCCTTTTTTTTTTTTCCTTCTCCCAAGTCATACATGAATTGCAATATATAATATATACTGAACTAGACTGGCTTCAGGTCTGGGTAGGGTGCACAGTCTTCTGGTCCCTCTGATTTAGTGCCCACCCCCTTCCCCGCCCCCCGGCTGTGGGACACACTTTGAAAATCTCTGATCCAGATTAGCCACATAATTGAGCAGACAGAGAAAGTGAGTCCCAGAGAGGTTAAGTAAGTCACCAACAGCAACACAAAGAGTTAGTAAGTAGCAGAGCTATGCCTGGAACCCTGGTCTCCTGGTTTAGCAGTAGTGTTCTTTTTACTGGATTATGCCACTTCTAGTTATTTTGAATTAAAAAGTAGTTGTATTTTTCATCAGGTACGTGGTAAGTTGAACCAGTTCTGGACTAATATGAAGGCAAGTAGAGGACTTTAGGAGTCAAACAGCTTTATAATTAGGAATACCTATTAATTCAACAGACTTAAATGAGTGCTTATCATTCACTATTCTAGGTGCTAGAGATATATCAGTGAACAAGACAGTTCCTGTCTTCAGAGAGCTGGAGTCTTGCATGCTATCCCAGTGAATATGATAAATGCTGTAATAGAGTCGTTTAGGGAATACACAAGATTTTACCTGACTCGTTCTAGAAGAGTCTGGGAAGGCTTTCCTGAGGAAATGGCATCTGAAAAAACATGAGGCCTGGCACCAAGGCTCACGCCTGTAATCCCAGCACTTTGGGAGGCTGAGGTGAGGGGATCGTTTGAGGTCAGGAGTTCGAGACCAGGCATGGTGGCATGTGCCTGTAGTCCCAGCAACTCACGAGGCTGAGGCAGGGGGATTGCTTGAGCCCAGGAGGCAGAGGTTGCAGTGAGCCAAAATCAGCCACTGCACTCCAGCTTGGGCAACAGAGTGAGACTCCATCTCAAACAAACAAACAAACAAAAAACCTGAGAATAATGGGCAGGAGCCAGGTAGGAGAGTGTTCGGGGAAAAGGCAGGAGGGGTCTGCAGGACCCAGGTCATAGAGGACCCTGTAAACCATGAATCCCGAGAAAACATCAGACGTGTTTCCTGGAGAGATCACTCTGGTGCAATGCAGAGAATGGATTGGCTGCAGACAGCCTAGAGGCAGGGGACAGTTTAGATATTTAGCAGGTAGCATTTATAGGACTTGATGAAATGTTGGAGGTGAAGGAAGGGAAGGGGTCAGGAATGAGGCTGAGGTTTCTGACTTGAACAGTTGATTAGACAGTGGCCAAGTCCTTTGGCCAAGATAAGAACACTGGAGGAGGAGCAGGTTTGGGTTGAGGATGAGTTCAGTTTGAGACTTGGGGAGTTTGAGGCATCTGTAGAGAATCCTCATGGAACTGGATATTCGAGTTGAGCCCAGATTGCACTCTGGGCTGGAGATAGGGATCTCAGAGTCATCAGTATTGACGGTATTTGAAGCCGTGGAAGATGAGGTCACTCGAGCAGGGGGTGTAGTGAGAAGAGAAACAATCTAGAGCAGAGCCTTGAACATTAACAGAGCATTTTACAGAGCTTTGAGAAGGGAGTGGTCTGCAGGGAAGTGTGTAGGGGCCATGCACAATAAGGAATGAGAAGTATCCATTGGTTCTTAGTGATGACATCAGTGGTAACCTTGGTAAAAGAGGGGTCAGCTGAGGGTTAGAAAATGGAAGCCATATTCCAGTGGTTTGAGGAGTGAATGGGAGGAGAGAAAGTGGTGAGTGTCTAAGTTAGGAAAGGAAGGAGAGGGGGTTGCTAAAGGGAGGCTTGGGGTTGAAGCAGGTTTTTTTTTTTCCCCCTTTCTAAGAGACTTTCACATTTTAAAATGCTAATTGGAAGGAGCTAGTCATTCTAAATACTAGAAAATGGTTTCCTCCTTTTGTGAAAGATTTGGAAGACCATTTTTCTTAATATAATACAGCTCTTCCTTGACACTGTCTACAGGTGGGGTTACCAAGTCATCCTGTTTGGCTTGGGATTTACTAGTCTTAGCACTGAAAGTCTCATGTCCTGAGAAACCCCTCAGTGGGGGCAAACCAAGATGATCAGTCACCCTTTGTAGAGACCTCCTTCCAGAAGGATTAGGTAAGGCACAGTCTGCAGTTGCAGAGACTGTGATTTAGCTTTTCTCTGAAGATTTAGAGGAGTACCTACCTCTGAAAATAGACCTGTTGCAAATAATAGAAGAAAATGTAGGTGATACCTGATTGAAGTTTCAGTAGGATTCAAAAGATGGTACATAATTCACTTAGAACCAGCAATCCTACAACTGGAATAATCTGGGATAAGAAGAGATTAGGAGAAGATTAAAGACATGGCTGCTGAATTAAAACTGCATGGAAGCAACGAATGCCAGGTCCAACACAGAAGATCAATTTAGTAAAGAAAACAAACTTCAGATGGTCTCCCAGAACACAGGAAACTGATAAAAGACATGAAAATAAGATAAAAGAGGAGCTATGGAGGGCAGAACAATGAAAGATGAATTTTGATAATTCAACTGAGTGGACTCATGATTAATAGTGAATAATAAGAGTGAGGACATGTTGAGTGCTTGCTCTGTGGCAAGCCCTTTCAAACCCTTTACATGTGTGAACTCATTTAATCCTCATAACAATACTGAAGGATGGGTACTGCTATCCTCCCCCTCCACCCCATTTTCCATATGGCAAAACTGAAACACAGATTAGTAAGACAATGTGTGCAAGTTTATGCAGGCAGGAGATGGGGAGCTGGTGAACTCAGGTGGTCTGGCCCCAAAGTCGTTGCTCTGAAGTGCTGCGCTGTGCTGCCTCAGTATAACATTGAAATTAAATTGTTCAGTCATTCATTCAAGTGTTTTTTTGGTGTCTACTAAGTGCCAGGCTTAGCTCTGCTGCTGGGAAAATACAGACAGGGTTTCTGCCCAAATGCAGCTTACATTCTCATAGGGAGAAAGAAAATAATGCAAGTAACAAGCAATAAAGAAAATTTCAGTATGAAGTCCTATGAAAAATGGAAAAACAGGGTAGAGAGTTATTGGTGTGTGTGTGTGTGTGTGTGTGCGTGTGTGTGTGTGTGTGTGCTGAGGTGGGCGTTCTCACTCTGTCACCCAGGCTGGAGTGCGGTGGCGTGATCTCGGCTCACTGCAACCTCTGTTGCCTTTCAGGTTCAAGCAATTCTCCTGCCTCAGCCTCCTGAGTAGCTGGGATTACAGGTGCCTGCCACCATGCCCGGATAATTTTTGTATTTTTAGTGGAGATGGGGTTTTGCCATGTTGGCCAGACTGTTCTCAAACTCCTAACCTCAGGTAATTCGCCCACCTTGGCCTCCCAAAGTCCTGGGATTACAGGTGTGAGCCACCATGCCCAGCCTGAGGTGGGGGTTCTACTCCAGATGGGTTGCTCAGGGAAGATCCTCTGAGGAGGTGGCATCACCTGAGTCTGGAATGATGTGGAGTTGGTCATACAAGAAGATGGAGTAGAGGGAGCAGCAAATGCAGAGGCCCTGAGATAGGAATTGGGCTGGGCATATTTACAAGCTAGAAAGAAGGCTAGTGTGGCTACAGAAGAGTGAATGACAGGGTGATTTGTAAAAGACAAAGTCAGAGAAGTAGCCAGGCACTAGATAAGGACTTTGGATTTTATTTTATTTATTTTTTAATTTAAAAATTTTTTTTTGAGACAGAGTCTCAACTCTGTCACCCAGGCTGGAGTCCAGTGGCACGATCTCAGCTCACTGCAACTTCCACCTCTTGGGTTTAAGTGGTTCTCCTGCCTCAGCCTCCCGAGTAGCTGGGACTACAGGCAGCTGCCACCACGCCCGGCTAATTTGTTTTTGTATTTTCAGTAGAGGCAGGGTTTCACCATGTTGGCCAGGCTGGTCTCGAACTCTTGACCTCAAATGATCCACCCACCTCGGGCCCCCAAAGTGCTGGGATTACAGGCGAGAGCCATTGCGCCAGGCCTGGATTTTATTAAAGGAAGGAGTTAAAGAGTTTTCTGGCTGGTTTGTTCGTTTAGTGAGGGGAGGAATATGATCTGATTTACACGCTAAAAGATAAGTCTGGCTGCTCTGTGAAAATAGACTGTAAAGGCATAACAAGGATGTGGACTGTGGAAGCAGGAAAAAGGTTAACGGGATGTTCTGGCTGGAACCAGCGCCTGGAGCTCGAAGTTTTGAGCTGTCTCTCTGCCTTGGGGCATCCCCTCCCCATCTTATCTTATCACATTCACTGATTTATCTTCCTGTGGAAAAAGGAATCAGAGATCATAACTTCATAAAGGAATGACTACCCTGCCTCCTAGCTTATTAGACCAGCGGAGGGCCAGCCAGGCCAATCACACTCCTCCCAGGAATTTCAAATTGCAGCTCAGTCCTAGCTGGGTACACTTGAACAGAGAAATACAAGAACTGTGTTTGGTCATACACACGAAATAACTATTTGTTGTTATGAATGGGTGCACTACAAAACAGAGAAGGCTGATCTTCAGAGAAGGAGAAAAGCAGACAATGCAGGAGGGAATCCCAGATGAGGAAAGGAGAGAGAGATTCCTGTTGACTTCCCAGTTCCTCGGTCCCGACCCTCCTGAGGCCTAGTGTGCTTCCTTGGGTTCCTGAGATACCTCTATTTCCTTGTAAAAATTTCCATTTTCGCCTAAGTGCATTTCATTTATGTTTACCCCCAAGGCTCCTTGTTCCAGGGTGTGCACTTTCCGGGCTCCTGGCCTCGACGGCCACATTGTTCTCATCTGGGGCTGGTGGAGCCCTTGCTTCCCCACAGCCTCACCAGCTGGGGGCCTTGTTGCCTTGTTTTTTCTAGTTTTATGGGCCTATGAGGTTATCTTAAAGGTAACTGATTTTGCATTTATTTCCTGGTCAGACTTTCATTTTCCTAAGATAACTTTATATTCATGTTGTTTACATTTTAAGTGCTTTCTGGGTAGAATCCAGTTTCAAACTTAAATACTCAATTCAGTTTATTGGATAATAAACGTATCTGGTTTTTTTTTCTTTTTTTGGGTTTTGGTTTTGCATTTTCCCACATTCTCTTTCTTTCCTTTGTTTTGTTTCTATTTTTGTTTTTGTTTGAGACAAGGTCTCACTCTGTCACCCAGGCTGGAGTACAGTGGCACGATCTTGGCTCACTGCAACCTCCGTCTCCCGGGCTCAAGTGATCCTCCCACCTCAGCCTCCCGAGTAGCTGGGACTACATGTGCCACAGTGCCTGGCTAATTTTTGTATTTTTTTATAGAAACAGAGTTTTGCCATGTTGCCCAGTCTCGAACTCCTGAGCTCAAGCGATCCTCCTGCCTTAGCCTCCCAAAGCGCTGGGATTACAGACGTGAGCTACCTCGCCCGGCCTCTTTCCTTTTTATATCCTACAGAAGATAAAATAGAAATGAATTCATTCATCAAGCATCCTTTGAGTTTTTACTGTGTATCAGCCCTGAGTATATGAAGATGAACATGTCATGGTCCCCGTCCCTCACTTTGCCCACCTTAGAGAAATCGGTTTCCTGGGCCCTCCTCTGCTCTTGGGCCGCAAGCCCTCCCTGAATGATCTCATCTACTCTCAGGCTTTGGCTCCCACCTGTTCTGCAGGATGAGCAGGCTTTTTTGTTTGTTTTTTAATGATATGTGACTATTATCCCGTGCCCTTTGTCTTCAGTGCTTGCATGTTCAGTTTGACCCATGGGAAATTCCCCTCAGATATTTCTGTTACTATCAGAAATACCTTGGTGCTGTCCACAGGTATAGCTTGAGTTAAACTGGCTCACACACTAAAAAGCGTCTTCGCATGCACCCGTGGGACAGGGGTGGCTCTTCAGGAGCCAGCAGAGCTTACCCAGAAGCAACTCAGCAGCGCTGAATCTACTTGGACCTTTGGCCTGTGGACTGCCCTGCACGGCCCTGGCAGGAGTGAGGCTGCCTGTCCCAGAAGTGACACATGGGTACTCCTCGGAAGAGTCTATGTGGCTTCTATTCACTGTCAAAGAGGGAAGTGAGTAAGGAAGGGTGCTAGGAGGGTGGTTTAAGTGCCCAACAGCTGCATTTAGGAGAGACTTTTGGTCTCACATCACAGAGTATGAGCCAAAAAAGGAAACCCATGTCCTTGGCCACATGTTCTCCCAGCAGTTTTCAGATTGGAGCCTGTGTGTACTGATCACTCTCAAGTTCTGCCCTAGGTTCCAGACCTTCCTTCTGGATGTCCCATGCACACTTCAGACTCACCATGTCCAAGACAGGACACGTTACCATCCCACCATTCCCCAACCACCCCCTCCTCACTATCCACAGTCCTGATTGTAATAGTCTCACTGCCAGCCCCATCACCCAAGCCAAAATCCTCACCTCTTCCTCAACCCTTTCTGGGACCCCTCCCTTTCCTTCTTTGATAACCACCTGGTCACAAAGTCTTAACCATCTGTATTGGCTTCCTATTGTTGATGTAACAAATGCCATCGACCCTTAAACAACAAGGGTTTGAAGTGCATGGGTCCACTTAGACACAGATTTTTTTCAACTGCAGATCACAAATACAGTGTTTGCAGGATGCGAGGCCTGTGTATACAGTGGATTCCACATGTACCTGCCATTACTTCAGGACTTGAGTATATGGATTTGGGCATACTTAGGGGGTCCTGGAAACAATCCCCCACAGATAGTGAGGGACAACTCTTAACCACAAACTTTATGGCTTAACACAACACAAATTTAGGATCGTTCTTACAGGTGTGGTGATCAGAAATCTGAAACGAATTTTGTGCACTAAACTTAAGCTGTCGGCGGGGTCAGTTCCTCTGGAGGCTCTGGGGGAGAGTCCACTCCCCGCCCTCCAGCTTTTCCAGGTGGCCTGCATTCCTCGGCTTATAGCCACATCACTTGGATCTCTGTGTCTGCCGTCATGTTGCCTTCCTCCTACTCACTGTTGTGGAGGACCCCTATGATTACACTGGGCCCCTGGATAACCTAAAATAATCTCCTCATCTCTAGATCATTAATTTAGTCACATCTGCAAGGTCCCTTTTGTCATTTAAAATGACAGTCACAGGTTCTGGGGATTAGGATGTGGACATCTTCCACACCATCCTGACCACTTACCATTCCAGAACTCACCTGTTCCAGCTGTCATTGCTCTTCAGGCCAGGTCATCTCCCTTCTAGGCTGTTCAAACAGCCTCCTAATTGGTCTCCGCCTCTGGTCCTACCCTCTTCAACCCATGATCCTTCTAATAGCATCTTCTGTGTCTCTTTCTTGATTCTGCGTTTGTACTGACTCCCTGTTATCATCAGGATCCTCCAGTCTGAGTGCCTTAGATGGTGTGTGAGGTCTTCTGAGGTCTTTATCCTGCTCACTCCTTCAGCCAAATCCCCCACTTGCCATCACAAAGCTATTTTCCATGCTTCAATACAGAGAATAGTGTGGCTTTTAGAGCTCCTGAGGCTTTTAGAGCTTCTTTTTTTTTTGAGACAGAGTCTCGCTCTGTTGCCCAGGCTGGAGTGCAGTGGTGTGATCTCGGCTCACTGCAACCTCCACTTCCCAGGTTCAAGCAATTCTCCTGCCTCAGCCTCCTGAGTAGCTGGGACTACAGGCACATGCCACCAGGCCTGGCTAATTTTTATTTTGTTAGTAGAGACAGGGTTTCACCATGTTGGCCAGGCTGGTCTCGAACTCCTGAACTCCCGAACTCCCAAAGTGATCCACCTGCCTTGGCCTCCCAAAGTGCTGGTATTACAGGCGTAAGCCACCGTGCCCAGCCTTGAGGCCACACATCTCAGGCTTGGGTCTCAGCTTGCCAAACTAGAATTCTTGGGCCAGTAACTTAACATGCCTGTGCCTTGGTTTCTTCTTTTTCTTTCTTTCTTTCTTTATTTTCTTTCTTTCTTTTCTTTTTCTTTCTTTCTTTCTTTTTTTTCTTTCTTTTTCTTTCTCTCTCCCTCTTTCTTTCTTTCTTTCTCTCTCTCTCCCTCTTTCTTTCTTTTTCTTTTTTTGAGACAGGATCTCACTCTGTCACCCAGGCTGGAGTGCAGTGGCAAGATCTTGGCTCACTGCAGCCTCAACCTCCCGGACTCAAGCAATCCTCCCACCTCAGCCCCCCAAGTAACTGGGACTACAGGCACGCACCACCAAGCCCGGATAATTTTTGTATTTTTTGTAGAGAAAGGGTTTTGCCGTGTTGCCCAGGCTGGTCTCCAACTCCTGAGCTCAAGCAATCTGCCCGCCTCAGCCTCCCAAAGTGCTGGGATTACGGGCATGAGCCACCACGCCCAGCACCCTGTGCCTCAGTTTCATCTTTTAAAAGTCCCACAAAAGTTGTGATGATTAAATTAATACTTTAAAAGTATCTATTAAAACAGTGCTTGAGCCCGGTGCAGTGGCTCACGCCTGTAATCCTAGCACTTTGGGAGGCCAAGGTGGGCAGGTTGCTTGAGCCCAGGAATTCAAGACCAGCCTGGGCAACAGGACGAAACCCTGTCTCTACTAAAAACACAAAAATTAGTCAGACTTGGTGGCGTGTGCCTGTAGTCCCAGCTACTCGGGAGGCTGAGGTGGGAGGATCACTTGAGCCCAAGAGGTCAAGGCTGCAGTGAGCTATGATTGCACCACTGCACTCTAGACTGGGGACACTTTGAAACACAATGTCAAAAAAATAAAAATAAAATAAAATAAATAAATGAAACAAACAAACAGTGCTTTGCACATCATTAGCTTTTCCTTCTTTAGTCCTTGTTCTTTCAGTCTCATTAATGCTGCCCGGAGTGCTCTCCCCCAACCCACCTTCTCGTTTCCCTGGAAATTGTTACCCATCCCTTCCAGGCCTAGCTCAAGCATCATCTCCTCTGCACTGGCCTCCAAGCTGTCCCCAACACCACAGCAAGGTGAGTCCGCTGCTTTCTTCACTGCAGCCCTTAAACTCCATCACCCCTAACCAGAGATCCTACTACACTGGATTTTCAATTATTTGATTATGTGTAATAGGAAAACATCTTGAAATACTAGTATTTGTCTGTTTCTTTTCCACACTTCCTTGTATGTGACCCTTTCCCTCGTCAGCCAGAGGCATTCCATTGCCTCAAGAATTAGTATTTTTATAGTAGGAATGCACAAAGGAAGGGGAAAAAACAACATTTAGTTTTTCAACTTCCAAACTAGACCTCAATGTGGTCACCCGCATGAATAATTTTGAAAGCCAAGTGCTCAGCTTTATGGAGAGAAAGGATTTTGAGAACCCAAAGAATGACCCTGAAGGAGGCAGAGTGTAAAGTTAATGCCTTAGAAGTGAGCTGGAAGGAGCCTAGAGGCGTGTCTGCCCCATCCTGCTCACAGGGAGGCTCGTTAGGGATAGCTCATGCTTGGAATAGGGACACGAGTTGATTTTGGAAGAGATCAGAGTGGCCTGAAATGGAAGCAAAGATGTGGAGAGGAGCAAAGTCAGCCTCAAGAGATGCCCAGCAGCAGGGCCGGTGCGTTACAGCAGCCGAGCAATACCAGTAAGCATCCGTGGCCTCCAGTTAGCACAGCCGTCACCCGAGCTGAGGAGCCACAGTCACCGTCCTGCTCCTCACTTGCTGGGAAATTTTTCTTTTTCTTTTTCTTTTTTTTTTTTTTTTTGAGCCCGAGTCTTGCTCTGTCACCCAGGCTGGAGTGCAGTGGCACGATCTCAGCTCACTGCAACCTCTGCCTCCCAGGTTCAAGTGATTCTTCTGCCTCAGTCTCCCAAGCAGCTGGGATTACAGGCACGCACCACCTCGCCCAGCTAAATTTTTTTTTCTTTTTTTTTTTTTAAGTAGAGATGGGATTTCACCATGTTGGCCAGGCTGGTCTCAAACTCCTGGCCTCAGATGATCCGCCTGCCTTGGCCTCCCAAAGCGTTGGGATTATAGGCACCAGCCAAGTTTTTCTTTTGTCAGCTGCACACTGTTGCCCTTCAATCACCCAGCGGAGGTGATGCCCGCCCATGCCTGGCCCCTTCAGAACCATTTCCTGTGGACACTCACTTTTTCTTTTCTTTTCTTTTCTTTTCTTTTCCTTTCTTCTCTTCTCTTTTCTTTCTTCCCCCTCCCCTCCCCTCCCCTTCCCTTCTTTTTCTTTCCTTTTCTTTTTTTGAGACAGAGTCTCGTTCTGTCAACCAGGCTGGAGTGTGATGGCACCATCTTGGCTCACTGCAATCTCCACCTCCCAGGTTCAAGGATTCTCCTGCCTCAGCATCCAAGTAGCTGGGATTACAGGTGCACGCCACTATGCCCAGCTATTTTTTGTATTTTTAGTAGAGACAGGGTTTCTCTATGTTGACCAGGCTGGTCTTGAACTCCTGACCTCAGGTGAGGTCCTTGAACTCCTGACCTCACCCGCCTCAGCATCCCAAAGTGCTGGGATTACAGGCATGAGCCACTGCGCCTGGCCTGGACGCTCACTTTTCATAACAGCTCAGGAGTCTTGTAAACTTCATGAAGAGTGGGATCTTGACACTGTCAATGCTGTGGGAAACAAAGTCTCTAGCACCTGAGTTTGGGAGAAACCAGACATGGAGACGATCCGTTTCACATGACCACATGCCAAGCCAGACTGAGCCTCTGCGGAGGCAGCAAGCACTGAGTTGGATTCATCTCTGTATCCTGAGCACATGGCTGGTACTTGGTGATTACTGTATTGAGAGAATGAATGAAAATCACAGTCTAGTGAGGAAAACAGACACATAAACAATTTTAAGACACCCTGAGTGCTGTGACAAGGGACTATAGCAATCACAGAGTGAACAGAAGAGGAAAAGGGCCCAGCGACACTGGGGATCTCCTGCAGTGACACCAGGACTAGCACACTGGTTTCTTTGCTGCCCAGAGCACCATTGGAGTAGATGCCCCTGGGGATGCCTGCCCAGCCTATAGGCTCTCCCTCGGCACCACGGGACTGGTCCCTGGCGGCCCCTCAGCCATGGGCTGTGGGTGCATGACCCAAATTGGGCAATGGGTTCCCTGTCCCACAATCTTGCTGTTGGGATTCAGAGAAGCCAGTGTGCTTCCTCTGGTTACTTGACCTGAGACCTGAGAGCCAGCCATGTTTGGCCATGAGAGAACTGGGGGAAGTCGTGCTGCTCAGAGGTATAAGAGTGAAGCAGATGTGCAGAAAGAGGGTGGATAGGAGACAGTGAGGCCCAGAGACAGAGAGGAGCTTCCGGGCTTCTCATTCTTCAGATCCTGGTTCTCAGGCCTCTTGAGGTCTGGCTGCCCCTACCCTCGGGTTCCATGTGCCATCTCTGAAGACGTGATTAAAAGCTCTCAGCTGGAGCTTGCCTGAGTGAATTTCTGTTCTGTGCCACTGATTCTTGGTTAGCATTGTTCCCACTGATGGTCACCATCACGCTCAAGATCACAGCAGACATTTCCATAGCCCTCACCACGTGCAAGACTGTTCTGAGAGCTTTACATGTAACGACCCATTAAATCCTCGTAATAGTCCCATGAGGTAGGACAACTATCATCCCCATTTTTACATTTTCTTCTTCTTTTGTCCTCGCTTTTCAATAAAGAGATGGAGCTAAAGAGAAGATAAGTAGTAACTTGTTCGTGGACATACAGCTAATAAGTGTATGAGCTCATATTCAGCATTGCAGTTTTATCACATTTTATTGAGCAAAAGTTTGTACATATTTTTTAATTGGAAGAATGCAGTTCTAAATGCCAAGCACCAAGAGGGCCCTGAGTGAGTCCCTTCTCCTGTCTAGGCTCAGGATCCTTGCCAGAAGCATGAGGCCAGGTGGGCTGGGAACCAGCCTGCTCAGCCCGCCCAACACATCCTGCCTCTCACTTTCCCGGGACTGGCAGCGGAAGCGCGGGAAGGAGCTGCTGGGCCGGGTACAGGGCTTGGCGGCAAAGTGGGTTGTGCAGCGGGAGGCCAGAGCCGCGCCCTGGCACCTGGCAGGCAGCCCAGCCCCACCGTTGAGAAAATACCTACAACAAAGGCATCCTCCCACCAACAAAGGCGTCCTCCCACCAACAAAGGCATCCTCCCACCAACAAAGGCGTCTTCCCACCAACAAAGGCGTCCTCCCACCAACAAAGGCGTCCTCCCACCAACAAAGGCGTCCTCCCACCACACTGGCCACCTCTCCTTGTCCCTGCAACTCCTTGGCTGAGGAATCTGACTTCTGGGCCAGGACAGGTTGGGTCCTTACATGGCCTCAGGAGGCTACAGAGAGGCCTTGGGGCCCAGCCTGGAACACCTTCCTGGCTCTCCTGGGTGGACGTCCCAGAGAGTGGTCCTGGTTCACCCCACATTGCATAGACTCCAGGCCAACTGCCACCCGGGCACGGTGCTGCGCTTCCTGAGCCTCCGAACACTGCCATCCTCCTCCATGATGTCCGAGGCAGGTGGCTTCACAGATCTAGGTCCTGGAATCCCCCCAGCCAGGAGCTCCCCCTCAGAGCAGTGGCTTGTCTTATGTGCACTCTGGACACAGGTGTGTCTGTGGTGAACAAGAAATGGCCCTGCAAAGGAATTTGGACATAATCCACAATGGGCGTTTGGGAGAGTCAGTCTGGACTGGGGCCTGGGAGAATGAAAAGTCAGGAGCCCCTGAGACTCCAAGAGTGTTGGCATGGGTCTTGGCGGACATATCTTAAGCAAAGCACTAGAAGCTCCTCTGAGAGGTCCAGCCTCCTGAGGTGGTAGCCCATGGCCAATTCCATCCCTCCTTCTCCTGAGCAACACCTGAGGGCCATGGGTTTGGGGAAAAGACCAGCTTGCTGCAACTCTTTCATTCAAATAGCAACTGGCCCTGGAGCTCCAGGCCAACATCAAGCCTTGCTCCACCCCTGCGCTTTAGGGACTGTTGCCATCAGGGCACTGCCAACCTATGTGGTGCTCATGATGACTCAGAAATAAGAACCTGTTTCCTCTAGGCTGATACAGCCCTGCTCCAGCCCCCAGCAGTGCCAAGTGGAGCAGGGTGTGGACTGGCCTTCAACCCCGCTCACCTCTCCTCTATATGGTCTTGTGCAGACCCATCCTGCACTGTCTTATGCAGGTGCAATGCCTGTTAGGATAATCCCAAACATGACCCTGGGCCCCTGATCCCCAGGCCAAACCCCACCCCCTGACCTGGATATTCCCTGGGCTGACAAAAGGAGTTCGGCCAGGGAAGGCTCCTCTTCACTGGCCCAAACCAGCTTCAGACAGCGGGGCAAGGATGTAGGAGCCTTCTTCCCAGCAGAACCCCCGGCCCTGGAGTGGCCCCAGATGAGGCAGCTCCCATCTGTGTGGGTAGCCCTGAGGCTATCCTGAGGGCAGGATGCTGTGCAGGGGAGGAACGGACCTCCATTATGTGATTCTGGGTGGAAGGTAAACAAACCCTGGTTAGGCAGAGGTGGCACAAGCCCACAGCCTTGGGCTCAGCCTTCTGTCTCCCGAGCTCACTGCTCAGTGCCCAGTCCCAGGAAGCCCACAGGCTCTAGGCCTAGCCTGCCTCAATTTCCATTTGTTCCGCCCCCTCATGCACCTCAGGGCCCAGGGTGGCACCAGTGCCCACCACAGAACCAGGCTCAGAGCACATGTGGCACAAATGCTCATGGGATGAATGACGGACTAAAAGAATCATCCAGGCTGGGTGGGCATGGTGGCTCACGCCTGTAATCCCAGCACTTTGGGAGGCCAAGGCAGGAGGACTTGAGTCCAGGAGTTCAAGACCAGCCTGGGCAACATAGCAAGACCCTATCTCTACAAAAAAATTAAAAATCAGCCAGGTGTGGTGGTGCATGCTTGTAGTCCAGATACTTGGGAAGCTGAGCCCAAGAGGTCAAGTCTGCAGGGAGCCATGATTGCACCACCGCACTCCAGCTTGGGCGACAGAGCAAGACCCTGTCTATAAAAAAGAATCATCCAAAGGAAGAGGGCGCTCCTGAGGCAGGTGTGGGCATGGGCACCGTAGCCCGTAGCCGCAGCTCCTCCACTCCTGGCTTGGGCCTCTAAGCCTCACTTCCTCTCCCGTAGAACACTCATGAGACACACCTGCCTCGTGTGGGCCTGGGCAGCTTGCTGTTACTAATAAAACAGCAGCAACACAGGACAGCTTCACTTCCTGAAACTCCCTCTGTCACGTGCTTTGCATGAATCCTCACACCGTCTCACCAGGGGCGCTCTCCCAGTTTCACCAGTGACTTGGTGACAACCAGCATCGCTCACGAAGCGTCAGCCGTATCCTTTCTGTGTGCAGTGGGGTGTGGGTTGTGTGGAGCCGCGGTGTCTGTGGAATTCACAGGCTGGGGCCGGAATCCATGGCCCCCGTCGCCGCTGCCACCCCCCAGGTGCTGGGGTGACCTGATCCAGGGTTGGGGTCTAAGCTGCTGGGGGGTTGGAGTCTTGGGCTCTGGCCCACGTCCGCCTCTGATTGGTTCTACCACCTGAGCTGGTCACTGTCCCTCCATGGGCCTCAGCTTACCCTATGGTAAAGTGAGAACTAGGGGGTCAGACTCCTTGATCACCAAGATCTCTGACCACAGCCAAGGCTAAGGGAAGCGCAGGAAAACGTGGGTCCCGTTCAAATTCCCGGCCTCTCTCTGCCCCCTGGTGGACACAAACAGCCTAGCATCTCGGGGGAGATGACGGTGGGAACCAAGTGGTTCCCAGGGACTTGAGGACTGGCTTGTGACCTCTGCTAAGACTCTCACCGCTGAGTCACAGTCCCCATCTGTTAGATGGGGGTGACAATAGAACCAACACTATTAGGATGTTTTGAGGATTAAGTGCTGTGACAAATGGGAAACACTTGCTACTGAGCCACGCACATACAAAGTGTCCAATAAATGTTAGTCATCACTCTCACCCCGCCTTCTCCCTAACCTCTATATCCCATCAGTCACCAAGTGCTGCTGCTTCTTGCCCCTCTCGCACCCCCTGCATCCCTAGATGACGTCACATCATCTCCCTCCTGGATTCCTCCAAGGTTCACCACCTTCTCCCCAACCCCTCCAGCCATCCTGTGCCCCCACTCAGGGACCTCAGCTGTCCACTCCACAAGCCCAGACCTGAAAATGCCCCACTGTAGTCAGTTGTCCAAGTGCTTCAGCCCTGTCCTCAGGGACCCTGCCCCACCCCCATTCAGCCTTGGTCACCCTGAGCCTTTCTGTTCCCTGTATTCTGACCACACTCAGCTCCCAGCACCCTCTACTCAGGCCCAGTGCCTGCCTCCCAGGCAAGTCCAATTAAGGGATGCCTGATTAGTCTTTGCTTCCTTCCTCCTCCCCTAGCTCTGCAGGAGCCCAGAACCTCCCTAGGCCTCAGTTTCCTTATCTGCCAAATTGGACTGCAGGAGGATGAAAAGAGAGAATATGCTGAAGTACCTAGCCTAGAGTAGCCACTCCACAGAGGCAGGTGCCTGCAGCTGGGATGGAGGGTTCAGCTCTGTCACAGCATATTAGGAAATCATAACCTGCCATTTAGAAGGTGAGGGGTGAGATATAAAGAGAGCTCCAAGGCCCCACTGCAGACCCAACCCTGGCAGTAGTGTGCTCTGAGCAGTGAGTACAGACGCGACCTCCAGGCACAGCACAGAGCTGAGTTAGCCTCCTCCATGTGATCTCTCTCTCTCCATCCGCTGCAGGACCAGGTGTTCTCCACCTGGCTCAGTGGCTCCAGGGAGCAGGACAGGGACTAAAGTGCTGACAGCCCTGACTGTGATTTAGGAGGAGGGAGGCACACGAAATGAGGCAGACCCCTTCTGAACCTCTGTCAGGGCTGGGGTCAGAGATACAGACTGGAGTCCTAAGGGCCTGTACCCAAAGTCTGGGAGCCAAAGAGGGGGAGCCCTCAGTGGTCCTCCAGTTTATTTGGGGAAACTGAGGTGGGAATTGGGAAAATAAGTTCCTTAGGGTTACACAGAGCCTTCATTAACTCAACACATTTTTTCTTCTACTTAATATTTTGGCCAAGTAATATATTCGCGTCATTCAAGAAATCAACTATTTCTTCAAAGAATTGATATCCCTTAAGAAGTCTCAGCTGGGCACTGTGGCTGACACCTGTAATCCTAATAATTTCGGAGGCCAAGGCGGGAGGATTACTTGAGTCCATGAGTTCAAGACCAGCCTGGGCAATATAGTGAGACCTTGTCTCTAAAAAATGAGCAAAAAATTAGCCAGGTGTGGTGGCATGTGCCTGTAGTCCCAACTACTCAGGAGGCTGAGGTGGAAGGATCGCTGGACCCTGGGAGGTCAAGACTGTAGAGAGCCACAATCGTGTCACCACACTCCAGCCTGGGCAACAGTGAGCCCTTGTCTCAAAATAAACAAAGTCTCCCTGCTACTTCTACTTCTATCTTTATTCCATTGTCCACCTCATCCATCCACTATAAGTCAATTTTATTAGTTTCCTAGGTGTCTATTTCATATAAATAAAGCAAGTATCAAATGTTATTCCACCCTTTTACTCAAAGGAGAGTATACTCTGTTCTGCATCTTGCCTTTTTCATTTAACAATGTATTTTGTAGCTTATGTCAGTCCATAAAGAGCTTTCTTGTTTTGTGTGTGTGTGGAGTTTGTTCGTTTGTCAGCTGCCTAGTATTCCATGGTGAGGATGTTCTGTAGTTAATTTCACCAGTCCCTTCCTTAGTAATAGACATTTGAATTGTTTCCAGACTGACGCTATCACAAACCATCCTGTGATGAATAACCTTATGCACACAGGGCTGATGACTGGGCAGAATATCAGAGCATGCTGCACTAGTTTTTGAGTTTTTTGTTTGTTTTTTTGAAGACGGGTCTCACTCTAAATAAGAGTCTGATCTGCTGACCTAGGAGTTGTGCCATCTCATTGGCTGTGGTAGCTAAAGGAAAGGAGAGACTTTTTTTTTTTTTTTTTGAGACAGTCTCACTCTGTCGCCAGGCTGGAGTGCAGTGGCGTGATCTCGGCTCACTGCAACTTTCGCCTCCCAGGTTCAAGGGATTCTTCTGCCTCAGCCTCCTGAGTAGCGGGGACTACAGGCACGCACCACCATGCTCAGCTAATTTTTTTATTTTTAGTAGAGACGGGGTTTCACCACGTTGGCCTGGATGGTCTCGATCTCTTGACCTCGTGATCCGCCTGCCTCGGCCTCTCAAAGTGCTGGGATTACAGGCGTGAGTCACGGCGCCCAGCCAAAAGGATAGACTTCTAATCATTGTCTCTAGAGCATGGTATCCTGTTGATAAGGAGCATAACTCATAGTATTATAGGGAACCAGGAGTCCATGTATACACTCGCTGGGACTGTCCTCTTCACCCAGGGACCAAGCAAGGGAAACATGATCCAAGAGGCAGTGTCATTGTCAATAATTATAGAAGATTATAGGTGAGCCAGAAAGCAACCCTCTTCCCTAATAAAAAGATATTCCGGTAGGGTGTAGTGGCTCACGCCTGTAATCCCAGCACTGTGGGAAGCTAAGGCGGGCAGATCACTTGAGGTCAGGAGTTCGAGACCAGCCTGGCCAACATGGTGAATCCCTGTCTCTACTATAAATACAAAAAAATTAGCCGGGTGTGGTGGCGCATGCCTGTAATCCCAGCTACTCGGAAGGCTGAGGCAGGAGGCAGGGATGCCTCCAAGTCCCTTGAACCTGGGAGGCAGAGGTTGCAGTGAACCAAGATTTAGCCATTGCACCCAGCCTGGGCAAGAGAGCAAGACTCCATCTCAAAAAAAAAAAAAAGAATTGGTGGGGGCCGGGCGCAGTGGCTCACACCTGTAATCCCAGCACTTTGGGAGGCCGAGGCAGGTGGACCACTTGGGGTCAGGAGTTTGAGACCAGCCTGACCAACAAGGTGAAACCCCGTCTCTACTAAAAATACAAAAATTAGCTGGGCATAATGGCCTGTAGTCCCAGCTACTCGGGAGGCTGAGACAGGAGAATTGCTTGAACCCGGGAGGTGGAGGTTGCGGTGAGCCGAGATCCTGACACTGCACTCCAGCCTGTCCAGCCTGGGCGACAGAGCGAGACTCCATCTAAAAATATATATATATATATATATATATACACACACACACACACACACACACACACACACACATATATATACACACACATATATATACACACATATATATATACACACTATATATATACACACACACATATATATATATACACACACACACACACATATATATATACACACACATATATATATATTCCATGGCCCACTCTCCCCAACATACAAACGTATGCCTCCAAGTCCCTTGGGGTGGTGTTGCGGGTCCATATGGTGGCTGTACAGACAGTGGGTTGCAGCACAGCTGAAGAACTGACCTGGCATCTTTTCAGCAAGCAGTGAACACACGAGTCCCCCTACTCCAGGGATGGGCAGTTGCATGGCAGTCATGCTCAGGTGCCCTGATCTACTTAGTGGCCTATGTGAATAGTTACAGGACCTGCTCACTGTTACAGGATGATAAGCCTTGAAGTTTGGCACACTTAGCAAGGACTGACAGGAACACTCAGCACCCATGGCAGACTACCTTTCCTAACAGAGACATAGAGATTCTGCGAGGTCTAACTCACATATACTTGTATTCCAAGGATACAAGTGGAGGACAGAAATGAGGCAGAAGTGATAAGTTGAAGAGCACGGCCAAGAATTTTCCAAAACAGGTAAAAATCATCAAACCACAGTTAAACAAGAAGACTTTTGGAGGCTGGTGCAGTGGCTCACACCTGTAATCCCAGCACTTTGGGAGGCTGAGGAGGGCGGAACACGAGGTCAGGAGATCGAGACCATACCGGCTAACATGGTGAAACCCCGTCTCTACTAAAAATACAAAAAAATTAGCCGGGCTTGGTGGCGGGCGCCTGTAGTCCCAGCTACTCGGGAGGCTGAGGCAGAAGAATGGTGTGAACCAATGGGAGAAGAATGGGAGAACCAATGACGGGAAGAATGGGAGGCAGAGCTTGCAGTGAGCCGAAATCGCGCCACTGCACTCGAGCCTGGGCAACAGAGTGAGACTCCATCTCAAAAAATAAAAAAATAAATAAATAAATATAAATAAGTTAGCCACCCGTGGTGGACATGCATGTGGTTCCAGTTACTTCAGAGGCTGAGGCAAGAAGATCACTTGAGCCCAGGAGGGAGATGCTGCAGTGAGCCGGTGTTTGAGCCACTGCACTCCATCCTGGTCAATGGAGTGAGACCCTATCTCAAAAAAAAAAAAACAACAACAACAACAACAAAAATTGCTGGGCATGGTGGCTCATGCCTGTAATCCTAGCACTTTGGGAGGCCGAGCCAGTCGGATCACTTGAGTCCAGGAGTTTGAGACCGCCCTGGGCAATATGGTGAAACCCTGTCTCTACTAAAAATATAAAAATTAGCCAGGCGTGGTGGCACGTGCCTATGGTCCCAGCTACTCAGGAGGCTGAGGCACGAGAATCGTTTGAACCCGGGAGGTGGAGGCTGCAGTGAACCAAGGTCTCTCCACTGCACTCCAGCCTGGGCAACAGAGCGAAACTCTATCAAAAAGAAAAAGAAAGAAGAAAGGAAAGAAAGAAGGAAGGAAGGAAGGAAGGAAGGAAAGAAGCCTTATGAATTATAACAGGATTAAAAGAAAAGTATACCTATGCACATCAGAGTAAAATGGCCAAAAACCAAAGACAATTTTTTCTTTTTTGATACAGGGTCTCACTCTGTTGCCCAGGCTGGAGTGCAGTGGTACAGCCGTGGCTCACTGCAGCCTCCACCTCCCAGACTCATGTGATCCTCCCACCTCAACCTCCTGAGTAGCTGGGACTACAGGCACATGCTGCCACGCCTGGCTAATTTTTTTTGTGTTCCACACCCGGCTAATTTTTGTGTATGTTTTGTACAGACAGGTTTTCAACATGTTGCCCAGGCTGATCTTGAACTCCTGGGCACAGCCATCCACCTGCCTCAGCCTCCCAAAGTGCTGAGATTACAGGCATGAGCCACCACGCCTGGCTGGATGAAATCTTAAAAGCAGTCAGAGAAAAGGGCAGTTTTACCTTCAAAGGAAGACTAGACTAACAGTTGACTTTTCAACAAAAATAATGCAAGCCAGGAGACACTGAATAATATGCAGTTGTCCCTCAGTATGTGTGGGGGATTTGTTTCAGAACAAATTTTATATAAGGGACTTGATCATCCATGGATACCAAAATCTTGATATGTTGCCCAGGCTGGTCTCAAACTCCTGGGCTCAAATCATCCTCTACCTCAGCCTCCCAGAGTGCTGGGATTATAGGCATGAACCACTACACCCAGATTGTATTCTGTTTTTTATTTATGTTATTTTTTATTGTTGTATTGTTATTTTTAAAAATTATTTTTCCCCGACTTTTTTATTTATTTATTTATTTTGAGGTGGAATCTTGCTCTGTCGCCCAGGCTGGAGTGCAGCGGTGCGATCTTGGTTCACTGCAACCTCCACCTCCCTGGTTCAAGCAATTCTCCTGCCTCTGTCTCCCGAGTAGCTGGGATTACAGGCGCCCGCCACCACCCACAGCTAATTTTTGTAGTTTTAGTAGTGACAAGGTTTCACCATGTTGGCCAGGCTGGTCTCGAACTCCTGACCTCAGGGGATCTGCCCACCTTGGCCTACCAAAGTGTTGGCATTACAGGTGTGAACCACTGTGCCTGGCCTCCCCAAATATTTTTGATCCATAGTTGGTTGAATCCGTAGATGCAGAATCCCAATAGAGAAGGCCAACTGTACTCAAAGGGCTTAAAGAAAATCGCTGCCTGTCTAGAACTCTATACTCAGCAAAAACATCCTTTAAAAATTAAGGTAACATAAGGCTTTTTCAGACAAAAAATTAAAAAGATAGTTCTTTCCAGCAGCCCCATATTGAAGGAAATAACATAGGGTGCTTTTCTGTCGGAAAGAAAATAACCCCAGATGGAAGCTCAAAAATGTAAGAACGACTAAAAAACAATGAAAATGGCTGGCTGCAGTGGCTCACACCTGTAACCCCAGCACTTTGGGAGGCCGAGGCGGGTGGATCACCTGAGGCCAGGATTTTGAGACCAGCCTGGCCAACATGGTGAAACCCCGTCTCTACTAAAAATACAAAAATTAGCCGGGCATGGTGGTGGATGCCTGTAATCCCAGTTACCCAGGAGGCTGAGGCAGGAGAATCACTGGAACCCAGGAGGCAGAGGCTGCAGTGAGCCAAGATCACGCCACTGCACTCCAGCCTGGGCAACACAGCAAGACTCCATCTCAACAACAACAAAAAATAGATCTAGATGTGTATGTGTCTGAACACACACATTGACGTAGTTCCTTGTTCTGTCTGCTGAGACTGCCTGAAATCAGTGGCACTCTGGCAGCACTGAACATCTTTGGCGCCCATTATAGATGGCATTCTCAGTGCTGGACTAGGGCTCCTTGTGGGCTGGAGCAAGAAATGTACAAGATGAACCTAGAATACCTTGCTGTGCCAGGAAATAAATAAATGCTCAAAGAATTATGAAGACACACTAAAGGGCGCAGCTGCCAACTTGAAGCATCTTCCACTGGCCAAATCTAAGATAGTATGACTTTCAAAATAGGTATCAAGTAATGGATTGTAGTTCATTGAGAAAAATAGGAATCCACGTGTTTATATGATATAAATAGATAAATGAATAAATACATTGGGGAGAATGGAAAGCTCTGTTTCGTCATAGAATAAGAATATTAACTAATAAATGTAAAAAAATGTTGAAATTAGAAAAACCTTGGCCTAGAGCAGTGGTTCACACCTGTAATCCCAGCACTTTTGGAGGCCGAGGTGGGTGGGTCACCTGAGGTCAGGAGTTCGAGACCAGCCTGACCAATATGGTGAAACCCCATCTCTAGTAAAAATACAAAAATTAGCTGGCTGTGGTGGTGGGTGTATGTAATCCCAGCTACTGCGGAGGCTGAGGCAGGAAGATTGCTTGAACCCAGGAGGCAGAGGTTGCAGTGAGCCGAGATTGTGCTACTGCACTCCAGCCTGGGCAACAGAGTGAGACTCTGTCTTAAAAAAATAAAAATAAAAATAAAAAAAGGGAAAATCTTCACTTGGCAACCATCGTAGTAGTAATTGATTTGGGTTGAAACTGGGTGAAGCAACTTTGATATGGAACAGGATATTTTTATACTCTCAGAACATCTCCCTATGAAATATTTATTCATTACTCATCACTTAACACGTACTAAATACTGTTAACTTTCCAGTGGAGAAACCTGGCAGACATCATCTTAGCCAAGTGGTAAACATTAACATCAGCAGTAATGGGACAAGTTGACATTGTGTGACTCCTAATATGGTACACTGAGAAGAATGTCGCATCGTTTCTGTGGTATTCCTGCCAGAGATGCATAAATCATGAGGACACAGCAGACAAATCCAAACTGAAGACAACCTACAAAGTCATTGACCTGTATTTTTCAAAAATCTTGGCCAGAGAAGGGAAGCCTGAAGAATTGTTCTAGAATAAATTAGACTGAAGAGACTCCTTGAAGGCGACTGAATTGGATGCTGGGCCTGTAAAGGTAATTTGGGGGACAATTAGTGTAATTTGTTGTTGTTGTTGCTTGCTTTTTAGTTTTTTTAAATTTTTATTTATTTATTTATTTTATTTTTTATTTTTATTTTTATTTTTTTGGTATTTATTGATCATTCTTGGGTGTTACTCGCAGAGGGGGATTTGGCAGGGTCATAGGACAATAGTGGAGGGAAGGTCAGCAGATAAACATGTGAACAAGGGTCTCTGGTTTTCCTAGACAGAGGACCCTGCGGCCTTCCGCAGTGTTTGTGTCCCTGGGTACTTGAGATTAGGGAGTGGTGATGACTCTTAAGGAGCATGCTGCCTTCAAGCATCTGTTTAACAAAGCACATCTTGCACCGCCCTTAATCCATTTAACCCTGAGTGGACACAGCACATGTTTCAGAGAGCACGGGGTTGGGGGTAAGGTTATAGATTAACAGCATCCCAAGGCAGAAGAATTTTTCTTAGTACAGAACAAAATGGAGTCTCCAATATCTACTTCTTTCTACACAGACACAGTAACAATCTGATCTCTCTTTCTTTTCCCCACATTTCCCCCTTTTCTATTCGACAAAACCGTCATCATCATCATGGCCCGTTCTCAATGAGCTGTTGGGTACACCTCCCAGACGGGGTGGCGGCCGGGCAGAGGCGCCCCCCACCTCCCAGACGGGGCAGTGGCCGGGCGTAGGTGCCCCCCACCTCCTGGACGGGGCAGCTGCCGGGCGGAGGGGCTCCTCACTTGGCAGACGGGGTGGCTGCCGGGCGGAGGGGCTCCTCACTTCCCAGACAGGGCGGCTGCCGGGTGGAGGGGCTCCTCACTTCTCAGACGGGGCGGCCGGGCAGAGACGCTCCTCACCTCCCAGATGGGGTGGCGGTCGGGCAGAGACACTCCTCAGTTCCCAGACGGGGTCACGGCCGGGCAGAGGCGCTCCTCACTTCCCAGACGGGGTGGCGGCCAGGCAGAGGCTGCAATCTCGGCACTTTGGGAGGCCAAGGCAGGCGGCTGGGAGGTGGAGGTTGTAGCTAGCCGAGATCACGCCACTGCACTCCAGCCTGGGCAACATGGAGCACTGAGTGAGCGAGACTCCGTCTGCAATCCCGGCCCCTCGGGAGGCCGAGGCAGGCAGATCACTCGCGGTCAGGAGCTGGAGACCAGCCCGGCCAACACGGTGAAACCCCGTCTCCACCAAAAAATGCAAGAACCAGTCAGGTGTGGCGGCGCGCGCCTGCAATCCCAGGCACTCTGCAGGCTGAGGCAGGAGAATCAGGCAGGGAGGTTGCAGTGAGCCGAGATGGCGGCAGTACAGTCCAGCCTCGGCTTTCACAACTTTGGTGGCATCAGAGGGAGACCGGGGAGAGGGAGAGGGAGAGGGAGAGGGAGACGAGGGAGATGAGGGAGACGAGGGAGACGAGGGACGAGGGAGAGGGGAGAGGGCAGAGGGGAGAGGGGAGAGGGAGAGGCTTTTTAGGTTTTTTTGAGACAGGAACTCACTCTGTCACCCAGGCTTGAGTGCAGTGGCGTGATCTCGGCTTACTGCAACCTCTGCTTCCTGGGCTCAAGCGATCCTCCCATCTCAGCCTCCCAAGTAGCTGGGACTACAGGTGTGCACCACCACGTCCAGCTAATTTTTCTGTATTCTTTGTAGAGACAAGGTTTTACCATGTCTCCCAGGTTGGTCTTGAACTCCTAGGCTCAAGTGATCTGCCTGCCTTGGCCTCCCAAAGTGCTGGGCTTACAAGCATAAGTCACCACGCCCAGCCAATTGGTGTAATTTGAATGGAGTTAATGCATTAGTTTATATGGTTAAATAGTAGTATTTTATCAGTATTAATTTTCTGGTTCTGATTTTGTAAGGGTAATGTAGGAGAGTATAATTTTTTTTGAAATACATACTGAAGTATTAAGAGTAATGGGGCATAATATATACAATTTACTTTCAAATGGGTTGGAAAAATTACATATACTAATATAATATATATTATATATAAGGGATAGATAGAGAGAATAAGGCAAATGAGTAATCTAAGGGAAGAGTGTATGGATGGTCTTAGAACTATTTCAAAACTTCTGCAAGTTTGAAATTATTTCAAACTAAAAAGTTTATAAGAAAGTGAATCAATAAAAAAGATATATTATGCAAATACCAACCAAACAATGCTGTTATAACTATATTAATATCAGAAAAAGTAGACTTTAAGGCAAAAATAATTATTAGAAATAAAGAGAGCTGGGCGCAGTGGCTCACACCTGTAATCCCAGCACTTTGGGAGGCCGAGGCCAGCGGATCATGAGGTCAGGAGATTGAGACCATCCTGGCTAACACAGTGAAACCCCTGTCTCTACTAAAAATACAAAAAAGTTAGCCAGGCGAGGTGGCGGGTGCCTGTAGTCCCAGCTACTCCGGAGGCTGAGGCAGGAGAATGGCATGAACCCGGAAGGCGGAGCCTGCAGTGAGCCGAGATTGCGCCACTGCACTCCAGCCTGGGCGACAGAGCAAGACTCCGTCCCCCTCAAAAAAAAAAAAAAGAAATAAAGAGAGACTGCCGGGCGAGGTGGCTCACGGTTGTAATCCCAGCACTTTGGGAGGCCGAGGCGGGTGGATCACGAGGTCAGCCCAGCCAACACAGTGAAACCCTGTCTCTGCTAAAAATACAAAAATTAGCTGGGTGTGGTGGTGGGCACCTGTAATCCCAGCTACTCAGGAGGCTGAGGCAGAAGAATCGCTTGAACCTGGGAGGTGGAGGTTGCAGTGAGCTGAGATCATGCCACTGCACTCCAGCCTGGGCGACAGAGCTAGACTCCCTCTCAAAAATAAATAAATAAATAAATAAATAAATAAATAAATAAATAAATAGAAACACTTCATTAAAAAAAGTTCAACCCATCAAAAGATGAACTAATTCTAAGCCAAGCATGGTAGCACGTGCTGTAGTTCCAGCTACTCCAGAGGCTGAGGTGGGACGATCCCTTGAGCTCAGAAATAAGACCAAATCAGCCTAGGCAGGGAGACATCATCTCTAAAAAAAGTAAAATTAAAAAAAGATAAAATAACTCTAAACTTAGATTCTCCAACAACATAGCCTCAAAATACTTAAAGCAAAAACTGACAGAACTCAAAAAAGAAATAGACAAATTCAAAACCACAATGGGAATTTTAACATACTTCTCAATAATGGGTCAAAAAATTAGCCAGGTGTGGTGGCACATGCCTGTAGTCCCAGCTGCCCAGGAGGCTGAGGTGGGAGGATTGCTTAAGCTTGGGAAGTCGAGGCTGTGGTGAGTCATGACCACACCACTGCGCTCTAGCTTGGGTGACAGAGCAAGACTCTCAATAAAAAAGAAAGAAGAAAGGAAGGAAGGAAAGAAAGAAAAGGAAAGGAAAGAGGGAAAAAGGGACACAAAAAAAGAAATGTCAGAAATGAAAAGGGAGAAATCACTATAGATCCTACAGATGATGGTAACTCATACATTTCAGGTAGAATTGTAAATGCGTACTAGCATTTAGAAATCAGTTTGGTATTGTTTACTAAAGTTGAAGGTATACATATCCTGTCACCCAAAGTTTTATTCTTAGGTGTACAGCCAAGAGACACATATGCACTTTTGGGAAAAAAAACCCTCAAATATTTATTAATAGTACAATGTATAAGTGAAAAATACTATGCAGCAATGAAAACAAACTACTGTTTTATGCAATAGCATGGATGATGCTCACAAACCTATTATTGAGTAAAACAAAACAAAAAAAACCTTACCCCCCAAAATATATACTGTATGATTCTACTTACATAAAGTTCAAAAATAGCAAAAAAATAGTGTTTGGTATTTGAAGTCAGGGAAATCAACAAGAGGTGACAAAACACTTATCCTCAGGACTAGCAAGAACAGAAAAGTGTTATTACTCCTAAGCCTAAAGGAACAAGGGGAGAAGATGTCGCTAGAATCCTACATAAGAGATGACACCTGGATGGACTTATGACCTTTAAGTAGAGGACAGGGAGGGATCTGGGGAAATGAATACCCTGATCTCTTTTTCCTCCCATGCTTGTCTTCTGCCAGTGCTCCCCGTTGGTCAAGCCCAATCAGAAGGTGGAGAGTAGGAAATCCATTTCCTGCAGCTTATAAAGGTTGGCTTCCAGGAACACAGAACAAGATGGAGAAGAATAAATAATGGATCTGGAGGAGAAAACAGAGAACACTAGAGTAGTATTAAATCTGGAAGAAAAATTATTGGATTGTCTAATAAATTTTACAAAAAATGTAGTTATTTGATAACAAAAGTAAACCATATAATGAACTTTTAAATTTTTCCAAGGTATTATTGACTCCTGAAACTTGGCCAGATGGTGCCTGCAAAATTCTATGGGTTCAGGTAAAAAAAGATTACTACAATTAAGCAAATTAATTAAATATGACATTCAAATTAATCATCTTGGCCAGGCACAATGACTCACACCTATAATCCCAGCACTTTGGGAGGCTGAGGCAGGAGGATCGCTTGAGCCTAGGGTTTGAGACCAGACTGGGCAATAGAGTGAGACCTCATATCTACAAAAAGTTTAAAAATTAGCTGAGTGTGCTGGTGCATGCCTGTGATTCAGGACTCAGGTGATGCCACCTCCTCAGAGGACCTTCCCTGAGCAACCCATCTGGAGTAGAACCCCCACCTCAAGCTGGGCGTGGTGACTCAGGCCTGTAATCCCAGCACTTTGGGAGCCAAAAGCAGGCAGATCACTTGAGGTTAAGAGTTCGAGGCCAGCCTGGCCAACATGGTGAAACCCGGTCTCTCCTAAAAATACAAAAATTAACTGGGTGTGGTGACGTGTGCCTGTAGTCTCAGCAACTCAGGAGGGTGCGGCAGAAGAATTGCTTAAACCCGGGAGGCAGAGGTTGCAGTGACCCAAGATTGCACCACCGCACTCTAGCACTCTGTTGCACTCCAGGCAACAGAGCAAGACCCCATTTAAAAAAAAAAAAAATCTTCAGAGCAATGGAAAGGTATCAAAGGATTGCTTGTTGGGGAGAAGTATAACCTTATTTGCATTTGAAAACAAGTACCCCTGCAACCATCTCCTAACTCCTCTCCCCCCACACAGTCTCATCTCCTGCCAATGAATAGTGCAAAGTTCCAGAGAAGCCTGGAGGGATGGAATTCTGAGCACAGAAGGAACATCTTTCAGCAGTGAGAAGGAAAGGAGGATTAGGCAGCTATAACATTAGGTGATCTGCTGAGAGCGAGGAGCTAGAAGGGAAGCTTGAAGTCTGAGGACAGTGCAACTAAACATCAAAATGCACTGGAATTGTCTAACGGCATTGAGGTTGGTGACTGAATTTATAGTGTTACTTACACCCCCAGTAGTTCTTAAAAAATGCTTCCTGGCCTGGCTGTAAGCATAAAGGAGAGGCATAGTTAGGTTCACCTAGAGTTTGGAGGGTTTGTTTTGTTTTGTTTCTTGAAACAGAGTCAGGCTGGGCACGGTTGCTCATGCCTGTAATCCCAGCACTTTGGGAGGCCGAGGCGGGCGGATCATGAGGTCAGGAGATCGAGAGCATCCTGGCTAATGCAGTGAAACCCCGTCTGTAATAAAAATACAAAAAATTAGCCGGGCGAGGTGGCGGGTGCCTGTAGTCCCAGCTACTCCGGAGGCTGAGGCAGGAGAATGGCGTGAACCTGGGAGGCGGAGCTTGCAGTGAACCGAAATCGCACCACTGCATTCCAGTCTGGGTGACAGAGCAAGACCCCGTCTCAAAAAAAAAAAAAAAAAAATAGAAACAGTCTCGCTCTGTTGTCCAGGCTGGAATGCAGTGGTGCAATCATAGCTCACTGCAGCCTCGATCTCCAGGGCTCCAGAAATCCTCCCACCTCAGCCTCCTGAGTAGCTGGGACTACAGGTTCACACCACTATACCTGGCTATTTTTTTTTTCCCCAGTACAGTCAAGGTCTCTTTGTGTTGCTCAGGCGGCCTCGAACTCCTGAGTTCAAGTGATCCTCCCGCGTTGGCCTCGGTGCTGGGATTACAGGCGTGAGCCACCATGCCTGAACATGTTTGGAGTTTTGATAGGTTGGTGCTGAGGACAAAGGGAGAGCCAAGGATTTTAGGATGTTTGCAAGGAAGTGATTGAAATGATGGAACATGACATTTAAGCTGGTTAAAGAGGAAAATGGAGGCAGAAATGAGTTGATGGATAGGCAGAAATTGAAGGAGGTCTTGAGGAGGCCTAGAAAGAGAAGTGGCTTGATTGGTGGAGCAAGCAAGCAGGAAAGACATGAATTTGTGGGCCCAACGGTAGTCCGGGGCTTTGACTAGTTGCAGAGGGTTGTCAGGGACATCGGGGCACGGTGAAGTGGGGAAGGACGGCATTGTGATGGGGAGATAAGGAACTGAAAAGCCGGGGGTAGGAGGGGCAGAGCCATGGACAATGGTCCTGGACCTTTCTTTGTAGATTAAAACTTTTCAGATGATCTTGGCAGCACTTGTGTGGGGAATGTGTGGAAGAACAAGATTTCACGTTTTGTTTATATTAAAATTTTGGAGACTCATGTTCACCCTGGAGTGGACACTTTTTTTTTTTTTTTTTTGAGACAGGCCCTTGCCCAGGTTGGCGTGCAATGGCGCGATCTCGGCTCACTGCAACCTCGGCCTCCCGGGTTCAAGTGATTCTCCTGCCTCAGCCTCTCAAGTAGCTGGGATTACAGATGTGCACTACCACGCCCAGCTAATTTTTGTATTATTAGTAGAGATGGAGTTTCACCATGTTGGCCAGGCTGGTCTCAAACTCCTGACCTCAGGTGATCCACCCGCCTCGGCCTCCCAAAGTGCTGGGATTACAGGCGTGAGCCACCGCGCCCGGCTGGAGTGGACACTTAACATTTAAATGTATTACAATTATGAGGCCAGGCGCAGTGGCTCACGCCTGTAATCCCAGTACTTTGGGGAGGCTGAGGCAGGTAGATCACTTGAGGTCGGGAGTTTGAGGCCAGCCTGGCTAACATGGCAAAACCCTGTCTCTATTAAAAATACAAAAACTAGCTGGGTGTGGTGGCACGCATCTGTAATCCCAGCTACTCAGGAGGCTGAGGCATGAGAATTGCTTGAACCCAGGAGGCAAAGGTTGTAGTGAGGCGAGATTGTGCCACTGCACTCCAGCCTGGGCAACAGCGAGACTCCATCTCAAAAATAATAATCATAATAAATAAATAAATATATTACAATTAGGCCCTAGATGTCAAAAGGTCTTTTCAGGACACAAAAGCGCTCAAGTGCACAGCCTCTGTAAACTGGCCAGAACCAGTCCGTGGTCGGTGGTCTTACTATCAGGAGAAAATTATTGATATCAGTCTCTTGTCCAGTCCAAGCTGTAGTTATGGCTTATGGAAACAGTGGTCAGTTAGTGGATGTGCTGCAATTATTTTCATATTGCTTATCTCAAGGCCAGTGCTTATTGTTCTGCTAGAGAAAACGAAAAACCTTGTGGCTGTTAGAACTTAGTTTATTCTTTAAGTGTAGGGGTGGGTGACTTAACCCTTGCCTGGCCTGGCCTGTATCTTTTTTTTTTTTTTTTTTTAGATGGAATCTCACTCTGTTGCCCAGGCTGGAGTGCAATGGCGTGATCTTGGCTCACCGCAACCTTCGCCTCCCAGGTTCAAGTGATCTTCCTGCCTCAGCCTCCCAAGTAGCTGGGATTACAGATGTGCACTACCATGCCCGGCTAATTTTTGTATTTTTAGTAGAGACAGGGTTTTGCCATGTTGGCCAGGCTGGTCTCAAACTCCTGACCTCAAGTGATCTGCCCGCCTCAGCCTCCCCAAAGTGCTGGGATTACAGGCGTGAGCCACCGCGCCCAGCCTATAATTTTGTATCTTATTGCCACAAAAGTCTGTTCTGTCAGTCTTATGCTCTCTATTTTAACATCAATGCTGGTCAGCTGTTGTGTCTAAACTACAAAGGGGACCTCCTGTCCTGCCATGGCTGGAACTCCATTCCTAAGTTTTTTCTGGTGTCCCCTTGGCCAAGGGGGGCATCCATTCAGTTGGTGGGGGACTTAGGATTTTATTTTTAGTTTACAGTAGGTAACTTTCGGTGGAGAAGGACGTCATAAAGAAATGTGAGAAATATTTACTTCTGAATAGTGGAAAAACTACATTAAAGTTGGTGGGGCACAGCTTAGCTGGGTTTTAGCAGCACTTACAGACAAATTTATATATTTAAGTACATTTAGTGGAAAACAATACATGTAAAAATAAACAAGCCCCCAAGAGAATGCCAATGAAAAGGAGCAAAATACCGCCACATGTTACAACATAGATTAATCCTCAATAACATTAAGTGCACAAAATGCCACATATTGTGGCAAGCCCATGCCCACACCTGCCTTGGGAGGCCCTCTTCCTTTGGAAGACGGTTTTACTCATTCATTGCGTAAATCAATTTTTGTGAAATGTCCAGGAAAGGCAAATCTATATATAAAGTAGATTAGTGGTTGCCTAAGGCTGGGGGCAGGAAAGGGGATAAACTGTAAATGGGTGTGATATTTCTTTTTTGGGTGATTGAAATATTCTAAAATTGGGTTTTGATGATGGTTGCATAACTTTGTAACTGTACTAAAAATCATTGAATAGTATCCTTAAAGCAGGTGAATTTTATGGTGTGTAAATTATACCTCAATAAAACTGTTAAGGTGACCATTCAGTTTGAGTTGGTGAAAAAAGAGCAATAAAACAAATGCCTAAGCAGAAAGAAAGGACATAATAAAGTCAGAAACCAAAGAAAGAGAACAAATCAAAGGAAAAATATTTTAAGCTTTTTTTTAAGAAAAATTAATAAAATACATAAGGCTGTTGAGTTTATTTATCCAGAGGTGAGATAATTATCCCAGGGACTATGAGTTCATTTACAGCTTAAGTAAACAACTCTGGTTTCCAGTAACAGACATGTCATCTAAGCTTGCAGTCATTACATTCTTCACTGATGACAGGACTTGCCATCCCCATTCTAGGATCTGCCTTCTGTTGAGTGGCTAGTACCCATCCCATCCAAGCACTTTGCATGTATTATCTCCTTGCCTCCTCACAATTGCCCAAAGAGGTGGGTATTATAATCATTCCTATGTAACCGGTGGGAACTGGGGCTCAGAGGGATGGGTGCCTTGGCAGAGGTCACACAGTGTCGGGGTCATCTCCCCCCGGGTGCTAGGCTGCCGGCGTCCACCAGGGGGCAGAGAGAGGCTGGGAATTTGGACGAGCCCCACGTTTTCCTGCGCTTCCCTTAGCCTTGGCTGTGGTCAGAGATCTTGGTGATCAAGGAGTCTGACCCCCTAGTTCTCACTTTACCATAGGGTAAGCTGAGGCCCATGGAGGGTCAGTGACCGGCTCAGGTGGTAGAACCAATCAGAGGCGGACGTGGGCCAGAGCCCAAGACTCCAACCCCCCAGCAGCTTAGACCCCAACCCTGGATCAGGTCACCCCAGCACCTGGGGGGTGGCAGCGGCGACGGGGGCCATGGATTCCGGCCCCAGCCTGTGAATTCCACAGACACCGCGGCTCCACACAACCCACACCCCACTGCACACAGAAAGGATACGGCTGACGCTTCGTGAGCAAGGCTGGTTGTCACCAAGTCACTGGTGAAACGGGGAGAGCGCCCCTAGTGAGACGGTGTGAGGATTCATGCAAAGCACGTGACAGAGGGAGTTTCCGGAAGTGAAGCTGTCCTGTGGTTGCTGCTGTTTTATTAGTAATAGCAAGCGGCCCAGGCCCACACGAGGCAGGTGTGTCTCATGCGTGTTTTACAGGAGAGGAAGTGAGGCTCAGAGGTCCAAGCCAGGAGTGGAGGAGCTGCGACTCCAGGCTGCGGTGCCCATGCCCACATCTGCCTCTGGAGGCCCTCTTCCTTTGGAAGATGGTTTTACTCACTCATTGCGTGAGCATGGGCCCTGTGTAATGCTGTTACCCCAGCTCTCTAGGCAGGTACAATTATGATCCCATCCAACACACAAGGAGTCAGAGGCCCAGAGAGGTTCCAGGTCACACGGCCCACGTGGAGCTTTGATGTGAACCCCTGTCTGTGTGACTGCAAAGCAGGTGCTCTTTTTTTTTTTTTTTTTCCCCAGACGGAGTCTTGCTCTGTCACCCAGGCTTGAGTGCAGTGGCACCATCCACTGCAACCTCCTCCTCTAGGGTTCAAGCAATTCTCCTGCCTCACCCTCCCAAGTAGCTGGTGTTACAGGCATGCACCACCATGCCTGGCTAATTTTTGTATTTTTAGTAGAGACGGGGTTTTGCCATGTTGGCCAGGCTGGTCTTGAACTCCTGACCTTGTGATCCCCCCGCCTCGGCCTCCCAAAGTGCTGGGATTACAGATGTGAGCCACCATGCCTGGCCAGAGCAGGTGGTCTTGACTTAACCTTTGCTTCACCCTCAACCATCCACCACCCTTTACCACAGGAGGGGTAGAAGGAATGAATAAAGGCTTCAGGTCACTAGGATGTGTCCATGTGCATGGTTATTGGACTATAAGATGTCAGAGGTGCTCTGTACCTGCGCCTGCACTCTGCTTAGTCCATTCTAGAGAGTGATTTGAGTACAAATGTCAAGGCCGAGCTTGTCTAACCCGAGGCTCACATGCCACATGCAGCCCAGGACAGCTTTGAATGCGGCCCAACACAAATTCAGAAACTTCCTTAAAGACCATGAGGTTTTTTTGCAATTTTTTTCTAAGCTCATCAGCTATCATTAGTGTTAGTGTATTTTATGTGTGGCCCAAGACAATTCTTCTTCCAATGTGGCCAAGGGAAGCCAAAAGATTGGACACCCCTGGTAGGCATTACTCTTGGTCTTTTTTTTTTTTTTTTTTTATAGGGTCTTGCTTTGTCACTCAGGCTGGGGGGCAGTGGCATGATCATAGCTCACCATAATCTTGAACTCCTGGGTTCAAGCGATCCTCCCAGCTCAGCCTCCCTACAGTCAGGTCCCACCATGCCCAGCTAATTAAAAAAATATTTTTTTTTGTAGAGATGGAGCTTCGCTATGTTGCCCAAGCTGTTCTCGAATTCCTGGCCTCAAGTGATCCTCCCACCTCAGCCTTCCAAAGCACTGGGATTACAGCACTTAAAAAAATTATGAGTCAAGCACAGTGGTTGACGCCTGTCATCTCAGCATTTTGGGAGGTTGAGGCAGGAGGATTGCTTGAGCTCAGGAATTCAAGACCAGCCTGGGCAACATAGTAAGACCTCATCTCTACTAAAAATAAAATTAAAAAAAAAATTAGCCAGGCCTGATGGCGTAGCTGTAGTCCCATCAGGAGGCTGAGGCAGGAGGATTGCTTTAGCCTGGGAGATAGAGGCTGCAATAAGCTATGATTGCACTCCAGCCTGGGTGACAGAGTGAGACTCTGTCTCAGAAAAAATTATAGCAAAATATATAATTACAATTTTAACTATTTTGGGGTGTACAGTTCACGGCATTAAGTTCATTCACATTGTCTGCAGCCATCGCCTTGTCCATTTCTAGAACTCTTTCATCTCTCCAAACTGAAACTGTGTATCCATTAAACAGTAAGTCCCCATTCTCCCCTTTCTCTAGCCACTGGCAACCACCATTCTATACTTTCTGTCTCTATGAATATAACTACTTTAAGTACCTCACATGAGTGGAATCATACAATATTTGTCCTTTTGTGTCTGGCTTCTTTTATTTAGTATAATGTCTTCGGGGTTCATCCATGTTGTAGTGAGTGTCAGATTTTCATTTCTTTTTTAAGGCTGAATAATATTCTCTTGTATAGCCATACAATATGTATTTATCCATTCATCTGTTGATGGACATTTAGGCTGTTTCTACCTTTTGGCTACTGTCAAAAGTGCTGCTATGAACATGGATGTGTAAATATTTGTTCTTTTTGATTCCCTCCCTTCCATTCTTGTAAGGCAAATCTATAAAGTATCTATATATAGTATACCCAATGGTGAAACTGCTGGATCTTATAGTAATTCTATATTTAATTTTTTTTTGAGACAGAGTCTCACTCTGTCGCCCAGGCTGGAGTGCAGTGGCACGATCTCAGCTCACTGCAACCACCGCCTCCCAGGTTCAAGTGATTCTCTTGCCTCAGCCTCCCAAGTAGCTGGGATTACAGGCATATGCCACCATGCCCAGCTAATTTTTTTGTATTTTTAGTAGAGATGGGGTTTTGCCACGTTGGCCAGGCTGGTTTCGAACTCCTGACCTCAGGTGATCCACCACCTCAGCCTCCCAAAGTGCTGGGATTACAAGCATGAGTCACTGCACCCGGCCCTATATTTAATTTTTTGAGGAGCTGCCATCCTGTTTTCCACAGCAGCTGCACTATTTTACATTCCCACCAGCAATGCACAAGGGTTCCAATTTCTCCATGTTCTCACCAACACTTGTTACTTTCTGTTTTTTAAAAAAATAATAGCCATTCTAATGATTATGAAGAGGTATCATTGTGGATTTCATTTGCATTTCCCTAATAATTAGTGAGATTAAACATCTTTTTATATGCTTATTGGCCATCTGTAGATCTTTTTTTGGAGGATTTTTTAAGTATTTTGCCTATTTACAACTGAGTTGTTTATTTTATTGTTGTTGAGTTGTATGAGGTTTTAAAATATATATTCTGAAAAAAATAAACATATATATTCTGGATATTAATCACTTATCAGATATATGATTTGCAACTATTTTCTCCCATTCTGTGGGTTGCCTTTCACTCTGTTGATAGTGTCATTTACAAGGCGGGCAGATCACAAGGTCAGGAGATCGAGACCATCCTGGCTAACTCAGTGAAACCCTGTCTCTACTAAAAATACAAAAAAAAAAAAAAAATTAGCTGAGGGTGGTGGCAGGCACCTGTAGTCCCAGCTACTCGGGAGGCTGAGGCAGGAGAATCATTTGAACCTGGGAGGCAGAGGTTGCAGTGAGCCGAGATCACGCCACTGCACTCCAGCCTGGCAAAAGAGCGAGACTCTGTCTCAAAAGAAAAAGAAAACAAAAAATGGGTCCCTAAAAACAGTGGCCTATGTGTGCTTTTCTTAGGCAGCACAAGTTGGAGGAGGCCCTGCTGTTTTGGGGCCAGTTCATGGATGATTTGCAGGCCTTGGTAGACTAGTTGTACAAGTTGAAGCTGCAGCTGGCTGAGAACCAGGCTGTGTGTGGGGACTTTGACCTAGGCATGAACTTCAAGGGTGCCCCTACAATGAGGGGTGGACTCGGCTACATGGAGGGAAGGGCTGCTTGGTTGCATACTTAAGTGCACCTTCTGCTCTGTTAACCCTCTAGGGGTGAAAGGACACCATGAAAGATCCTGTATGCTGCTGGTCAGAGAGGAGGCTCCTTACTCTGTGTGTTTAAACAAATTGTTGCTGGGATTCTGCATTGCTCACAAAGATTTTACCAAAATTGTTTTGATTTGATTCAGATTTGGCAATGTGTAAATTTCACTTTGAGGTTCCCTCCACACCCACCCCTGCCCCACCCCCAATCTATTCTCATTTGGTTCACAAAATACTTTTTTTTTTTTTTTTTGAGACAGAGTTTCACTCAGTCACCCAGGCTGGAGTGCAGTGGTGCAATCTTGGCTCACTGCAACCTCCGCCTCTCGGGTTCAGGCAATTCTCCTGCCTCAGCCTCCCAAGTAGCTGGGACTACAGGCACATGCTACCCTTCCCGACTAATTTTTGTATTTTTAGTAGAGACAGGGTGTCATCATGTTGGCCAGGCTGGTCTCGAACTCCTGACCTCAAGTGATCTTCCTGCCTCAGCCTTCCACAGTGCTGGGATTACAGGTGCATCACAAAATAAATTTAATTTCAGGTAGAAATCTTCAAAAAATACCCATTTCCACTGGTTTCTAAAATAAGTGTGAGAACTCTGAAACCACTTTTAAACCATACACAACAATATTTAGTGTACTCTGGGCCTGTCATGTTGTGCTACATAATGTCCTCCTGTTTCAGTAGGATGCATTCTGATGCAATGAATCCATCTTTATCTCTGCTAATGTTCTTTATGTTGAAGTCTAGTTTACCTGATATTAATATAGCCACTCCAGGCTTATTTCTCCTTTTTTTGCATGATATATCTTTTTCAACTCATTTACTTTCAACCTATCTGTGCTTTTATATTTACAGAACATCTCTTATAGAGAGCATGTCATTTGTTCTTGCCTTTTTTTAATTAACTCATCTGACAACTTCTGACTTTTTTAAAAAACAGGGTCTTGCTGTGTTGCCCAGGCTGGCCTGAACTACTGGCCTTAAGTGATTCTCCCAACTCTCTCTCCCAAGTAGCTGAGATTATAGGCACATGCACCTCAGCCATCTTCTGACTTTTTTTTTTGTTTGTTTTGTTTTTGTTAAGATGGAGTCTTGCTCTGTTGCCCATGCTGGAGTGCAGTGGTGTGATCTTGGCTCACTGCAACCTCCGCCTCCTGGGTTCAAGTGATTCTCCTGTCTCAGCCTCCCAAGTAGCTGGGACTACAAATGCAAGCCACCATGCCCGGCTAATTTTTGTATTTTTTGTAGAGATGGGGTTTCAGGCTGGTCTCGAACTCTTGACTTCCGGTGATCTGCTCCCCCCCGTGGCCTCCCAAAGTGCTGAGATTACAGGAGTGAGCCACCATGCCTGGCCCGTCTTCTGACTTTTTTTTTTTTTTGAGACGGAGTCTCGCTCTGTCGCCCAGGCTGGAGTGCAGTGGCCAGATCTTGGCTCACTGTAAGCTCCGCCTCCCGGGTTCACGCCATTCTCCTGCCTCAGCCTCCTGAGTAGCTGGGACTATAGGCACCCACCACCACGCCCGGCTAATTTTTTGTACTTTAAGTAGAGACGGGGTTTCACCATGTTAGTCAGGATGGTCTCGATCTCCTGACCTCGTGATCCGCGCACCTCGGCCTCCCAAAGTGCTGGGATTACAGGCGTGAGCCACCGCGCCCGGCCCTGGCTTTTAATTGAAGCATTTAGTCTACTAACAGAAGGTGACCTGACCCATTGACTAAAGACTCCCCCATGAAGACAGGACTGCCTTGTTATGTTTATTTGTTTCTTTATGACGTGTAAGCACACCCTGGGAACATGATGAACTGGAGTTTTCCCAGCAGCACCCAGCCAGAAAGGCAAGTGAGACACCCTTTGGGCCCTCAGCAGTCATTTAATGAGGTGTTACGATGCACCAACCTCATGGTGGCCTCTGGAGCTGACAGGCATGACCTAGGACCTCACTATAGGATCCTGTAATATAATTAAAAGGTCCTCAGATCACAAATGCAAAGGTTAAATGTGTCGCTGTTAACATGAGATAATCTCCATTCCTGTAGCATGTTTCTCTTTCTTTCCTTCCTTCTTTTCTTTTCTTGTCCCTCCCTCCCTCCCTCCCCTCCTCCCTTCCTTCCTTCCTCCCTTCCTTCCTTCCTTTTTTTTTTTTGAGACAGAGTCTCACTCTGTCACTCAGGCTGGAGTGCAGAGGCACGATCTCGGCTCACTGCAACCTCCGCCTTCCGGGTTCAAGCAATTCTCCTGGCTCAGCCTTCCAAGTATCTGGGATTACAGGCACCACCACCATGCCCAGCTAGTTTTTGTATTTTTAGTAGATACGGGGTTTCACCATGTTGGCCAGGCTGGTTTCGAACTCCTGCCCTCAGGTGAATTGCCCGCCTCAGCCTCCCAAAGTGCTGGGAGTACAGGCATTAGCCACTGCGCTCAGGCTTTCCTGTAGCATCTTTCTTATGGAAAGCTTTTCTCTGCTTTTTAAAATTGTTTCTTTTCATTTTCTATATGCAGTAGGTATTAGCAGTCATGAATTTAACCTTATGGTTTCAGTCATGAAGATTCATGGATTTGCATTTGTTGCTGATGTACAAGAGAGCCGGTCACACAGCGAAGAGAGTGAGCCCCACTGGCCACTGACTCCTCACTTTAACACAGCTTGGTGCTTCTGTTCTTCATCCCCGTGAAATAATGAGCACTTCTCAATGGAAGCACTTCTTACTGAGTTCATGAAGGTTGCGAGATCCGTTCCTTGAAGCTGTTGAGAGACTCTTGTTTTCAGAGGCTATTTCAGAGAAACAGAGGCTACTCTGTTTCACACATACTTACTGAAACCCTAAATGCAAGCCTCGCACTGGGATCCAAAGGTAAATTAAGATGATGGTCCCTGCCTGCAGAAGCTCTCAGCCTAGTGCAGGGAACAAACATGTGAATACATGCCCTTTTATTTTGTAAAAGGAGTGGTTGAGAGAGTGAGGAAGGAAGAAATGGCTCTGCTCATGAAGGTGAAGAGGGCATCAGGAAAAGGAGGTGTTACTTCAACTGCATCTTAAAGGGAGGTAACACCTGACCAGACAGGGAAAGGGGTTTCCCTTCTTGGTACAGGAAACCACATGTTCAGGTGAACAGAAGTGTCAACAGGAGGACAGGTAGGAGGACCACAAGTATTCCCATGGGACTGCAGCCAAGTATATGGGGTTAGCAGCCAGATAAGACTGTGGAGATTGGCCAGGCGCGGTGGCTCACACCTGTAATCCCAGCACTTTGGGAGGCCAAGGCGGGCGGATCATGAGGTCAGGAGATTGAGACCATCCTGGCTAACACAGTGAAACCCTGTCTCTACTAAAAATGCAAAAAAAAAAAAAAATATATTAGCCAGGCGTGGTGGCGGGCGCCTGTAGTCCCAGCTACTAGGGAGGCTGAGGCAGGAGAATGGCGTGAACCCGGGAGGTGGAGCTTGCAGTGAGCCGAGACTGCGCCACTGCACTGTAGCCTGGGCGACAGAGCAAGACTCCGTCTCAAAAACAAAAACAAAACAAAACAAAAAAACTGTGGAGATGGGTCAGCAGCAGGGGCCAGGTGATGATGCCAGACCACTGGGTCCTGGGCGCTTATCACCTTGTGCCTTGCTGGTCCCCAAGATGTGGTCCTCAAAAAACTAAAAAGCTATAGTCACATGCATTTGGAAGAAGCCAAGTTAAGGCTAAACAGGTTTTTATTTATTTATTTATTTAATTTACTTATTTATTTATTTTTACTGCAGGATTTCTAGAGCTTACAAAGTGCTAAGTGCATGAGGGCTCTACCAAGGGGGAAATATATAGCGCAGTGTGTACTGAACCCCTTTTGCAGGAAAGCCCTCAGAATCCTCACCTGGGGAAATTCTGCTGTAAGCAATGAAAGGCCATGGAAGGATTCAGATTTTCATTTGGAAATATGCATTCTGCGGAATGAGTGAGGGCTGGGTGGGGTGGGTAGTGAGATGAGACATAAGGAGACCAGTGGGGAGGAGGTGCTCCATGAAACACCTGAGTGCAAAGGGGCGTGCACAGGCTCAGGGATTCAAGAGGCATTTGAAGGTAGAATCAATAGACTGAACTGCCCTTGGGAGGGAGGGACGTGTGTCTGCGCCAGGGTTTTGGCTTCTGGCTCTGGTCATGTCTTATCGGTCATTGGATGTAGCTTCTGGCATCTAGCAGGAAGGCCTGCCCTACTAATATATTTGGAGTTGGGTGTGACTGTATGGCGGCACTGAAGCCTCAGTGGATGAGCTCATCACCAGGTCAAGTCTAAGGGGAGAACAGGACTGTGGACAGACCCAGCAGACATCCATGTTTTAGAAGTGGGCAGGGAGGAGTGGTCAGCAAGGGAGCAGGCGTCCTTGAAGCCAGGGGAGGACAGGGTTTCAAAAACAAGAGAGCAGTGTGTAGTAACCCTCCACATGCAAGTTACAACAGCAGAGAGGTTTTCATCTATCAAACCAGCAGAGATTGATTTATTTATGTATTTAACAGTTATATCTAGTGTTGGTAAGGGTGATAGAAAATAAGCACCCTCGTGCTATTGGGGCAACAGATAATATGTATCAAAAACCATAAAAAGTGTATATGCTCTTTGATTCAAATATTCCATCTCTAGACGCCTGTAATCCCAGCACTTTGGGAAGCTGGGGTGGGCAGATCACCTGAGCCCAGGAGTTCAAGACTAGCCTGTCCAACATGGCAAAACCCTGTGTATACTAAAAATACAAAAATTAGCCAGGCATGGTGGTGCACGCCTGTAATCCCAGCTGCTCAGGGGGCTGAGGCACAAAGACCACTTGAGGCGGAGGCTGCAGTGAGCCAAGATCATACCATTGCACTCCAGCCTGGGTGACAGAGCAAGACTCCATCTCAAAAAAAAAAAAAAAAAATCCATCTCTAGAAATTCATCCTAAAGAAATCACCATGGATGTGCACAGATTATTCTACAAGATTGTTCATAACAACATAGTATATAATATAAAAATATAATTATCCCATAACATAAGCTTGATTAAAAAAATTATGATAACAATATGATGAAAAAATACCACGAAGCCAGTAAAAAAAGTGTGCAATAATTAATGGCATAGTGAAATACTGCAATATAACGTGAAGCTAATAAAGCAAATAAGATCCTGTTTTTTGTATGAAAAAATACACATACATGTAAGAAAAAGAGACATCAAATATTACCAGTGATTATCTCTGGAAACAGGGATTTGGGTGATTTTAAAATTTGTTGGGGGTAATATTTTTACTTTTCTGTACTGACCTGGCATAAGTTCCTTAATCGCTGTGTGCCTCAGTTTCCTCATTTGTTAAAAGAGGAGGTTCCAATGGTATGTACCCCCTGATGATGTGCAAAAGTGATTATGAAACTATTTTCAAAAGTTTCTACAAAAGCAAGTTACCTCTGTAATCAGGAAAAAGTAGTTCTTTTAGTGCTCTGAATAGTGTAATAATAATATTTATTTTATTTCATTTTATTATTTACCCTTGCAGAAATTTACTTCTTCGGTAAAAGACAGACTAGGCATGTGCTTAAGGAGCCAGCAAATGACCATTTACATTAATAATTTATTTAATATAGAAATTTTTATTGAAGTGATGACTTCTAAATGTGATTTTTGGGGGCATTATACACTTGCTTCGAGGTTTAATCTTCAATCCACATGGGGGGGCACCATAATCACTGGTGCCCAGGGCCCTCGTCTAGCCCCTGTGAGGCCCTTTGCAGTCCCTCCCTTGCCAGCCCCTCCAGCCTCCGCCATTTGCCCCGTGGGCTCTCCAGGTTCCACTTGAGGAGCTGCCCCCTGCCCCAGCCCAGCTCTACTGCTGTGTGACCTAGCGTAAGTCCCTTAACCGCTGTGTGCCTCAGTTTCCTCATTTGTTAAAAGAGGAGGTTCCAGTGGTAGGTACCCCCTGACGATGTGCAAGCATCACAGAAATGACACAAGACACACACTGAGAACATGCCTCGCGCGTGGCAAGTGCTGACTGTTACCTGCCATTATTAGGCTCCCCCGCCGGGGTCTCAGGGCCTTGGCACAAGCTCTTCCCTCTGCTTGGAGCACTTTCCTCCACTGACCTTTCCTGGCGCTCCAGGTCAACTCCAGGAGCCTTCCCAGTACAGTCTAGGTGCCTTCTCCTTCCGCAGCGCCTGAACCACACAGGAATAAGTAAGGCGAGAGCGCGCCCAGAGAAGAGCAGAGAGTGCAGAAAGGGGCTGAGTTAGTAGAGGCATTTCCGCGGGGATCCTTCTCCTGCCAGGCCTGCACCGGGGCCGTGGCGACTGAGAAGTGCACAGGTGGCTCCCGGGTGCTCCAGAAGGGCCCCAGAGCTCCTGGCCCGGCTAAAGGCAGGAGGCGGGTGCGCGTCTCCCCCGCGAAGCTGGATCAGTACTGGGGGCGCAGGGGGCGCACGCCGCGCAGCGAGGGCTGGCGGGGGCGGCCTGCCTGGGGCGCTGCCCAGGCTCACGCGGGAGCCAGGTGGGGGCGCGGGGAGGAGCAGCTGAGCAGGTGCCGGGAAGGAGGCGCCTGCAGCATGCCATGGCGACCCGCGCACGCGACGGCGGGGCGGCCGGGTGGCACCACTGGCGGGACCGGAAGGGCGCCGCGGCCCTAGGATCTCTGCGCCGAGGCCCGCGGCGGAAGCCACGACGGCCATGACCACGCTGACGCCCAGGCTGCGAGCCCCTCGCCCGGGCCGCCTGCCCACCCGCCACGCCCAGGTAGCACCTCGGGGTCTCCCCACCCGCGACACCGGCCGCAGCCCCGGGCCCCCTCGCAGGCGTGGCCCCCGCTCCCAGGCCCCGCCCCCGCCCCCCCATTGGTCAGTCCCGGGGTGGGGGCGGGCGACGCGGACCGCTGGGCAGGGCAGGGCAGGGACTCGCGGGAACCGCACCAAGCGGGTGGCTGCAGGAGCTCGCCCATCGCCCCTGCGCTGCTCGGACCGCGGCCACAGCCGGACTGGCGGGTACGGCGGCGACAGACGGATTGGCCGAGAGTCCCAGTCCGCAGAGTAGCCCCGGCCTCGAGGCGGTGGCGTCCGCGTCCTCTCGTCCAGGAGCCAGGACAGGTGTCGCGCGGCGGGCGCTCCAGGGACCGCGCTGAGGCCGCGGTCGCCGCCCGTCCCGCCCCGCCCCGCCGCCCGCCGCCCGCCGAGCCCAGCCTCCTTGCCGTCGGGGCGTCCCCAGGCCCTGGGTCGGCCGCGGAGCCGATGCGCGCCCGCTGAGCGCCCCAGCTGAGCGCCCCCGGCCTGCCATGACCGCGCTCCCCGGCCCGCTCTGGCTCCTGGGCCTGGCGCTATGCGCGCTGGGCGGGGGCGGCCCCGGCCTGCGACCCCCGCCCGGCTGTCCCCAGCGACGTCTGGGCGCGCGCGAGCGCCGGGACGTGCAGCGCGAGATCCTGGCGGTGCTCGGGCTGCCTGGGCGGCCCCGGCCCCGCGCGCCACCCGCCGCCTCCCGGCTGCCCGCGTCCGCGCCGCTCTTCATGCTGGACCTGTACCACGCCATGGCCGGCGACGACGACGAGGACGGCGCGCCCGCGGAGCGGCGCCTGGGCCGCGCCGACCTGGTCATGAGCTTCGTTAACATGGGTGAGTGCGGCCGCCCGCGCGGGGACCCTCGGAGTAAGCTGGCTGCAGGGGAGGGGCGCGCATCCGCGGGCTGTGCCGGGCCCTGGCCGAACGGGGAGTCACAGACGGTGGACGCGAACCACAGGGGAGTGGGACCGCCGTGGTTAGGGAAGGTCTAAGGGTCATGGGGGCCCCCTGGGCTGCGGGGTGGTCAGGAGCAGAGTGTGGGGGACTGTGGACTCCCAGGCGCTGCCTTCACCCTGCCCCAAACACACCCAGGAGTAAGAATCAGGTGATGTCTTTGCCCACCTGGGCTGCCCCGGGAAGACAGCCTGGTCCTGGGGAGACAGGTGAGTAAACAGAGGCCGGGATGCTGTCACTGTGATAAGGGCAGTACTGAGGAGAGGGACAAAGTTCAGCGTGGAAACCTGTGGTCACATCGGAGTGACCAGAGCTGAGTCGCGTGCCCTGAGTCCACAGCAGGCTCTTCTCTGTGCGGAGCCTGGGTGGGGTGCGGCTGTCAGGGGGGCGGCTGGGGAAGGAGCAAACTCAGCTCGCTGGGGCAGGGACTGTTGCCTTGTCACCCTGGGCCCAACACCTGGGATGTGATCTGGTATGGGGTGAGTGTCCAGTCCTGTGGAATGGTCCAGTGGGCAGCTGGACCCACTTTGTTCTCCCAGGCAAAGCCCGGCTTTTCCTGTCTGCAAATATCTTGTATCAAACCCTGGAGCTATTTATTCCCTAAGATCTCAGAGATTTTTTTTCCAGTACTAAACTCTTTGGTCTATGGTCATGTAGTTACTATTGGTCAGGTCACCCATCTGCTTTGCCTCCTGTCTGTGGCTAGTGACAGTCTGGGGTCTGGGGAACCAAGGACCACAGATCAGCCCAAAGTCGGGGAGCTGTGGGGCTGAGAGGAGGGAGAGGGTCCCTGGCCCCGGCCATCAGCCTCCCTCCACAGACAGCATCATTAATTCTTCATCCTCCCGACAACCCTGATAACAGCCACGGTCTTCATCCCCATCTCCCAGATGAGGACAGTGAGGCTCAGAGAGGCAGCGCCATGCCTAGGACAGCGCAGCCTCTACGCTGCTGAGCCAGGACAGGCCCAGGAAGCCTGACTGTCCATCCAGGGCTCAAAGAGATGACATTTCTGTTGTCAGGTCAGGCTTTCAAGGTGCAGAGACCTTTCTGAGGAGTCTGGGCTGAGGAAAACAGGGGACTGAGCCGCAGCAGGTTTTGTGGGGCCATCAGCCATTTGCTTCCTACACTAGGACAGAAGAGGGCATGGCCAAGCCTCTGCTTCCCGCAACCCAGAGCTGGTGGTGGAGGCGAGCAGCAGGAGGCAGCCATTCACCATCACTGAGCGCCCAGTGCCAGGGACAGGACTCTAGCCGGTGGGATCTGGATGCTGCCTTTGTAGTTAGAGGACAGGGTGGGGATGTGGGACAGAGGAGACCATCTGTGAAGCTGGGGCTGGGGCTCTGTCATCAGGACAGGCTGACACTGGGCTCAGGACCAAGAAGAGTTGTGGATGGAGTCGTCCAAGAATGTCCCCAGGGAGCCGCCCATCAGAATGCGTCACCACCCAGCCCACATCCGACCTCCCCTGGCATCCCCTGGGTCAAGGCATGCACAGCCTGGTGGGGCTATTGCTATGAATTGGGCAGGGCCTACCCCTCTGTGTGACCTTAGGAAAGTTCCTCACCCTCTCAGCCTTCGTTGCTCCTTGTAAAATGAGGTGCCTGGTGATCTGTCCTCAGGGTTGTTGTGTGATTGGTAGAGGGGCAGGAGTAGAAAGCCTGTGCTGCTCCCCTCAGAGGGTGAACCTGGACCTGGGCACTGTTGGCCCCAGGCCCTCCCAGCTGTGGCCTAGTTCGGAGGTGACAGGAACATCTCCACATGTCTTATACACATGTAAAACCTAGAAATGGATTCTAAAAGCCAATCAAAAAGTGTTTGTACCTGTTTTTAGAATGAAAAGTAGCATGTGAACTTTCACAGCCTTACAATTCCTCATTTAACTCATGTGAGACTGTTTTGCCAGCCCTGTTTCATGGGCTCAGAGAGGTTAAATAGCCAGCCCAGGGCCACACCGCACATCCGGGGTGACATCCACGGCTGTGGATTTCAAATCCCAGCTTCTTCCCACACCAGCTTTGTGCATTTCATGAAGACTTGGGGCCTCCAGCGCTGCGAGATTAACAAGCAGATCATTGTTAGTGGAAGCCCAGGCTGTGGGTGGGCGCAGCCAGCTGTCAGAAAGGCCTTCTTTATTCTGCTGTGCTAACTGCACTAGTAGAACTCTCTCAGTTAGAGTAGCTTTAACTGGTAATTACTGAGGCTGGGTGGGGCGGTGGGGGGGCATGGATTAGACACATACCAGGATGCTCTCCATGTTTGGAGGCCCCTGGAGGTTGGTGGCCCTTCTCCTGCCTCAGCCTCCCGAGTAGCTGAGATTACAGTCATGTGGGCAGAGGCCACCACGGGATCTAATAGCAGGGTCACTGTGGTGTCACCGCCCACACGCAGGCTCCCACACCTGCTCCTGCCGGCTCCACCTCTCCTATCAGCTTCATCTGACTCCTGAATAGCCAGGTCTGGTGCCCGTAGGGCCCAACTCTTGATGGCAGCCTGTGGGACCCAGGGGGCGGGGCTCTCATAGGCCTCCCACCATGGCTCAGGTCTCCGTGCAGAGCAGGTGCTTTAGGAAGCCAAGCCTGCGTCCTGATGTTCAGAGCCTGCACTGGGAGGCCAGGGCTGGGGTCAGAGCCGGGGCCCTGCCTGGCCTGTCATCCATATCAGCCTGTAGACCTGGGCTCTCTTGGGCAGGACAGTGATGGAGCGGTTGGATTCTGTCCCTGGTCTCTCTGTGCTCAGGGAGGGGAGAGCCCTGAGCTGGGAGGCAGGACCCAGGTTCTTGTGCTGCCTGGGCCCACCATTAACTCCTGCATGTCCTGAGCCACGGCCCTTCCCTTCCCTGGGCCTCTGCTTTCTCGTCCATTCTACGGTGATGGCATCAGAAAAGCAAGGTGCCTCCCAGCCCTGACCCTGTGGCTCTGTGGCAGAGGCGCCTTCTCACAACACCGCCATGCCTTGGCCCCAGTGCCTCAGGGCAGCCCGGCCCCTCCTGAGGGAGGAAGGATGGCAGGAAGGACCACCTCTGCACACTCCTTCTGAATCCTTCTCCACCCATCTCAGCAGAGAGGCAGGTGCCCATGTTCCAGATTGAGAAACTGAGGCATAAGCAGGCCTAGCAGGCAGAAGTCCAGCCAGGATCAGAATGCAGGCAGCTTCATTTTTGTCCTGATCCCTTCCTGAACCAGACAGATTTGCTCCTGTGGTCTCCGGTGGCCATGGACAGGGGTGTTGATGAACAGAGCCGTCTGGATTTGGGAGAAGCAGGACTGAGTGGGAATTCGGGACCTGGCCCGGGTCCTGCTCTGCCCTTGCCAGCCGTGTGACCTAGAAGGGTGGCACCATCTCCGTGGGCCCCAGGGCCACTTCCTTTGGTTCTTTACCAGGGACCTCTTTCATTTTCCCATTCATTCATTCAGCAAATAGTTCTGTAGCACCTACCACGGACCAGGCAGAGTTCTAGTTGCTGGGGATATAACAATGAGAGAAGTAAAGTCCCTGCCCTCAGGGAGATGACTTTCTAGTCTAGAGACACATAATACATACATGAGCCCTAAAGGTAATTGTCGGGTGTGCTAGACAGCAACGCCCCATCGGGAAACAGGAGGGGCTGAACAATGGCAGGACAGACAGGGCTAGATTGGGGGTTTCTGACCTGAGACCCACACACAAGGAATTTGCATCCTGACGCCAACACCTGATCTCAGTGTGATCTGGGCTTTCCAGTCAACCTCCCCAAGCCTCAGTTTCCTCCTCTGTAAAATGGAGATACTCATCTTATGGGGCTGTTGTGGGCTTGTGTGAGATGATACCCAGCGATGCCCACGTGCCCAGAACCTCTGCATCTCTTCCTTCATTGGTATCTCACAATTGCCGTCACATCTGTGTTTGAAAGAGAGGAGAGAGAGGCTCAGAGCAGATAGGTGGTTTTCCTAAGGCCACACAGCAGATTGTCCCCCTGCCTCCACATCTTCTGCTCTTCTCCAAAATAGCAGCTGCCTCTCCACACAGCCCAGGGCCTGGCCCACCGTTAAATGCAGTGTGTGCTGCTGAAATGGACTGTGTTGAATGGGAACGTGTGATGTAAACTGAGACTACTGCTTAAAAAATATGTTTTTATTTTCAGAGACAGGGTCTTGCTCTTTCACCCAGACTGGAATGCAGTGGCATGGTCATAGCTCACTGCAACTGCAAACTCCTGGCCTCAAGCAATGTTCTCACCTCAGCCTCCTGAATGGCTAGAACTACAGGTGTGCACCACCATGTCCAACTAATTGCTTCAAATCTTTTGTAGAGGCGGGATCTCATTATATTGCCCAGGCTGGTCTCAAACTCCTGGCCTCATCTGATCCTCCTGCCTCAGCCTCCCAAAGTGCTGGGATTACAGGCATGAACCACTGTGCCCAGCGTTTTCTTTTCTTTCTTTTTTTTAACTGCATACGTTAATGCTCACTGTTTTGCAACTTTGTTGTTTTTCATTTAACAATAAATCTTTTATCCATCTTAAAAGTCAACTATTAGGGTGACTGTATGCCCAAAGGTATTTGTCCTTGCAATAATTGAAGGTGGGTCCCTTTTCCCCAAAGTTCTGTCTGGCCACCAGAATGGTGCACCCTTTCCATCCCTAGTGACTGGTCCTACCCATTTCCGCAGTGTTTTCTCACCCCTGAGTAAATGATTATGACTGCCCTCATTCACAGAGGAGGAAGCTGAGTCTCAAAGAGTGTAAGTGACTGGCCCCGGGTCCTGGATGCACAGACCCACAGGAGCAGATATGAAAGGTAGATCACAGCTGTAGGAGGGTAGGCCCTGGAAGTGGGGCAGCAGAGTGGTGGTTAGTGACCCTGGAGTGGGGCTCACTGGCTTTCAATTCTGAGTCTACTGCTTAAGAGCTATGAGCTGTTGAACAGATCATTTAAAGTCTCGGCATCTCAGTTTCCTCATCTTTAAAACTGGGATAATAATGCCTGTATCCGGCCAGGTGTGGTGGTGTGCGGATCACTTGAGGTCAGGAGTTCAAGACCAGCCTGGCCAACATGGTGAAACCTTGTCTCTACTAAAAATGCAAAAAAAATTAGCCAGGCATGGTGGCGCGGGACTGTAGTCCTAACTACTCAGGCGGCTGAGGCGAGAGAATTGCTGGAACCTGGGAGATGGAGGTTGCCTGGGAGACAGAGCAAGACTCTGTCTAAATAATAATAATAATGCCTGTATCATAATACAATGATTAAATAGGTTAAGGCACATAAAAACCTAGCAAGTGTCTGGCCAGGCACGGAAGCTCACGTCTGTAATCCCAGCACTTTGGGAGGCCAAGCGGGGGCGGATCACCTGAGGTCAGGAGTTAAAGACAAGCCTGGACAACATGGTGAAACCCCGTCTCTACTAAAAATACAAAAATTAGCCGGCTGTGGTGGCAGGCGCCTGTAATCCCAGCTACTTGGGAGGCTGAGGCAGGAGAATTGCTTGAATCCAAGAGGTGGAGGTTGCAGTGAGCCGAGATCGCGCCATTGCACTCCAGCCTGAGCAACAGGAGCGAAATGCCATCTCAAAAAAAAACAAAAACAAAAACAAAGCAAGTGTCTGGCACTGCTCAATAAGTGGCTGTATTATGAGGGAAGGGCCTGCGGATTATGCCCCATCCCCCAGTCATTTACTTAGGGACCTAGAGCAGAGTAGTAAAAAGCATAGCTCCAGAATCTGACCAGGCTGCCTGGGTGAGATCCTCATTCCACCTAGGCATCCTTGTAGTGGATGCTGTGGGGGGCTTCCCAGAGCTTCTCTTCAGCATTGAGTCGCTCGTGACCCAGCTGCCTGGAGTGCCGGCTGCTGACAGCTCACAGGGGAGTCCTTCTCTAGGTTTTTTTTGTTTTTTTTTTTTTTGAGATGGAGTTTTGCTCTTGTCACCCATGCTGGAGTGCAATGGTGCGATCTTGGCTCACTGCAACCTCCTTGGGTTCAAGCAATTCTTCTGTCTCACCCTCCCAAGTAGCTGGGATTACAGGCACCCGCCACCACGCACGGCTAATTTTGTATTTTTAGTAGAGATGGGGTTTCATCATGTTAGTCAGGCTGATCCTGAACTCCTGACCTCAGGTGATCCACCCACCTCAGCCTCCCAAAGTGCTGGGATTACAGGCGAGAGCCACCACGCCCTACCCTTCTCTAGGTATTGATTGACTGGGCCTAAAGAACTGCCCAAGGTTAGGCACCATCCCTGGGGACACCCACCATCCAACAGCTGGTCTATGGCAGTACCAGTGCCCAGCCCCCTTGCCTTAAAGAGAGACAGCTCTAAAGGGCCACCAGCCCCCAGAGCTCCCAGTGTGGTCTCAGTTGTCTGAGGCCTTTGTTGTGGGTGCATCCAAAACTTGCTCCCTTCATTCACTACAAAAAGCAGTAAACTTTCCAGTTTTCCCAGTAAACTTTCCGACCCAGTGTCTGTTGCCCAGAGAGCCTAACCTAAGATACAATTTACACGATTATGGTCTAATTTATTTAATGCTCTGAGCCTCAGTTTCCTCATCTGTAAAATGGGAGAGCTACCTCATTAGATGATTAGGAGTATTAAATGAGTTAATCTGTGTAAAATTATGAAAAGAGTGGCTGGTCAGTGCTCAATAAATGTCAGCTTTATTTGTTTTTAGCCCAAGGCCAGCTGGTTAGTGGCAAGACCAGAAGCAAAAGTTGGTGATTTCCTTTAACTGCTGGCTCTATCTTGAGTAGCAGCCGTTCCTTCTGAACAGTCCTGGACCCTGCACACATCAGGGTTCTGGGGAAGTTGATGGCTGCAAGACCTGGGTGTGGAGAAAGTTGACTCATTCAGGGCTTTAAGAGCAGTCTATGAACACTCCTTAGCAAGCACTGCTGCAAACCTACTGTGTGCTGTTCCTCTTCCTGTTTATCTTGGGGGCTAATAAAAGTATAGCCCCAGCCCAACCCAAAGTCTGCTCATTTACTGAGAAAGAGAAGCCCAAAGACAACTCAATATAAATGATCCCCAAATGGAAGAAATGTCCATTCACCCACCTGGCAAACATGGGTGTGAGGGTTCAACAGTTCAGAAGACCGACAAGATCCTTCTCTCGTTTTCTGGGAGACAAACAAGGCCAAAGGAGAGGAGGCATGGCTCCCGGCTGGAGATGGGGTCTCGCTGTGTCACCCAGGCTGGAGTGCAGTGGCGCGATCACAGCTTGCTGCAGCCTCAACCTCCCAGACTCAAGTGATCCTCCCACCTCAGCCTCCCAAGTAGCTGGGAAGTACAGGTGCCTACCACCATGCCCAGATAATTTTTAAACATTTTTTTATAGAGACGAGGTCTCATGATGTTGCCCAGGCTGGTCTTCAGCTCCTGGGCTCAAGCCATCCATCCACATTGGCCTCCCAAAGTGCTGAGATGACAGGCGTGAGCCACTGCGCCTGGCCTCTTGCATGTTTTTGAAATGCCAGTTCCTGAAGTGAAAATCCCATCATGGCTTTTCCTGCTCAGGAGCTTCTGTGTGTCCCTTCAAGCCAGAATGGAATTCACGTTTCCCCAGCCTGGCATTCAGAGTTCAGCGTTCTAGTCAACTGCACCGCTTGGTGCTCCCTTGACATATCTGCAGCTTGGAGAGGTCGTGGATTAGGAGAAGTGAATGTAGACTTTGGAGTCCAGACAGACTTTGACCCAAATCCCACCTTGGATGCTTCCAGTTGTGGCCTTGTGCAAATCAGTTAACTTCTGGGATCTTTAGTGCTCTCATCTATAACCTGGGATGAATAATGTCCCCCACAGTGTTGTCATGGTGCCGCCTTCACCATGGCCCTCGATGGTCCCACTTCCTGAGATGCACAGAGTTCTGTGTCCCCTCCAACACTGTGCCAGTGCTGGTCTGTGTGACCAATAGAATATGACACTAGTGGTGATAGGTCCCTGCCAGGATTAGTCTATAAAAGACCATGGCTTCCATCTCTCGGATGCCTCGTTCTGGGGGAGGCCATGAGGTGAGCAGCCCTATGGAGAGGGCCACATGGTGAGCAGCTAAAGACAGCGCGTGGAAGTGGATCCGTCAGCCCCAGCTAAGTCTTCAGAGACTGCAGCCCTAGCTGACAGCTTGACTGTGACCTCATAAGAGACCCTGATCCAGACCTACCCAGCTAAGTTCCTGGATTATTAGCCCTAAGAACAATGTGCAACAATATGTGTTTGTTGTTTTAAACTGCTACATTTGCATAATGAGTTACACAGCCACAGACAACTAACACAGTCAGGTTAGCATGAACAGAAAGGACGTACCACGTGTGCCCAGCATGGTGCCTGACACAGGTCAGTGCTTAAAAAGTGTGACCTGGCACAGCATCTCCCGCCTCTCAGCCTTTCCCTGGGTGACTCTTCAGTTCTCTTCCTCAGTTCTTCCACCCCTCTTGAATATGTTTTCAAGGAAAGTTTTCTCTGCCTCCTTCTTCCAAAGCCCTGTATGTGACTGCGACCGTCACTGAAGCACCTGTCCTGCATTGTGTGCACTTCTCTTAGGATTCCAGTCGCTTTCTGTCTATGTGATGCAGGGGCTCACCTAGCCCCTCTTTCTCCTCCTCCCCAGCAACCTCTGAACAACCTGAGAATAGGGACCAAGTGTGACTCTTCCTGGCACCCCCCATGGTGCACCCAGCCCCTGAGTGGCAGGAAATTGAGGGAAAGAGGAACCCAGCAGGAGGCAGCGAGTGCCAAGAGCAGGGAGGAGCCTGGGTCTGGTCAGGTGGGACAGAGTAGGGCCGGCCCTCCCTGTCTGTGTGCGGGCCGACAATGGGTGCCATAGCTCCCTGGGCCCTCCCCTGGAACCCCAAGTCCCCACAGGGCCCTGCCTGGAGGAAGGTGGCTTCACGGGCATTCTCGGGTGTCTGTTGATAGGAGGGCCTTGTTGACGGGTGACCCCCATCCCAATATGTCCCATTGAACTCCAGGGCCACTCATTTCACACTGGCCCCAAGTGTGAACATCCACATCACAGGCCTCTAATCTGACACGGGCCTCTAATCTAACCCTGGAAACCCTCTGTCCCTCCTTGGCCTCAGTTTCCCCATCTCTGCAGGGTTGCCTGAAGGCCTTTCCAGGTCTGACCAAAGAATGTGCCCACCCCCTGCCTGCTGATGGGGGCTCTTCCGGGCTGAGGCACAGGGTGGGGAGGTGCACCCAGCCCCCCTCCTCCCGGAACCTCTTTCCCATAGGCAAGAGAGGATGCGTCACCATGACCACTTCTTTCTGGAAAATTCCCACAGTTCATTCTTTCCCGGGATTTCACTGGAGGAATTGCGTCTTTCTTGCTTACATCTCCTGGGATCTATTCTTGGCCTTGGCGGGCTTGATGTGGAGGCATGTGTGGGTGTTCCCTTTTAATTTGGGGTCCAGAACTGTCTGAGGCCTGGACCGGTAATTATGAGAGCAGCACCATTTATGGAAACAGCCCTTGAAGCAAGCCAGTGATGAGACCCGGCTGGAAATACCTCAGCATGGAGCCCTGGGCTCGCCTTGAGGCGGTGCTGAGATTTCTGGGTGGGAGAAGCCCCTTCAGGACGCAGAACCAACAGGTCATGAGTCCCGCCCTCCCTTGGCCTGCAGAGGCTGTGGGGCCCAAGCCTTCTTTTGGGTCTGAAGTGCCCCTGCCCCACCGCCTTTGCTGCCTGTGGGACCAGCCAGGCAGGCCCAGCCCATGCACCCGGGGCTCTGGGGGAGCCGCTGTCCACCCTCAGGGGCCAGGCCGGGAGAGGAGGCAGGTCCACAGCAACGGGAATGTCGGTGGCTTCTGATGGAGTCACATGGGGACATGGTAGCCACACCCAGACTGGCAGTGATACCCAGCCCAAAGGGCTCTGAGTTCCGGACACTGAGCCGCTGTCCTGGGGACAAGAGACCCTTGGGAAGAAGGGGCCGGGGCACCCCCGCTCTGGGGCCCCGAAACACAGGGGCCGATGAGTTGACGTGCGAGCCTCCCATGTCCACCCACGTGGCTCCGTCCCGGCCCTCCAAGGGCTCGCTGTCCAGAGGAACAGCTGAACCAGAGACAGCAAGCCCTGGCATGGGGGCCGGGAGAGGCTGAAAGCCTGACCTGCCTGGGGTCTGAGGACTGGGAGCCTTCTCAGTCGGACTGAGAGGGACGGGGCCACCCGGGGAGAGCAGCTTCCAGGAGGGACTCTGCGGGAGGCGTCTGCAGGTAGAAGGCACAAGAGGCCGGAGGGACAGATGGCAGGGCCAGCGAAGGGAGGGCCCTGGGACACTCTTCCTGTGGGCCTTTCAGGGCTGGGGAGGGTCTGAGGGGAGGTGGGATGGGTCACAGGCCACAAGATTCTGCTCTGAGCTGGAGGATGAGGGTGTCTTTTGAAGTCCCACTTTTTGGTCAGAAATAAGACAGATTTAGGTTGTCTGGGTGAGACTAAATTGCCCAGAGCACAAAAATAGCCAGAGCCCTTGTTGATGTTGGGCTGAGGGTCGCAGAGTTTGGCATCTGGAAGCCTAGCCTGGAGTGGCAGGCACAGGGCCCCAGATGTGGCCAGCGGAAGCCAACTTCTGCCCACAGGGCCTTTCCTGGAAGCGTGGGGTTGCTTCCGAAGTTTGCTTTATCCAAGGCTGGAGGAGGAGGCTGAGGGTTTCCATCAGCACAGGTTGGTGATTCATGATTGTTTATTTTCCCAGGAGCCACATTAAGGTGGTTTAGAAAGCAAATTCATTTGCTGCTTCCCCAGACAGAAGCTGGTTCAGCGTGAGACCATTTGGGGCAGCTTTTATGATTTTGTAGAAAATAAATATTTAGAGGTGCTTATGGAACCAGGTATAGCTTGGTCTGTTTCCTGTGACCAACGAATTGCTCTCTGCATATGTCTTTTCATATTTTTGCCAATACATCTTTGGAATTCTTGTGTCAAATGTAATTTTGCTAGGTATTGCTAAATTCCTCCTCTACACAGCATTCCTATCAGCAACGCCTGAGAGAATGTTCATGTCTGATCTTAATCTTTTTCTTTCTCAAAGGCCATACGGAGCACCCTATGAAAAGCACCCATTACTCTTGAGCCCATAACCTTTTCTGTTTCCTTCATAGCATTTACAGTAGAACAATAGAAATGACATCCCATATTTTAGTTGCTTTTTGTTTGCATTTTATGTCTTCCGTTGGACCGTAAACTCCCTGTGTGTGGAAAAAGTATCTTGTTTATTGTTGTATTGCCCAGAACAGTGTTGTACACACAGTAAGAACTGAATAAATTTATTTCTAAATTAAACATGATGATCTTATTAGATGAGTGAAAGAATACATTTATTTAGAAAAACTTAATTCAAAGTATTATTTCTGACCAAAAAGTAAGACTTCAAAAGACACCCTTGGGTGCTGTGGGACAAGGCACGTTCTTTCCTTCTCCGCCCTGGGCTGGGATGAGCGGCCACCTCCTCCTGCCCACACACGTCTGGCCCCATCCCCTGCCCCGCACAGCTGTTCGCCTGCCCATGGCCGGACCAGGTCCCCACCACGAGGACAGGAAGTGCTCCCCACATCCGCCTCGGCCCGCACAGCCTGGTGCTTTTACAAACCTGACCGTGGTCACTGAGCCCAGTAACCACAGAGAATTTTTAAAAAGACTCACAAACATATCATTGAAATCTCAGTGCTGGGTTTTGGGGAAGGCACTGGGCGGCTCCCACCCCTGCTTTCTGGAAACACAGATTTCTAGAGTTTGAAACGGATGGGAGGCTAAAGTGAGACTGCCCTAAATATAGCGTCCTGGGTATTTCCGGACACCTGGGGAAATGTGGGCTTTATTCCGCAACTACAGCCTTTGTTTGATTGGCAGGCCAGCCCCTGCCACGGGGCCCTGCTGCCCATCTCACTTCCAGCCTGGCCTCTACCCTCACCTCCACTGTGTCTTCTAATTCCCCTCCACCCACGCCGCCTCCCTGCTGCCCCCGTCCCCTGTGCTTCCCACTGGCCAGAGGCGCAGCCCAGGCTCCTGGCCCGGGATTCGCACCCTCAGCAGGCAGGCCGCAGCAGAGCTCATGTGCCGTCCCCAACATCGCTGACCTGTGGGCGCCTCCACCCTGTGCATGCGAGGTCCCCTCTCCCTAGAGCACCCTCCCTGCCACCTTCTCCACCTACCAAGACCCATCCCACCCTTCAAAGCCAGTTCAGATGCCACCTGCTCAGATCCCATCACCCAGTGAGACCCTCCGACTTCCCCAGCACCTGACTGGCCTCTCTGGGAGTTGTCACTCCTGCCCTGGTTTTTCTTGTTCCTTTCCACGTTTCCCTCCTTCCTCTTCCAGCTTGTTCCAGAAAGGAAACGTGGGTCTCCTGCCCTCTGCTGTTTCCTGGTGCTTGCTTTCCCTGCCCTGCCCTCAGACCCCTCTGCTCTGGCCCTCTGCCTTGGCTGGCCGGCCCCTGCAGGGCCCGTCTCCCTGACACCATGGCAGATTCGCACTCATGCCTCAGCCCAGCTCAGCTGTCAGCCCTGAGCCCTCCCCTGCCGCACCTCCCATCCAGGCAGTGGGCAGGCTCTGGATGCCTTGTGTCCCCTGAGATGCCGTCAGTTATGTCGGTTATGTTCCTGTCTACCAGGTTTCCCTGCAGGGCTGGGGCCCTTTTCTGCCTTGGGTCCAATGTCCATCTTCCCTTTAGCCTGGAAGTTCCCAGAGGAGGCTCCCTCCTCTGTCTCATCTCTGAGTCCCAGGACCAGCCGGGCCGAGAAGGGGGCGCAACGGGAGTTCAGGGTTTGGAGCCTGGGGCCTGCTGAGCACCAGCCAGCTGCGGGGCTCAGGGTGAGCCTGGCTGCAGGGCCTCTTGGCCCTGTCTACACCCCGGGACCAAGCCTGGAACAAACGTTTGCACTAAATGAAGCCGGCCCCACCCAGGCCTCCCTGGGTCCGCTCCACCTTGAGTGGTGGGTGGCTGGGGGCGGTGGCTCACACCAGCTCTGCCCCCTCCAGAGCCCGAGCCATTCTGAGTGCCAGCCCAGCGCTGCTTTGTCTTCTAGTGGAGCGAGACCGTGCCCTGGGCCACCAGGAGCCCCATTGGAAGGAGTTCCGCTTTGACCTGACCCAGATCCCGGCTGGGGAGGCGGTCACAGCTGCGGAGTTCCGGATTTACAAGGTGCCCAGCATCCACCTGCTCAACAGGACCCTCCACGTCAGCATGTTCCAGGTGGTCCAGGAGCAGTCCAACAGGTGCCTTCCCCTTGGCCCGGGTGCCCCACCTAACCCCCCACCTCACAGTCTCATGGTCAAGGCAGCCCAGCAGGGAGTCGTGGTGGGCTGAAAGAGAGCCTCAAAGATGGGAAGGATGCTTGGCCCGAGGCCCCTGCACTGTGGGAAGAGCCCCAGTGACAATCCTGACTTCAAGTCCCTGCCCTGCCATCCTGGCTGTGGGGACTTGGACAGGTCACTGAGACTCAGTTTCCCCATGTGTACACCTCTGTGGGCTGAGGCAATGAGATGAGGCTCAGAAGGGGCGCAGCCAGAGTCAGGTGGGAGACACTCCGGTGACAGCCCCCAGCGGGCCCTGGAGACACGGAGGCAGCTGTGCCGGCCGCCGGTTAATTGTTCTTTCATGTCCACAGGGAGTCTGACTTGTTCTTTTTGGATCTTCAGACGCTCCGAGCTGGAGACGAGGGCTGGCTGGTGCTGGATGTCACAGCAGCCAGTGACTGCTGGTTGCTGAAGCGTCACAAGGACCTGGGACTCCGCCTCTATGTGGAGACTGAGGACGGTGAGGCTGGGGGCTCTGCAGCCCCTGGGGCTTCTCTGTGCCAGCACAGGCAGCGGTAGTGGCTTCCTGTGGCCCTGGGTGCCCGGCCTCACCAGCTGTGCCCGCTGCAAGGGTCACTGAGGTCCAGGGCACGAGGTCTGGCCTAGTGGGGGTGCTCCCTCCTCTCCCTCTGCTTCCCAGGAAGCAGGCGGCTCTTCCCACGGAGCAGCCTCCACCTTGGGAGTTTCTGTCCTGGGAAGGGAAGGAGGGGAAGTGGCTGTACCCTCAGGCACTGAGGCCAGGAGGCTGGGTTTGAAGCCCAGCTTGGCAGTGCCCTGCCTCAGTGACCTTGGCTGGGACTTACCTTTCCAGACCCCGTCTTCTCTTCCGCAGGATGGGGATTCACGCCCTTGTTCATTCCACAGGTGACACTGGGGAGAGCCTCTTTTATGCCAGGCAGTAGGAATACAGAGGCCAAAGTGGGCACGAGATGGGTGTGTTTGAGGCCCGGCAAGGGGGCGCCATGGAGCAGCGGTGAGGGCGGGGGACCCAGGGGCCATTCTGAGTCAGAGTAAACCAGGGCCAGGTGCTGGGGTTCTTAGCGTCATTTATTTTATTTACTAGCAGTGGAGGACGACAGGATCTGATTCAGGTTTTAAAAGAGAACCCTCTGAGATGCCCCCCTCTCGGGGTGGAGCAGAGCTCCCCACCCCTTCCGTGGGCTGCACCCAGTGACTTGCTTCCCGAAAGTGCGGTGTGGACAGGGCGTGGGGGACCTGACGCGCAGCGCCTCAGCCAGGTGAGGAAGGCTCACTGCAGTGACCGGCACGGTGCTAGCATGTGCCCTGGGTGAAAGGGAAGGAGAAGGCCACTGAGCCTCAGAGGGCCCCCTCCGTGAACCCAAAACCCCAGTCCAGCCACGAGAAAACCGTCAAACAAACCCAAAGAGAAGGGCTTTCCGCAGAATACCTGACAAGCGCTTCTCAAAACCGCCAAGCTCATCAAAAAAAAGGGAAGGTTGGGAAATTGGAGGAGCCCAGAGGCACCTAAGAAGACCAGCTCAGTGCATGTGGGGTCCTGGGTTGAGTCCTGGACCAGCAAAAGGTCATTAGGGAGAAGTTATGAAATCCAGATCGATCATGGTGTTTACTTAATAATAAGGTATCAGTATTGGTTCATTAGTTATGAGAAAGGTACCCTGCTAGTGTAAAATATTAGCATTTCCCAGAGGAAACTGGGTCCAGGTGTATGGGAACTCCTTGTGTAGTTTTTTTTTCTTTGAGACAGGGTTTGGCTCTGTTGCTCAGGCTGGAGTGCAGTGGCGCAATCACAGCTGACGGTAACCTCCAACTCCTGGGCGCGAGCGATCCTCCCACCTTAGCCTCTGTACTATCTTTACAAAGTTTTATGTAACTATCAACTGTTGTAAAATTAAAACTTAATATATGCATAAAATAAAGAACCCCCTGACTTCAGTGGAGAGAGCAGACTGAGATGGACAAGAGTGAAGTCAGAGAGACGTGTGGGGGCCCCACAGTGGTCCAGGTGGGCGCTGTGAGCGACTTGTTGGTAGCAGTGGAGATGGAGAAAGATGAGTCGATTTCAGTGTCAGGACATGCTTATAGCTGGCGAGGAGGTGAGGGAACAGGAGGAAGCCTGAATGATGTGTGGTTGGAGCCAGTGGATTTTTTTCAATAGATTTTTCTTTTTGGGGAAAAGATAGATGAAGGGCAGGTTTGAGGTGGGTGGCCAAGGGTTCTCTTTTGGCTGGAATATTACTGACCCCCCTGGGATGTTACTGAGATCACTGGTCCTCATGGAAATGCCATTACAGGGACCGGTGAGTGTGAAGACCCAGGCGAGGGAGGTGCTGGCATGTAAGTGGATTTAAAGCATGGGATGGGACCAGGTCATCTAGGGAAGGAGGGTAGTGATGGAGAAGAAAGAGGGCCTGGCCCAGAGCCCTGGGACCTCCAACATCCAGAGACCTCACAAGGAGGGGCCACAGAGAGCCCACAGAGACCAGCCAGGGAGGGAGCAGGACACCTGGAGGATGAGGTGATCTAGACGCCAGAGTAAAGTGTTTCCAGAAGCAAGGGTTTGTCATTTGTGTCCTGCTGTGGGCACTGAAGGCAAGAACAGAGAAGTGACCAAGGGTTTTGCCATCACAGAGGTTGTTGATGACCTAAATATCCGTGGAGTGTGGGTCTGACTGAGGAGGTGGAGGGAGACAGGCAGTGGAGGCAGGAGACAGCTCTTTCCAGAACCTTTGCTGGGGAAGGGGAGCAGAGACATGGGCTGGGGCTGGAGAGAACCCGGGACAAGGCAGGTCCTTTCCAGGTGAGGAGACGCCTGCACGCTGCTGTGGTGATGCAGTGATTCTGTGCAGAGGGAAGAAAACTGCAAAATTCCGCACAAGTTGGAGCAGGGAGCTGGAGTGGGGGAGGTGGAGAGGGCGGGGGGATGCAGAGGACAAGACGGGGGGCCTCTTCAGAGCAGGGACCCTTCCTGATGGAGGTGAGGGATACTGTCCCCACTGTCGCAGTGAGGGGTGAACCTGAGCTCTGGGAGGCTGTAGTGGGGCAGGCACTCACTCTCCGGGTTGTCACAGGATTAAAGGAGGGTGCTTGGCACAGAGTGATGCCCAGTGAAGGTGTTCATGAGCGTCGGTGTCACCCAGCGGCGCCTGCTCATTGGACACTTGGTGTCTTTAATGAGCTGGGGAAGCTGGGGGGAAGCTTGGGCGGGGTGGTTGGAGTTTGTGTCTGAGGCTCCACTGGGGCAGGAGGGGACCTAGCCTGTGCCCTTCTCGCGGAGCCTGACCTCAGCTCTGTCCTGCGCCCGGGCCTGTGCGCTGGACACGGAGGACTGACTCGGGGGCCCCCAGCCCAGGGCGGAGCCGGCCCCCTCCCTGTTGCGGGTCGCGGGCCTAGCCTAGAGCCTGCGCCTGGCCGGGGAGACCTGCTGGGAGGGAGTGCGTCAGGGCGCGGGCGCCCGCCCTGCTCTGTGACGCGCGGCCCGAGGCGCACGCAGGGCTCACACCACCTGTCCTGGCCTCCGACCCGGGCCGACTATGGCGGCGCTGCGGCTCCTGGCGTCAGTGCTCGGGCGCGGGGTCCCCGCCGGCGGCTCAGGGCTCGCGCTGTCCCAGGGCTGCGCCCGCTGCTTTGCCACCAGTCCCCGGCTCCGTGCCAAGTTCTACGCGGACCCGGTGGAGATGGTGAAGGACATCTCTGACGGGGCGACCGTCATGATCGGGGGCTTCGGGCTCTGCGGGATCCCCGAGAACCTGATCGCCGCGCTGCTCAGGACCCGCGTGAAAGACCTGCAGGTGGTCAGCAGCAACGTGGGCGTGGAGGACTTCGGCCTGGGCCTCCTGCTGGCCGCCAGGCAGGTCCGTCGCATCGTCTGTTCCTACGTGGGCGAGAACACCCTGTGCGAGAGCCAGTACCTGGCAGGAGAGCTGGAGCTGGAGCTCACGCCCCAGGGCACCCTGGCCGAGCGCATCCGCGCGGGGGGCGCCGGGGTGCCCGCCTTCTACACCCCCACGGGCTACGGGACCCTGGTCCAGGAAGGGGGCGCCCCCATCCGCTACACCCCGGACGGCCACCTGGCGCTCATGAGCCAGCCCCGAGAGGTGAGGGAGTTCAACGGCGACCACTTCCTTTTGGAGCGCGCCATCCGGGCAGACTTCGCCCTGGTGAAAGGGTGGAAGGCCGACCGGGCAGGAAACGTGGTCTTCAGGAGAAGCGCCCGCAATTTCAACGTGCCCATGTGCAAAGCTGCAGACGTCACGGCGGTGGAGGTGGAAGAGATCGTGGAGGTGGGGGCTTTCCCCCCAGAAGACATCCACGTTCCTAACATTTATGTAGATCGCGTGATAAAGGGGCAGAAATACGAGAAACGAATTGAGCGCTTAACGATCCTGAAAGAGGAAGATGGAGACGCTGGAAAGGAAGAGGACGCCAGGACGCGCATCATCAGACGCGCAGCTCTGGAATTTGAGGACGGCATGTACGCCAATCTGGGCATAGGCATCCCCCTGCTGGCCAGCAACTTCATCAGTCCCAGCATGACTGTCCATCTTCACAGTGAGAACGGGATCCTGGGCCTGGGCCCGTTTCCCACGGAAGATGAGGTGGATGCCGACCTCATCAATGCAGGCAAGCAGACGGTCACGGTGCTTCCCGGGGGCTGCTTCTTCGCCAGCGACGACTCCTTCGCCATGATCCGAGGGGGACACATCCAACTAACCATGCTTGGAGCCATGCAGGTTTCCAAATACGGCGACCTGGCGAACTGGATGATCCCTGGCAAGAAGGTGAAAGGCATGGGCGGTGCCATGGACTTGGTGTCCAGTCAGAAGACCAGAGTGGTGGTCACCATGCAGCACTGCACAAAGGACAACACCCCCAAGATCATGGAGAAATGCACCATGCCGCTGACCGGGAAGCGGTGCGTGGACCGCATCATCACCGAGAAGGCCGTGTTTGACGTGCACAGGAAGAAAGAGCTGACGCTGAGGGAGCTCTGGGAGGGCCTGACGGTGGACGACATCAAAAAGAGCACGGGGTGTGCCTTTGCTGTGTCCCCGAACCTCAGGCCCATGCAGCAGGTGGCACCCTGACGGGACCTGGATCTGGGCGGGGTGGTGCGCTCCTCAGGGCGGGTGCCACCGGGTTCCCCAGGGGAATACATGTCCCCAGCTCTGGGAGGGGTTTGCTACTGGCCTCCTACTTTCCTCCCTAGGTGGACAGTGCTCCTCTAGAGAGCTGCGACTTTAATTAAAAACAACAGGAAAACAGATCAGTTCCTCACTGTGTTTCTCGAGCACTGCAAGGCGCAGGTCTGCAGTGGTGAGGAATGGATGTCCGCTTTGCTCTGTGATGTTTACACAGAGCGTGCACAGCTCAGTGCATTCACAGCAAGATTTGATTCAAGCGCCTCCCTCGTACTTGAACCATGAAATGGAGATAAAAACTGACGAGGGAGAAAATCACTCAACCCAGAGTACACCTGAAGGGACATTTTACTACTGCAGTGAGAAATAGGCGAGCAAAGATGTGAGTTTGTGATTGGAAGACATGCTATCTTCACGAGCTTGTTTTTTCTTTTTCCTTCTCTTTCTTTTTTCTTTTTTTTGAGGCAGGGTCTGGCTCTGTCGCTCAGGCTGGAATGCAATGGAATGCAGTGATCTCACTGCAACCTCTGCCTCCTGGGCTCAAGCAATCCTAATTCAGCCTCCTGAGTAGCTGGGACTACAGGCGCACATCACAATGCCTGCTTATTTTTTTTTATTTTTTAAATTTATTTATAGAAATGGAGTTTCACCATGTTGCCCAGGCTGGTCTTGGACACTTGAGCTCAAGCGATCCACTTGCCTCAGCCTCCCAAAGTGCTGGGATTACAGACATGAGCCACTGAGTTGGGCCAATTAACCTTAGCTTACTGTAATTTTTTTTCTTTTTTAGACAGAATCTCGCTCTGTTACCTAGGCTAGAGTACAGTGGTCCAGTCTCAGCTCACTGCAACCCCTGCTTCCTGGGTTCAAGCAATTCTCATGTCTCAGCCTCTCAAGTAGCTGGGATTACAGGCATGTGCCACCATGCCTAGCTAATTTTTGTATATATATTTTTAACAGTAGAGATAGGGTTTCTCCATATTGGCCAGGCTGGTCTCAAACTCTGGGCCTCAGGTGATCCACCTGCCTTGGCCTCCCAAAGTACAGGCTTGAGCCATTGCACCCAGCCTTCTTGAACGTTTTTATCCGTTATCTGGTATTTCTTCTGGGGCCTTTGTTGTTAAATTTTGTTTCCCTGAAGCCTCCCCTCCTCCTCCCACATCTCTCCTCCTGGGACCTATGAGATGTTAAGCTTCTAGATGTCCGTAGAAGGAAAGCAGGACCATCTCCAAGGGAAGGGACCGGGTGATGGGAGAGACTGAGAGGGGAGAGGCTGCCGGTGCTGAAATCCACCAGGAAGCTTCCTCTGTGTGTGGCCAAAGGCTACAGCCTAGGACAGGAGGAGTTCTAGAACCCTAACCAAGGGACTAGATGAGTTTTCTCAGCTTCATTTGAATTGTTCCTGCATCATTCACACCAGACACTTAGGCCCTCCTCTCTGGGATGGAGGCCCAAACTGGCCACTTGTGTGATGGTCCGTTGTAACCCAAGAGGCTGTGAGGCATTTCCTCCTGAATCTATAGTCTCAAAAACTAAAATTAAGATTGTGTGTGTGTGTGTGTGTGCATGCACGCGTGCACACGTGCTGTTGACAACCAAGCCTGGCCTGGTGCATGCACTGCATAAGTGTAGCTCTGGGGGTTCCCAGGCCATTGGGGGCATGTGGTCAGAGTAGTAAGTTCTCACTGGTCAAGGACAGACTTTCCAGGGGCCCATTGGAGCCTCACCCTGCAGGAAAGGCCAGATCCTGGGAAGGAGAGCAGGGCAGGGAGAGTTGGCGCTCATGGAGGGCACAGACTGGGGGTGTGGAAAAGGGGCCAGGGACTATGGCTGGGGTTGGGGGCTTGAAATGAAATGTCATCTAGTGGGCAGTGGGGTGCCTTTTGGGGCTCCTGGAGAGGGGCACCTGATTTGCCCTGGGCGTCAGTTTCCCAGGAGCAGTGTGGAAAAGGCTGAGGTATCTAGAAGCGGACAAGTGACCCTCTGGGCCTCCAACTCCACCTTTCTGGAAGGGGCCTGCCCACAGCTGGGCAGCCTGAGAGCCCCCCACCTTGACTGCTTGGCCTTCCCTGCAGCCAGCTGGAGCCAGGGAGTCCTGCCTAAGAATGGGTGGGTAAGAAGCAGAGCTGATGGAGAAGGGAGGCTCTGGGCTCTGGAAGGAGAGGGCTGGGGATGGGGGAGCTTCTCCAGGCCTGCCAGATGCAGGGCTCTGAACCCAGACCCACTGTTAGTCCCCTTCATCACCCCCCATCTTGCCCAGCCACATCCAGCTGGGCCCTGCAGTTTGCTGGAAAAGTATATGACAATCCTGGCTCCGACCCACCTTGCTCTGGGACCTTGGACAGTTGCTGCTCTCTCTGGGCCTTAGTTTCTGCTTCTGTAAAATGGGAACCTGGGATTAGCTGCTTCCAAGGTTCCCTAGTCAGGCTCGCCTGGCCTGTGAGACCTACAGAGGGGTTCCCAGCACCCAAGCCAGGCCTGGCTCAGAGGGGCTCTGTGAGGGTCTGTGGTGTAACTGATCTAATGCGACATTCTATCCTGTGTCTGGGAGACCCCCCATAAGACCCTTGAACACAGCTGCACAGAAGCAAATAGTGAGGAAAGCCTGCAGGACTGATGGCCTCTCAGGCCCCATGGCAGGCAGGGCTCCCCAGGGAGTCACAGGACAGAGCTGCAAGTGGAGCCAGGAGGGCTGCCCTGGGCCCCAGGCTGTCCCCATGGGTCAGCCAGTCTGCAGAGTGACACTCCAGTGCCCGGGCTGGTGACCACCACCACCCCACTCAGGCTGCTCTGTTCTCTCTCCGTTGTGACCTCACTTGTCTTTTCCTCTGTGCCCCAGCTCTGTTCCTTGTATTTCTGCTGCTTCCCCATAACCTTGACTCACCGTGAACCAAGCCCTGCCCAGTGGATTCTCTCTGGGCCTCCTTCCCATGTTAGCATCTGCAGCTCACAGCCTCCCTGTCTCAGCAGCTCTTGTCCATGCTCGTGAGAGGGAGGGAGCCTCTCCTGCCAGTGCATTTGTTTGTGGCGGATGATGTCACGGGTCAAAGGTTGGTCTCTGGATTCACTGGTTGTTCAGTCAAGTGGCCAAGGGACACCAGGGCTGAGGCACAGCTGCTTAAGGGCTGACCTTTGAGTGGGACTGAGGGTGGGGCAGGCAGTGTCCTTGGCCTGTAGGGTGTACTGGAGAACTACGTAGGAATAAATACATCTGTGTGTGTGATGTCTGTCTGAGCGTATGTGCATCTGTGTGTTTATGCAAACATATGCCTGTGTGTACATACGTGTGTACATCTGTGCTTATAACATGGAGGTGAAATGTACTTTCGTGTAAACTGAACAACTGGCACTGTTTAAAGAGACATGAAAATGAGCTGGTAATCATGCTTCTGCCATTCAGTATCAGGAAATTTCACCCATGCACGGAGTGAAGAGGCTCCATTGCACTCCCATCTTTATCATGAAAGCCGGGAAATAACCTACATGTCTATGATGAGCCAATATCAAGTCAATTACGGTATACTGCTCCAAGGGATTTTATAAATTTGAAATGTTTATTGTGGAGACTTATTTAAACAACCAGAAAAAGTTTTGTGTTTTGTTTTTTTTTTCTTGAAACACACTCTCATTCTGTCGCCCAGCTGGAGTGTGGTGACACAATCACACCTCACTGCAGCCTCAACCTCCCAGGCTCAAGCAGTCCTCCCACCTCAGCTTCCCGGGAAGTTCACCACCATGCCCAGCTCATTTTTGTTTTTATTTTTTTGTTGAGACAGGGTCTCACTATGTTGCCCAGGCTGGTCTCAAATGCCTAGGTTCAAGCAATCCTCCCACCTCGGCCTCCCAAAGTGCTGGGATTACAAGCGTGAGCCACCTTGCCTGGCCTCAAAAGTTTCTTTACTTAATTGCTTTTACAATAGAAAGGTTATTGAAATCCAAACAAGTACAGGATGATACACAGTTTTATTGGTGAGGCTTGGCATCTCCAGGGTTAGTTATCATGTTTTCAGCGGCATCCTCAGTCTGGAAGCGGCTGTGGGGGACAATCCCGTTTACAGGCTTCACTCCTCCTGGGGCTGAGGCCCAAGTCAGATCTCTGTTTCAGCCTTTTCTTTCTTTCTTTTCTGTCCATAAGCCCAGCTCGTGCATAAGAACTCGGGCTCTGGAATGAGACTGCCGCAGGCTGCAACCTGGGCTCTGGGACTTGGTTCAATGTTTCTGCTCTGCCTGGCATCTCCCTTGTGGGCATCAGGGAGACAGTTAATGCCCTGCTCTTGGGCTGTGCCCAGCAGAACAAGCACTCGCTCAACCTGGCAGATGCTACCACGAGCTGTCTCGGTGATAAGTTTGACATTCACACCCCAGAAAGTGCGGGACGGAAGACAGAACACAGGTCTCGGGGTCCTTGGACCAAGGTGGGAGCGCTGGTTCTCGGAGTCACTGGCAGTAGGACTCTGGGTCTCCTGTGAAGTAGGAGCTGCAGGGTCACTGTAAGGACCCAATGAGGTGATCCATGGGAAAAATCTTCCAACTTGTAAAACACTTCACAAATGTTATTATTTGTGACGCAGCTGTCACTAATAACACCGCCTGCAGCTCACTGAGCACCCCCTCCCACCTCCTCCAAATCTGTCCCCAGGAGAGACGTGGACTGGCTGGGGCTGGACCAAGGACTCCAGGCTTCAGATGTGGAAACTGAGGCTCAGCAGGACCCCTTGGGTCCTCAGCCTCCACGCTCCTGGACCTGCCCAGGCCCCGGCAGAGAGACCGCTGCTGTGTCTGCTGCAGGGCCACTGCCCGTGAGTGACCCCTCTCTCCTTTCTGTCTCAGGGCACAGCGTGGATCCTGGCCTGGCCGGCCTGCTGGGTCAACGGGCCCCACGCTCCCAACAGCCTTTCGTGGTCACTTTCTTCAGGGCCAGTCCGAGTCCCATCCGCACCCCTCGGGCAGTGAGGCCACTGAGGAGGAGGCAGCCGAAGAAAAGCAACGAGCTGCCGCAGGCCAACCGACTCCCAGGGATCTTTGGTGAGGGTCGGGCAGGCTGGGGCCGAGGCCCTGTGGGCTTCTGGCTGAGAGAGGCAGGGCGAGAACCAAGTGGTGGCCCAGAGCCCTCAGGCTCAGGTCGGTTCAAGCTGACGGCCACTCTCCAGCCACCTTTCCTGACACCATCTTGGCCCTGATGCACCCTGGTGACCGGCACTCCGGAGGCCTGTCCTGGCTGTCCCTGCTGCCCAGAAGTCTCCCTCTCTCCCCCTGGCTCCTCCGGGTCTTTCTCAGGAGCCTCCTTCAGAATCAGCTGCCCCTTCCCTGGGAGCCGCAGCCCCTCATGACCTGCGGTTGTGCCTGGGCACCCTGTGGGATCCTCGGTTGCTTATGCGAGTTTTCTCCCCAACTGGGCCAAGCCCTTCAGGATCAGGGACAGGCCTGACCCAACCCCGTGCCCTCCTTCCCAGGGAGTCGGCCCTTGACTGGCCTGGTCGTGAGCCACTTGAACCTCGGGAATGGGTGTGGCAGGAGAGGGTGGGCTGGAGTCACAGGGGTCTCCAGAGAGGAGGAGGCACAGGATGGCCGAGGGTCCTGCTGGGCTGTTTACTGGAGCATAAAGATGCTCATAGGCTGAAGGACAGGGGAGGACTGGGCACAGTGTCACTCTAGCCATTGGGAGCCATGGCAGGCTTCTGAGCTGGGTCATGGTACAAGCAGAGTTCCAGGGATGGGCTTTATGAGACCAAATGGTTTCCTGTCATTCATTTATTTGACAAATGTGCTCATCAGGGCATCCCCCACCCTGGTACCCCATAGTAGCTGCACACAGTAGGAACCCCAGAAAAGACCTTGCCCCTTCTGTCCCTGCAGATGACGTCCACGGCTCCCACGGCCGGCAGGTCTGCCGTCGGCACGAGCTCTACGTCAGCTTCCAGGACCTCGGCTGGCTGGTAATTGCTGACTCTTCTTGTTTCTGAAATGACAATCACCACCTGTAGATCAGAAGTGAATCTGCAGGGAGGACATAGAATCATGGTGACTTCAATTTTCTTATGTATTTTTTTCTTCTGTGTTTTCCAAGTTTTCTAAAGTGAGAATATGGTGAGAAAGGGTTTTTTTTTTGTTCAGTTTTTTGTTTTTTTTAAAACCATGAAAATGAAGACTGAATCAACCAACTAAGCTGTCAGCATTGCTGCAGGGTAACTGAGACCTCCCTGCATTGGCTACGACTGCAGCTCTGGGAGGCGTGGGCAGGGGAGGGCCGGCTGGGGAGGGGACGCAAAGTGAAGATATGGGGGATGTTGGGCCTGAGCTCCTGCCCAGCCTTTTCTGCCGGGGGTTCCTGGGTGGATTCAAGCCTCTTGGGGGAGACGGCCCTGCAGGGCTGGAGGATGGGTTTGGGCCCTGAGGCTCAGGGAGGGGCACATGGATGGGACTCACCTTCTCCCTTGCCCCCCAGGACTGGGTCATCGCTCCCCAAGGCTACTCGGCCTATTACTGTGAGGGGGAGTGCTCCTTCCCACTGGACTCCTGCATGAATGCCACCAACCACGCCATCCTGCAGTCCCTGGTCAGTACCATGCCCATCCTGCCCAGCCCCCTGGGGTGGGGGGCCCTGTGGAGAGGGGTCTGGTCCAGCTGGCTGGGAGGGCAGTGAGGCCACCTGCTCCGCGTCTCAGGGGGCTTTGTCTGCACAGTCAGTAACGTCGCTAACTTCCCACAGCTCTGCAGGAACTGGTCCTTATACAGCCACACTACACGTAGACTCGCACCCAAACACGGACATACGTGAACAGTCGTGTACACATGCCTGTTCTATGCACCGAACAAACTCCTGTGGGACACTTACGCACCTGTGTGCAGCGCTCAGAGGCACAGCACATGAAACAGATGTGTACACTGTGTGGGGGCTGTGTGATCTTAGCACACGGGCCGCCGAGTACGCTGGCAAGTCTGACCGCCCGTGATATGTGTGCACAGTGTGTGGGGTGTGCGTGTGCACTCACCCACCTGTGCCGCACCGCAGGCAGGAAGCTTCTAGATGGTGTGGCTCTCAACCTTTTGGCTTTTCCCCCAGTTTCTCTCTTGGCCATCTTTGTTTTTTCTGGATCCCCTGGCTTTTGATGCCTTGGTATCTGGGGCAACCTTAAAGGACAAAAGCAGGTTTCTGATGGGATCACTGGTGCTGCTCACTGTTGAGTGCTCTGTGTGTTTGTGGATTCTGGCACCGAGGCTTCCTTCTAGAACTTTTTACCTAGAATCCCAGTTCCTGGTATTGCACAGCCTTATGTTTTCCCCTTAGGAGGTTCAACGGTGATGCCTTGATCAGGTGCGGTGGCTCACCCTGTAATCGCAGCACACGAGCCCAGAAGTTCAAGACAAGCCTGGGCAACACAGCAAAACCCTGTCTCTAAAATAAAAATTAAAACACACACACACACACGTGCGCACACTATGCCTTGGTGTGAGAGGAAATAAATTACCAAAAGCTGCTCTGAGCCTATGATAATGCTTCCTTTCTGGGCAGTCAAATGGTGTTTGCTGGACACCTGGAGCCACCTCCTTGGAAAGGCCCAGGGATGATGAGGACGCGTGGGGCGGCCCAGCCCAGCCACCCTTTATGCCGTGTGGTTCTCATGGCTGCATGTGTGGGAGGCACGCGGGAAGGTGACTGCATCTGCAGCTCCCAGACTCCATCTCCTCTGCCCTTGCCCCTGCCCCTCAGGGGCTCAACTAAAGTGAGCACTCGTAACCTGCTGGGCAGCAAACAGACAGGCGCTGCGCTCTAGGGGAGGCTGTCGGTTTGTTGGTTTGTCCAAAGCAAAACAACCGTGGAGGTGACGCCTCCTGTGAGGAAGAGCAGAGTGGCTGCTCCATCAGTGGGGAGAGACTGGGCCTGGCCTCTCCACAGAAGGAGGGGGCCAGTCAGCAGCTGGAGGAGGAATGTTCCAGCAGAAGGAGCAATTCCAAGGCCCTAAGACAGCAGTGAGCTTGGCAGGTTCAGGGCCAGCAGGGAGAAGGGGCTGGGTGCAGTGAGTGGGAGGAGGGCGGAGGGAGGTGACACCAGGGTGGGCAGGGCCGGCTCCCCTAGGGCCTGGGGGTCTGAATGAAGGTGTTTTATTCCAAGTAACCCAAGAGGCTGTCGGAGCTCTTTAGCAAAGCAGTGTTCTGGTCCATGTCACCCTCCAGAAGGACCTCTCTCTGGCTGCTGGGGGAGGCTGGGATTGGGGGTGGGGGTGGTGGTGGAAGGTGGAGGAGCAGGGGATGAGTGAAGGCTGCTGTGGTCACCTGACAGGTGATGGCAGCTGGACGGGGCAGGTGGTCCAAGGCAGCATGGAGGTGGAGGTTGAGCCAGGGGCTGCTCCCAGGGAAGGGAGGAGGCAAGAGGAGTCATCCAGGAGGCCTCCCAGGCGGGGGCTATGATGTCAGGGCGGGAGGAACTCCATGTTCCGCTGAGGCCCCATTAGACCCCAAGTGCAGAAGTGGCGAGGGGAGCAGGATCCACAAGTCTGGAGTTCAGAAGAGAGGTCCAAGCTGAGCCTGGGGAGTGGAGAGGTGCGGGCACGTGCAGGGCCTTGAAGTGCTGAGGGCGGATGCAGTCCTCTGGGGGAAGGAGCAGCACAGGAGAGGGGCGGAGGCCTGGCCTCCCAGAGACTGGGGAGGGAGGCCAGGGTGTGGGAGGCAGAGCCTCTGGGGGTCCGAAGGGCCAAAAGAAGAAAGTGGTCCTTCCAGGCTCCCCCTTGGGGACCTCACTAAGGGCACAAACCTGGCCACACAGTTCTCCTTCCCATTATCCCCAGGAGGAAGTCTGAGCCCTTGGCCTGGGACTCCAGGCCCCTCATTAGCGCCTTGCCCACCTGCTGCACACCCCCTGCCATGTGTCCCTCCCTGGGCACTGCGTGTTACTACAGCTCCCACTCCTGGAGCCTTGAGGACTGCTCTTATTCCTGTTAATAGTTATTATTATTGTGCTGCTCCCATGTGGCCTGGAGATGGCCAGGGCAGGGAGCAGGTGGAGCTGGGGTGGGGCTGGGTGGGTCCTTGGAGGAGGCCACTGGGCTCATGCCCCTGCCTGTGCCCTCTTCCTGGCCAGGTGCACCTGATGATGCCAGACGCAGTCCCCAAGGCGTGCTGTGCACCCACCAAGCTGAGCGCCACCTCTGTGCTCTACTATGACAGCAGCAACAATGTCATCCTGCGCAAGCACCGCAACATGGTGGTCAAGGCCTGCGGCTGCCACTGAGTCCACCCGCCCGGCCCAGCTGCAGCCACCCTTCTCATCTGGATCGGGCCCCTCAGAAGCAGGAAACCCTCAAACCCAGCCAGACCCCAGGCCGGGGCATTGCCAGGGAGGACCCTCACAACCACGTACATGACCCTTTCTCCTTCATGCCAGGCTCCTATGCTCCCCTTGCCCTGCCAGGCATTTGTGTGACTGTCCTGTTTCCAGCCCAGGTGGTCTCAATCATCAGGCAGTGTTCTACCCAAATGCAAACGCCTCTCCCGGAGGCATGTCCTGGCTGGTTCTTTGGGGTTGGCACAGAAGTCCTGTCTGAGGTCCTATCCATGCCCCTTACTGGCTCAGGTCGTGAGATAGATGTGGAATGACCTGAGAGGCACCTGGAGCCCACTGTTGGCCACCTTGAGCTCTTCACCATCCATCACAGGGTGTGGTGTGTGTAGTCAGGGTCTGGTTGGCTCCCCATTGCCTGCCCGAGGTGCAAGGTGGGGTATAAAACTGGATAACCCCTGAAGTATTGTATATTCATGGATCTGAAGCACTGATCCACTGGTCACAGGTAGACATGTGGAGTCAACTCAAGAAAAAGCTGAGTGAACAGCATGATTTAGGGCTAAAGCCAATGGCATTTATCTTCCCTTGTCTTCCTGCTTTGCATTTGCCTCTGCCATCTAGGAAAGACATGTAAGAGCATGGACATTTTACTTTGGAGAAACAGAAAAATCTTGGGGCTTCCAATTGACCCATCTATCTGCCACCATGTTGCCCCACCAGGAGCTCAGCTCTGTGGAGTTTTCCCTTTGCTGAGCAAGCATGTGGTTGCATTGGGTGGCCCAGGATGACAATGCACAGCACAGATGCCATCATTTCCCTTTCCCCTCTGAATGGCAGACATCAGTAATCAATCTGGAATGTTTTTCTTCCAAATCTGAGTGGAATTTTCAAATGATCAGCACAGCCACTGCCAACAGATATGATGTAAAGTGAAACCTGGTTGCCATCTTCTGCCATGCTGAGGAGCAGTCCATCCCTGCCCGAGCATGTATCGGCAACATGGGCAGCCTGTGACCGGGTCTGGGGCGAGGCCAGGGGCCATCAAAAACAGGCTGATCACCAAAGTCAGTGTCACCCTGGATGCCCAGCAGCCCTGTCCTGTGTCTTGGGCCTGTGAGTCAAAGAAAAGGTCCTTTTCAGGGAGTGACAAGTAGTAATTAGGCTGAGTTGGGTGGAGAGGTTTGTCTCAGCCTCTGCTGTTCTCGGAAACTGCTGTTCTCCTTGGAGCAGCCACTGGGAGTTGGAGTGTTTATTTGATTTCTGACTTGCTAAGCCTGTAATTTACCTGCTGGAATAGACAGAGTCCAGCTGCCCAAACCGTGTCATTAAAAGCAGATCCTGCGCCCGCCCCATCCACAGGCACAGCCCGGCAGAGTGGTTCCACCTCCCCATGGGCCCAAGGATGCGCCTCTCTGGAGTTCACGTGCTGCACCCCCAGGGAGGGGCCTGGGGAAAGCTGGTCCAGCAGCAGGGGTGGAGGCTGGGGCCACACTGCGGGACAGCAGCCCCTCCACCTGGACCAGGGAGGGCCTCCATGTGCAAGCGCAGAGGAAGAGACCCTCCCATGTACGCAAAGGGCAGCCCCAGGCTGTCTGGAAGTTGGAGAATTCCCTATCAGCACAGGGATCTCAGCTCTGGCCTGGAGGTGAAGAGACCTGCCTTGTAGGTGGCTTCCTTATCTGCGCCTCCATTTTCTATCTGCACTTTTTGATCTCCAAACAACCTTCAGCCAAAGAATCTGTCTACCAACTCCTCATAGTGAGCCAGAAGCAGCCTCATAACCCTGAATGTGGGGCTCTGGTGGCTGTCACGAAGCAGAGTTGGCACATAACATGGAACCTGGCCAGGCATGGTGGCTCACACCTATAACCCCAGCACTTTGGGAGGCCAAGGCAGGCAGATCACCTGAAGTCAGGAGTTCAAGACCATCCTGGCCAACACAGTGAAACCCCATCTGTACTAAAAATACAAGATTACCTGGGCATGGTGGTGCATGCCTATAATCCCAGCTACTCAGGAGGCTGAGGCAGAATTGCTTGAACCTGGGAGGTGGAGGTTGCAGTGAGCAGAGATCACAACATTGCACTTCAGCCTGGTGACATGAGCAAAACTGTTGTCTCAACAAAATGAAATTATGGAACCTGTTTGCCATCCTAGTATTTACTTAATTGTTCCTTCTTAACATCAAAGATGGTCTTCTAGGCAATTGTAAATTTTAAATTAGCCAGTTATTTTGACAATTAATTTTTTACTCCACCTGTATCTTTAGTGCCCAGCCAATGATCTGGCATAGTTAGGGGTGCACCAAGAATGTCTGTAAACTACCTGAAGGTTTGTAGATATGGAGTACACCTTACCCATTAATCAAGCTGTGCATAGCAGGAACCAATACGAGCCGTGATCCTCCTGGTTCATACAGAACAATGGAAAAACATAAGGCTTTGTCTACCTAGTTGGCCATCAGACTTTCAGCAACTTTTATCATCCAGATAGTCACCAAATGAAATAAAATAGAAAAATCCCTTGAGCAATGAAACAATTGTGAATGAACACAAAGTCCATGAATTTAATCCTTATCCGTTTGCTGAGCCAAGCATGTGCATCTGCAGTGGGTGGCCCAGGCTGGCAGCACAGATACCACCATTTCCCTTTTCTTTGCTCAGGGCATGGCCTGTTTATCTCGTTGCACCAGATGAGGGTTGGAAGGATGATGGTGGTGGTTGTTTCAGATCTACTGACAGCAATGAGAAATCAATGACAGTTGACAGGAAGAGAGGACGCATACAACAGGCAAAAGAGGAATGCCCAGCAGTCTTGGTCCTTGCGGTGCAATACTGGCCTTGAGGCCAAGTCAGCAGGGGATTCGTAGTCACTAACTTCTAACTGAGGCAGGGAAGTAACATGTTCTGGAAAAGGTCCAAAGAAACAGGAATAGAGGCAGTGTAGCAAGAGGCAGATTTTTGGTGCCAAATAGATTTGAATCCTGGTTCTGCTTCTTCCTTTGTAGAGTATGATATTGGTTCTTTCCTCCCAAAGCTATTATAAAGACTAAATATGTACACAAATCTTTGGGATGTCTGACATATAAATGCTTAACAATAGGTATTTGCTGGTATTATTACAAATGAATTTGCTTATTTTTGAGCCACTTCTATGTCTGTCCATTAAACCAAAATGTGTTCTGCAGGTGATGATGTATTTATTTCAGAGCTGTGCTCTTTCCTAAACCATCTACACATGGCATCCCTCAGAGGGCGGGACTTGTATTCTTATAGCCTTTAAAGGCCTAGCAAGTGTCACTTGTGGCAGCGGCTGTGAAACTTTGCTGTGTTCCCAGACAATGGGATCCCATGTCCTGCTGAGAGAGGTCTGTACCCACCAGGTGTCTTGGGTGGCAATTTGCATGGGGGAACTGCCCATCCAGGTCAACTGCTTGGCCCCCTTTTTGAAAGGAACCCTGGATGGGCACTTGACCCCCTTTTTCAAAAATGTCTTTCACTTCTCAAAAAAATAATGCAGTTTTGGAGGAAAGTGGGATATATAAAAAATAAAATACAATTCAAATCACTACAGTCCCACAAGTCAAATAAACACACTATTAATATTTTTGTGGCTTTATTTCTAGGCTTTTTTTCTTAAGATATACAAATACCTATGCTTACATATTACAGATATTTTTACAAAATTGGGATCACACTGTACTATATATGTTTCTTTGTGATGTGCTTTTTCTACTTTAGTTTCCCATCACTGAACTCTACAAGACTCCATTTTCAACAATAAAAAGTTGGTTCTATAATTCCTTCTTCAGAGGTTGCCGTGAGGCTGCCATGACTGCAACAGATGCTGGGAGCACCTGGAGGCGGCTGTCATGCTGTTGGAGAGGACACTCCAACAGCCACAGCACTGATCCTGGGCCTGCCATCCCTGGTTTCAGCCTTTGTAACCGTTTCAGGGCCAGCATGTGGGGACTCAGATGGGGCTCAACTCTGAATGAGTTAGGGGGGAAATGAATCAGCAAAAGGAAGCCCTGTGCCCAGTCCTGGTGCTGGTCCAGCAATGGGAATGTGGAATGGGGAGGCCAGTTGGGACAGGAGCCACACAGTCCCAGGGAAAGCCGCTTTGCTCTCCAGGCTGCAGGAAAGGACGCCCACAGAGCCACTGGCTCCACTTCCCAGAGAGGTCAGAGTTTTCCCGAGGCAGCCAGGTGCAGCTGCTGCATGGTGCGTAGCCGAAGCAGGTGGCCAGGCTGTGGGGCATGCCACTGCCCAGCTCTGGGGCTCCCCTCCCTTCTGGCCTGGAAGAGCAGGGTCTTGTCTCCTGTGTCTCTCCACACAGGTCCTGGCCAATCATGGGGACCATGACTGTGTCACTCCCCAGGGCTGTGGACCCTGCCGCCACAGATTGAGGCTAAAGCCTAGTAAACCTCCCAGGACTCCATTACTACTGAAGAGAGACAGGCTGGGCTTCTAATCCCAGCTCTGCCAAACCACCCTGTGTGACCTTTGGCAGTCACGCCAATAAAGCCTCAGTTTACCTGTGCAGGGTTCCAGTGTGCATTCAATAACATCTGTGAACACCCAGGAGGAACACTGGGAGAGGAGTCCACACCCAATGGCTCCAAACCTGCTGAGCTTTCAGAACTGCCCACTGGCCTCCACCTCCCCAGAGTATCAGGGAGGAACAGAGTGACAAGGTTGTCACAGGAGTCTGTCCTTTTATGGGAGGCTGGCTGTGCTTTTTCTACACACTCTCTCCTGGTTCTCGTCCAAGCACTGAAGTCAGTGCTATCATCCCCAGCTTCATAGATGCCTGCCTAACACCTGTGACTGACCTCTGATGGCCATTATTTGCACTCAGAGAAGGGGCTGTGCTTTGAGGGAGGGTCTCTTTTGGAAGCTCCATAGGGGTGAGGGGTAACCATGTAGTATATCCCAGCTACATGGAGCCTGAACTCAGTCAACTGTAGCAGCTGGAGCTCACAAAGTCCAGTCGGCACATGGGAGCCAGAGGTAGGGCAGAATGCCACCATCCCTCAGCAAGAGCTATCCTAGGGTCATGAGGACCACCTAGCCTCTCCTGCCTCCTGGCTCATCCAGATCTCAATCCAAGATGCAAAAGCTCAGCTCAGTGGATTCTGAATGGTCTGAGTGACCCAACCCACAGGAGGTGTCCAACAGCTACAGGACTCAGTCCCTGCTAAAAGCCTTCAGCAGATGAGATTCTTTATAACCGCCTGGCTGACCAGCATCTGGAGGGGGAGTGGAGAGAAGCCAGCTCCAAGAAGTGGCTGCACACAGGAGAGCCAGACTGTGAGCTCAGCAGGGGGTGGGACCATTTGTTCTCTTCAGTGGCTGGCAATCCTGTTTTGTAAAGGCTCAGATAGTAAGTATTTTAGGCCTTGGGACTGTGATGGTCTATTTTGTGTGTCAATTTGGCTAGGCCATGGTATCCAGTTTTTAGTCAAACACTAGTCTAGATGTTGCTGTGATGATGGTTTCTTTTTTTCAAGACAGGGTCTCCCTCTTGTCACCCAGGCTGGAGTACAGTGGCATGACCATGGCTGACTGCAGCCTCAACCTCCCAGGTTCAAGCGATCCTCCCACCTCAGCCTTCTGAGTAGCTGGGACTATAGGTGTGCACTACCATACCTGGCTTTTTTTTCTCCCCCTAGAGATGGGGGTCTCTACATTGCCCAGGCTGGTCTTGAACTCCTGGGCTCAAGTGATCCTCCTGCCTCAGCCTCCCAATAGTGGTGGAATTATAGGCATGAGCCACCATGCCTGGCCTATTTTTTAGATGGATTAATATTTAAGTCAGTAGAGAGTAAAGCAGATTACCCTCCATAATGTGGGTAGGCCTCATCCAATCAGTTGAAATTCTTAAGAGAAAAAAGACTGAGATCACTGGAGGAAGAATTCTGCTTCCAAACTGCCTCAGAGCTGAACTGCAACATCAGTTTTTTTCCTGAGTCTCCAGCCTGCTGGTCTGTTGTGCAGATTGCAGACTTGCCAGCTCCTACCACTGCTTGAGCCAGTTCCTTAAAATAAATCTCTTTCTACATATATACACACCCTATTGGTTCTGCTTCTCTAGAAAACCCTAATACAGGGACCATAGCCTGTATTGTGTCTATAGCCCCTTACGCACCTCTGCCACTGCAGTAAGAAACCACCATGGACAATATGTAAATAAATGGACGTGGCTGTGTTCCAATAAAACCTGATTCATAAAAACAGGCAGTGGGCTGGATTAGGCACATGTAGTTTGTTGGCTTCCTGTCTCCTGACAAATAGGCATAGTACTTGGCACAGAGAAGGCACTTTGAGTTATAAAAATTTCATTTTTTAAAATCTGTAGGGTGAAAGTGAACAAATAAACAAATGAACCACTGAGAGTACACTTGCTGGCTGTAAGGCCGGCAGCTGGGTTTAGGAGCAGAGGCAGCAGAAGACCGGAGCTTTCCAGTCTTTAATTTCCGTTGCCCTGACATCGATGCCTGGTGTGAAGATACATCACCTGACATCTAAGGGGATCGGCCCAAGGGAGGAAATGAAAGCTGTGAAAAAGATGCTCTGCTCTCCCCACTCACCAGCCTGCCTCAGAGGTCCAGCTTAGCCACAGACACAATCTCTGACAACTCCCAAGAACTAGCAGGAAGAGCAATATAAGAACTAGGGTTTATTTTAGCAAAGAAAACACGTAAGAGCCACACTGGTAGTCCCAGGAGAGGCCCAGCAGCAAATGCTGAGAAAAGCCAGTGGCTTTTTGCACAGCCTGCCCATGGTGGAGGGGAGCACCTGAGCTGGCTCCTGGGCCCACAGCTGTGCCTGGGAATAGTCCAGGCTGTGCCTGCAGAGGAGCTGCTCCAAGCAGACCCTGAGGAAGGGCACATATCCCAAATGCTGCTTGCTTCAAACAGGCACCCTCGGTGCTGCCTCCTCTGAGGCTGGCAGTTCCTTCCTGGATATGCAGGGTCAAGAGCGGAGGGGGAAGCAGAGAGAGTGCCGCCTCACACGTACTCCCCACAGTCGGCGATGATCACCTTCTGCTTTGGCTTCCCGTCCTTGCTGCCCTGGGCCTTTGTGGCAGAATAGAAGTGAGGGAGTAAGGCCGGAGACTAACAGTGGTTTAGGGATACCAACCCCTGCCTGCCCATTTGCCCACTTCCACCCCGGAACCTGGGCAGCAGCAGCCCCTCCCGCTGGACACAGCCCCTGGCCATCTCTCTCAGGCCACAGAGACTCTCCAGCCCTCACACAGGGCTGTGCTCCTAGGGCCTGGGTAAGGAGGAGGCCCATTCCTGGCCACATACCTCAATTTGCCGCAAGACATCTAGGCCTTCGGTGACCTCTCCAAACACCACATGCTTGCCATCCAGCCAGTCTGTCTTGTCACATGTCAGGAAGAACTGAGAGCCATTGGTGTTTGGGCCAGAGTTGGCCATGGATAGTAGACCTGAGGGAGAGAACAACCATCAGCTCCCCGAACCCTGGCTACCAGCCCTTAAAGGACGTCTGTGCAGGCTGTTGACAGCCCTTCAGCCAGTCAGGCTCAGACTCGGGGATGCACAGATCACATGCAAATGCGGCCACCTTATCTTGGATTCAGTTAATAGTCAGTGAAATGGTAAGTGAGGTGTTTCAATCACTTTATACTGGTCTGTTCTTTCATTAATTCATTTATTTAACAATTAAGTGTCTACTTGACAACCAGGTCCCTGTTAAGCCCTGGGAACACTGATGAGCAGAACATAGTCCAAGCTCTGGTGGAGCTCACAATCAGTGGAAAAGAGCCATTCAAAATGACAGCTATGACACAGTGAGGCCTGGTAACATGGACATTTGTCACGTAAGAGAATGTACATGTATATGTGTGTGTCTGTGTGTGTATGTGTACATGTATGTATGTGTGTGTGTGTCCACAATGACTCCTAAGTTTCTGATCAAGCGGCTAAGTGGATGGTGGAGTCATTTATTGAAACAGGGAAGAGGAGGAGGAAGAGTTTAGGGGAGAAGGCCAAGAGCTGTTTTAGACATGTAAAGTGTGAGATGCTCGTGGGATATCCAGTGAAGACAACAGGCAGGCAGTTGGACAGGAGTCTGGAGCTCAGGGAGCCATCAGCATGCAGATGCCAGTCTGCACAAACTTAACTCAGAGATACCGCTGAAAGCCCTGGGACCGGGTGTGACTGCTTAGGGCACTGCTTCTCAGTGGGGTTGGTGTCCTGTCCCTAGGAAACCTTTGGAAATCTGAATTTACTTTTTTTGAGATGGGGATCACTCTGTCACCCAGGCTGAGTACAGGAGTGCATCACAGCTCACTGTAGCCTCAATCTCTGGGGCACAAGCAATCCTCTCACCTCAACTCCCAAGCGGCTGAGACTACAGGCGTGCACCACCACACCTGGATAATTTTTTTATTCTTTTTTCAGTAGATATAGGGTCTCACTATGTTGCCCAGGCTGGTCTCGAACTCCTGAACTCACGTGATCCTCTGGCTTTGGGCTGCCACTTCAGACTCCCAAAGTGTTGGGATTACAGGCATGAGCCGCCGTGCCTGGCCTGAAAGTGTTTTTGACTGTCTGAAATATTGTGGGGGTGCTACTGGCATTTAGCAGGTGGGGGCCTGGAATGCTAGATGTTCTGCAATGTCTGGCACAATGAATTGTCTCATATCCTCTTGGCCCTTACAAACATCCTGCTAGAGGCTGGGCGCAGTGGCTAATGCTTGTAATCCCAGCACTCTGGGAGGCTGAAGTGGGAGGATCACTTGAAGCTAAGAGTTCCAGACTAGCCTGAGCAATATAATGAAACCCTGTCTCTACAAAAAACTTAAAAATTAGCCTGGCATTATGGATGGCGTGCACCTATAATCCCAGCTATTTGGGAGGCTGAGGCAGGACTGCTTGAGCTGGAGAGGTTGAGGCTGCAGTGAGCCGTCTTGCACCACTGCACTCCAGCCTGAGCAACAGAAAGAGACCCTGTCTCAAAAAAACAAAAACCAAACAACAACAAAACAACAAATATCCTGCCAGATATTGGTATAGGTAAAAAATGTGTTTACAGTTATCTGCACCTAAAACATAATTCCATTATACATATAAGCCCAAAGTTTTGGAGTGCTTTTGATTTTCCATGGAATCTTCTAGGAATGTAACTACTATGTAAATAAACAGATTATTCTTTACTTTGGACTCTAATCAACTTTATCTACCATTTCACAAAGCCGTATCACCAATAGCATCACTCCTAGTGGTATCCAGTTGACACTCCCGTCTGCATTTCTAACTGCTGCGTTTGAGTACAGGGGCAGACGCCTGAATAATTCACTTTGTGTTCTGACACAGCTGTGCTTAAGCATGTACATCTGGAAACATATTCGAGTATTATACAAATTCGTTTATTTCCTCTGATGTTCTTCCCTATTATAGTTACAGATGAATACTGATTTTTAAAATAACGATGTGGGTCAGTGGGCTATATCACCTACACATGTCAGTTCAGTATAGTAAAGAGGGGCCCTACAAACCACCAGTTAGAAAAACGGAGCACAGGGTAACAGGCTTCTGGAGAACCAAAGAATGGGCTCTGAGCCACTTCAGTGTTTAAGGGTCAGGAAAAGAAGGAGACAGCAAAGACAGAAAAAGCAGCCATCTAGGTAAAAGGAGACAAGAAGAGGCAGGAGTCCTGCCAGCCAAGTGAAGAAGGAGTCAAGGAGAACAGAGTTAGTACAGGCTGAGCATCCCAAATGTGAAAATCCAAAATCCAAAATGCCCCAAAATCTGAAACTTCACGAGCACTGATATGATACTCAAAGGAACTGCTCACTCGAGCATTTCAGATTTGAGATATTCAGATTTGGGATGCTCAACTGGTAAGTATAATGCAAATATTCCAAAATACAAAATACTTCTGGTCCCAAGCATTTCAGGAAAGGGACACTCAACCTGTAGTATGAAATGCTCCTGGGAGGTGGGATAACATCTGGGAGGTGGGATAAGATGATCGCCAAGAACTGGCTACTCGTATTTTTGGCAAGAGTGGTTTCAATGGCGAGATGGGACTAGAAGTCTGCCTAGAAGGGATTAGAGAAAACGCGAAGGCAGCAAGTCTGTACCATGTTTTCAAGAAGTTATGCTTTTACTTCTTGAAAAAAGATGGGGGACCAGGGGCATGGGTGATAGCTGGAGAGGGAACAAGAGTACAAGGATGAAGTTTGTTTTTTTTTTTCCGAGACGGAGTTTCGCTCTTGTTGCCCAGGCTGGAGTGCAATGGTGCGATCTTGGCTCATCACAACCTCCGCCTCCCAGGTTCAAGTGATTCTCCTGCCTCAGCCTTCCGAGCAGCTAGGATTACAGGCACGCGCCACCACGCCCGGCTAATTTTATATTTTTAGTAGAGATGGGGTTTCTCCATGTTAGTTAGGCTGGCCTCCAACTCCTGACCTCAGGTGATCCGCCTGCCTCTGCCTCCCAAAATGCTGGGATTACAGGACTAAGCCACTGCACCCGGCAACCGGATGAAGATTTTTTTTAAAGGTTGATAACTGCATGCTTTCATGCTAATGGACTGATCTAGCAGAGCAGGGGAAATGGATTACAAGAAGGGGACAACTTTAGAAGCCATGTTCCTAAGTAGAGGAGAGGGACAGGATCCAGTCCACAGGTGGAGAGGCTGGCCTAGGAGAGACAGCTCATCCCCTGTAATTGGAAGAAAGAGCATGCACGAGTGGAGAGATGCAGGAGGTGAAGCATTAGATGAGGTGGGAAGGTGATGATATGAGGGCTTCAGAAGTGAAGACGGGCATGGACACATCATCTCCGGTTGGGACTGAGCATCAAGTAGGGAAATCTGGTCAGGTTGGCAAGGGTCCCCTTAAGAACTATAGTTATAAATTTCAAGTGGGATTGTTCAGTACAATTCTGTGTTTTTTCTCTAGTTGCTGGGGGACTAACCACCGAGATTTTACTGAGTAAATCTGATGGTGAGGGCAGGGAGAGCAGTGGGGTTGAGAGCATAAGAGCCTGCAACAGCAGACCACAGAATCCAAGCGGGGCTAATAGGAATTGTGGACACGGTTGGGGGATGAACAGTACCTGAATGTCAACAAGCCAACTCCACCCTAGCAAGGCTGCATGGTTCTCCTATGTCTGGTGGCTGGGTCTCCTCCAGACTCTTAGTGTCCGCCAGCCAGAACTACAACCTGTCCTTCCATCCTGCCTGGCCATCCCACCCTTGCCCAGCCTCCCTCGTCACCACATGCCAACTGGCTCCTACCTGGTCCCGTATGCTTGAGGATAAAGTTTTCATCATCGAACTTCTTCCCATAGATGGACTTGCCCCCAGTGCCATTGTGGTTTGTGAAATCACCGCCCTGGCACATGAACTGGGGGATGATGCGGTGGAAGCTGCTTCCCTTAAAGCCAAAGCCCTTTTCATGAGTGCACAGGCAGCGGAAATTCTCTGGAATTGAGAAAGGAAAAAGCGCTGGGGTTAAAAAATAGGACAAAATAAAAAACCTCGAAAAAACTTTGGTTTAGTGTTCATATTTTTGTTTTAAAATAAGAGATACTCATTATAAACCTTTGTGATACTAACCTTGTAAGGACTATAAGGGATTCTTTTTCCTTGAGACGGAGTTTCACTCTTGTTGCCCATGCTGCAGTGCAATGGCACAATCTCAGTTCACTGCAACTTCCACCTCTTGGGTTCAAGTCATTCCCCTGCCTCAGCCTCTTGAGTAGCTGGGACTACAGGCATGTACCATACACCTGGCTAATTTTGTATTTTTAGTAGAGATGGGGTTTCACTATGTTGGCCAAGCTGGTCTAGAACTCCTACCTCAGATGATCCGCCCACCTTGGCCTCCCAAAGTGCTGGGATTACAGGTGTAAACCACCACACCTGGCCAGGACTATAGGAGATTCTGTTGAAGGGGGATTGAATATACATGTTCGAGCTCTGTTCCCTTTTAAAACCACACTAAATTGGTAGGAAACTGATTTTTTAAAAGAAAAACCAAAGGATCTTAGAAGAAAACATAGGGGCAAATCTTCATGACTCTGGATTTGGTGATGGTTTCTTAAATGTCACACCAAAAGCAGAGGTGAAAGAAAAAAATAATTAGATTTTATCAAAATTTAAGACGTGCATCAAAGAACCGTACCAATAGAGGGCAAAGCAACCCACAGAACAGGAGAATGCTTATTTGCAAATCATATTTAACATGGGTTTAATATCCAGAATATATAATGAACTCCTATAATTCAACAACAAAATGGCCAGGCACGGTGTAATCCCAGTGCTTTGGGAGGTCAAGGCAGGAGGATCACTGGAGGTCAAGGGTTCAAAGCTACAGTAAGCCATGTTCTCACCACTGCACTCCAGCCTGGGAGTCAGAGCAAGACCCTGTCTCTTAAAAAAAACAAAACAAACAATCCAGTTAATAAATAAGCCAAAGATTTGAAAAGATGTTTCTCCAAAGAAGATATACAAATGGTCAACAAGCACATGAAAAGATGTTCAACATCATTAGTCAGTAGGGAATAAAAATAAAAACCACAATGAGATGCCATGTCACACCTGTTAAGAGAAGATGTGGGCCAGGCATGGTGGCTCACGCCTGTAATCCCAGCACTATGGGAGGCCGAGGCAGGCGAATCATGAGGTCAGGAGTTTGAGACCAGCCTGGCCAACCAACATGGTGAAACCTCGTCTCTACTAAAAATACAAAAAATTGGCTGGGCATGGTGGCAGACGCCTGTAATCCCAGCTACTCGGGAGGCTGAGGCACAAGAATCACTTGAACCTGGGAGGCGGAGGTTGCAGTGAGCCAATATCACGCCACTGTACTCCAGCCCGGGCAACAGTGCGAGACTCTGTCTCAAAAAAAAAAAAAAAAAAAAAAAAAGAGAAGATGTGGAAAAACTGAAACACTCATACATTGCTGGTAGAAATGTAAAATGGTCCAGCCACTGTGGAAAATAGTTTGGCATTTCCTCAAAAAGTTAAATACAGAGTTACCATATGACTAAGCATTTCCATTCCTAGGCATATATATCCAAAAGAATTGAAAACAGGAATTTAAACATATACTTACATGTGGATATTCACACAGGCATTTACAATAGTCAAAAGGTGAAAACAATGTGCAAGTGCCCATCAACAAATGAATGAACAAGATATTTATCCAAATACAACGGAATATTATTCAGCCACAAAAAGGAATGAGGCACTGATACATGGTACAAGGATGAACCTTGAAAGCATTATGCTATGCAAAATCAACAAGGCGTGGAAAAGGACAGCTATTGTATGATTCCACTTACATGAAAAATCTAGGATAGGCCAATTCATAGACACAAAGATTAGAGGTTATCAGAAGCTAAGGGGAGGAGAAAATGGGGAGTTATTATTTAATAGGTACCTTTAATAAGTGGTTTTGTTTAGGATGATTCAAAAATTTCGAACAGAGTAATTACTGCTAACAAACACTTTAAAGTGGCTAAAATAGCCAAAAAATAAACTTAAAAAGCAGGGAGGAAGAGACAACAGCAACAAAATTTCTGAAGTTAGAAAACAAAATAGATGAGTCCTAAATGATATAGCAGACCCGAGAAAGCTGAATCTTAAGCTGGTAAAAGCCAAGAAGCAACTCAATTTGCACTCCAAAAGCTCAGAGGAAAGGGTGCAGGTAATCCTGGAGACAGTAAGTTTGGCTGAAAGCCCATTTAAGAAAGTGGTTAATCTTTGGGATCCTTTCCCTGACTCTGCAGCTGGGGGCCACCCCTCCCCAACCTGGTAGCCAGCTGGGGGTCTAGTCTTTGGTAGGTTAAAGCAGAGGGTCTCTGGACTAGGACATCCTACGCATAGTGAGGGCTGAGGTACCATAATGACAAATGGAGATTATGTGAAAGTTTATATACTGAATGTTGAGGAATTCAGCCTTGCCCTCATCTCCCCTTAACAAGATGCAGACACCTGGATGCAAAACCCCCAGCAGGATGGTCTGGGAGAAAATCAGGAATGATTACACAGAAAACTATGCAAAAACAAGGCAATTATCAATTCCAGGCAAAACAAAATGCTGTGCATGAAAGGAGGTTATCACATGATGCTTACATTGTTAAAATAACTTAGGACCTAACCAAAATTATGGTACCTATACAGGGAAGATGAGGGGGCAGGGAAGGGGATTTTAAAAAACTAATTCTTTGTTCTCTGAAGTAGAAAATCAGAAGATAATGTTTAAAATGGAAAACAGGAAGTAGAAATATAAAACTGTTATCAACATGGAAATAAAAACCAAAACACCTAAGAGTTGAAATCCGCTCCTCTGAGGAGCAGCAAATGGTGTTGGCAGCAGGGCACAGGGACAGCACCAGGGGACGACTGTTTTTTCAAAACAAGCTTTGTGAAACTGAATTGACTCTTTATATGTCTAGATAATAAAATTTAGATTAAAAAGAGAATAGAAGTCAATATTTAATAAATTACAAAGAATACTCAATAAAAGCACTAGTTACTTCTAGAATTGAGGACTGGATGTAGAGAGGGGAAAATGAATTTTCAATTTATTGTCTTAAATATTATTGGAATATATGTATATGCTATTCTTTAAAAAAAAGAATACATTATTTACTTGTATTTTTAAAAAACGATTAAAAAACAGTAAGCCAGCACTTATAAAGCTTCAAAAACACCTGCTCTGACTTATCTGTTACTAGATCCCAGGATCTGAGATGCCTCAAATCAACTTAGGTCAGAAGCAATATCAAGGACACAAGAAGTGAAGCAGTAAGAACCTGGGAAAGGCTCACTGCTCAGCCACCAGCGTCCCGCCGTTCTGACCACAGCGTCCTGCTCACCTGCTGTCATGGGCACGACATCAGAACGCAGGAGCATCTGGATGCGGCCAGCCGGCTTGTTCCCAATCTTGATGTCCATGTACACCTGAGGATTTGAGCGGGCCTTTTTAGCAATGGGCTCTCCCTAGGTGCAGAAGAAATTGCTAGTTAGAGAGAGCTCCCTGACGCCCTAAGTAGGAGTGCGAGTATTCTACACACCCACCCAGAACACAACTCCAGTGCGTAGGCTGGAGCAAGTGCTGACGGGGAAGGCCTTGGGCCCTGATAGGGCTGCAGGAGGCAGGAGCCATGGCCGTAGCACCCAGCTGGATGCCCAGCGACAGGAGGTCTCAGCACTGGCTAACCTGAGCCTCACACACGGGGGTGTTATCTCATCATGCTTGCCCTCAGATGCATCTGCTTCCTCCTCTTGCTTCACAGTCACAGAACAGCACTTTTCTGGTCCATGATCCACAACTCTCAGTATCTTCAAATGCCAGTTCCAGCCCACCCACTGTCCTCTAGTTAGGCAGACCCATCCATGTACCACCTCGTCCCTCTGTGCCTGGCCCTGCATATACACTGGCTAACTACATGGAAGCAAGGGGGCAGCCCTCTTGCTCAGGCCTAAGTGCTCAGAAGACAGTGGAAGATGTTGGGCCTTGCATTGTGCTCCAAGTAGGTAAGACTAAGCAGAGGATACAGGATGATCCAGGGGGACTCCACTGACTGTGATGGCCACTTTATGAGTTCTGATTTGCATTCAAATTTCTGGCGTGGGTCAATGTGTGGATGAATGGTGGCAAATTAGCCAAGATTGAGAACACAGGAAGACAGGATTAGAGAAGCGGGAGAATCCATTTTAGGCAAACTTAAGCTGCCCATGAGACTTGCAGGCAGAAATATCTGAAGCTCAGGACTAGAAAGAGACCATGAAGATCAACAGCATAACAGAGGCTGCATAAAACTAGAGATAGACTGCTACTGTTTCAGCTGAGAGAAGAGAGAGAAACCATGAGCCAAGAAAGAAATACAGAAGAATGACAACATTCACAAAGTACTCAGAGGAGGGGACGCCCAGGAAGCAACTGTCAGAGACTATGCTGAGAATCAGGGGGAAGTGCCCCAGCAGGTTCCCGTAGGACTGGAGAACCCTGAACCCATGTACAGGTTGAAGGAAGGGACACTACCCTATTCTGTCTCCCCTCCATTAGCACAGGAATAGGAAGACCACGACCCTTGTGGCAAACTCTTCAGTGAAGGAGGGGGACTGATCAGGAGGGGTGAAGAGGGGCACCTCAGCTTCCTCCCTGTCAGTTGATAATCACAAATCCATACCTGAGCAGAGCTGAGACACTCATCACATAGAACACAACATGGACAAGAGACCCAAAGTTTCGCCCTTGAATTCACTCGATATTGACTTTACCAAAGTACTAAGAACTCAATATTGACTTTACCAAAGTACTAAGAATTCATTATTCATTCCCTCCACTTTGATATACATATTGGCAAATTTCCATTAAAACTTAAAAAAAAAAGTCTCCTGTGGACAGCGCCGGCCTGTGCTCTGGAAGCAGGAGCTTCATTCTCACCTCCTGGGTCTCTGCTTTGGGAGGCTCTGACCCTTCTTCCTCTTTATTCTCTTCAAGCGTCTTCCCAGAAAACTTCTTCAACCAGTCATCATCTGACCAAACTGAAAGGAAAGAATCAAACAAATGTTCATTCAAGCTGTCAGCTTGAACTGAAAAGTAGCTGCTTTGGTCAGCAAAGTGGAAGATGCTATGTGGCCTGTATGCCAGACAATTCCCCACTGAGAACTCCCAGGGGTAAGGAAAGTTCCCATCCAGAATGTAGGCCCTGAAGTCCAGCTCTCAGTAGGGCTAAGGAAAATAGCTATGCCGAAAGCAAAGGTGTAGCCTTTGCTGATTTCAGCCCTTGATGGAGACCCCAGGAATGGAATATCAAGAAAACTGGGAAAGATGAGCTCAGGCAGGAATTTCTCTCATAACAGAAACAATCACTTTGGCTTTGCTGAGAAGCTCAAACTCACTTGTTTCTCTAAAAAGGTGGTGCATGCCCTTCCCAATGTGAACCATCATCTACTCCTATCTACCAGGAAGCAGCATTTAGCATCTACTTCCAAGTAAATAGAGACAAAAAATGCAACTAAGGCCAAACTGCAGAACATCACAGGGAATCTGGAAGTTGCTCCTACTCACCTGGCCTGGAAGAGCCTTCCTTAATTCTCATTGGTTTGGCCAAATTGACACGAATTGTACGTCCAAAAAGCTCAGATTCATTCTGAAAAGATTGAAAATCCAGCTGCTTAAACTCTCTTAGGTTAAAAGAGGGCCAGCCAGCTTTCCATATACTTCTGAGACACACTCATGATTTGTCCTCCCTTAATCCCTGGGCCTCTACCAGTAAGCTATGCAGCCACCCCAAAGCCACCTGTGGGTTTCAGGGAACTCACACCCCTTTCTTTCATAGCAGCACACAAAGACCTGTATTACCAAAAGTAACTCTGGGTTCAGAACACTCCAAAATTACAAAAATAAATGCAGTTTCCCAGTATTTGAGTTCACCTTCAAAAGTCAAGATAAGCTTTGAAATGAAAGAAAAATGATCTCTGACAGCTGATGAATATGTTTGGTGAATGGATAACAGAACAACAAATAAAACAACATCTCATTATCCAAAGATAATCGGTACCAGGAAAGGTCATTTAAGGTGACTCCACTTGAAGTGGTGATGAAGATTTCGTGGTAAAATTGAAAAATTTTAAAAGGCTGACTGGGAAATTACTGTGATGAAACTAAAAATAATAAAAACAAGTTTCTTACCATTAATATTCAGGACTAACTATGCACTAATCGGTAGAAAGAAATGTAACTTGGTAGAAAGAAATGTAACAGGTAGCCCAGGTAGCCCTGTTGGCTTGAGCCTGTAATTCCAGCTACTTGAGAAGCTGAGAAGTCTTGAACTCATGAGTTCAAGATTGTTAAAAAAAAAAAAAAAAAAAAAAAGAAAGAAAGAAAAGTAACAGGCACTGAAGTATTATTTTTCCAACAAAATTCTATCAACAGTATGGTATCTTTGCACTTCTTATCAGACATGAAAACTAAAAGGATCTCAAGGAAGGCACAAATACTAAAGAGCATCATCATTTTTCCCAAGGACCTTTCCAGAATATCCAAATCATTTGTATCAGTGATTTGCACCTGCCATAATTAAATTTCTCTTCTCAATTGTAAATTGGTCTAACACTTCATGAAATCCTGCTATTTTGCAAAATATGCAGTTACACCGTGCAATCAATTTGCACTGTGTCTGCAAATTATCCTAAACATGGGAGAGCCAGTGAGAGACTGGTCAACAAGGATGATGAGGACTTACATTATTCTGAAATGGCGAAGGAGTCTGAGTAAGAACTAATTTTATAAGTGATCAATTCACAGTGAATATTTTCATGTGAGAATTTTTACCTCCCCATGCAACCTTGTAACTTTGGAAGTCCAGAACACTGATATATGAATAAGGAGCCTCTGTACCACCAAAAAGCAACTTTAGTTAGAATTAAGATTCCCAGCCATACCATGTTGTCGATAGCTGCTGCAGCATCCTGCCAAGGAAAGACAAAGGTACAAGTTTAGGCTTGCAGCCAAATGCTTCTTATGGTGTCTAAACACATGCTCAGTAGCAAAAATCCAGAAAAATGCCACCTCTGTATTTCTTGCCTAGGTTTTGTGTGTTTCTAACAAAGAGCACTTCCTGGCTGATTTTAGAGCTGGTGGTGCAACAATTTGCCATCTAGTTGAAGGCACAAGAAATAATCACTACTTCCAGGCAAGAATGCTCAATGAACAGGGGTGCATGAGCTAGCTCCTCTGCAGGGCAAGAATGGGAGGGCCTGGCAGGTCTGACATGTTATTCACAGTCCAGTCTGATTATGTGAGAGACGCTTTCCTTAGAACAGCACTTACTTCTGATCTCTCTGGAAGCATCAGCCTAAGGCCCAAAAACCTAACCAAATGGTGAAAAGCTTCCTTTGTAATCAGTAACAACATCACAAACCAAGGACTAGACACTAGTAACACAGACTCTCACCTCTGCCAACTCAAATTCAACAAAAGCAAATCCTCGGTGCTTTTCTACAAAATGGAAAAACAAAAACAAGTAATTACTATGTGGGGTAGTGGGAAGAAACAGGATGGTCACAAAGTGAAGTCAGTTACATGTCGTATCCAAACACCAGAAGTTCTATCCAATCACTATTTAGGAAGAAGGAATCTCATTCTTGATTCTTCTTATACAATATTTTAAGCAATAATAAACTTTGTTTTTTTAATGGACATAGCTGAATAGTAAACTGTATTTTTAATTGATAAGTATTCAATTATTCTACGAAAGCCAAACTTAAAACCTTAACCATTGCATGCAAAGCAATTAGAAAAATAAAGTCATTTGACCTATCAATTATCTATCTAAATATATATTTTGCGCATCAACTGTGCATAAAGCATGAATCCTAAAACCTGATAAAGATGCTCAGTCTTTATCTTCAGGAAAATGCTGAACTAACTAGAAAGACCAAGCACAATAATGTTTATCATAGAACTCAGAGACTAGAAGGCCCTTAGAAAGCCAACATAACCTTATCATTTTGCAAATAAAGATTTCCCAGGCCCAGAGAGTTTAAAGACTTTGCTAACAATCATATGCAAGGTTGATGATAAAACTAGGCCTAAAACTATAATCTTAAAAATGACAACAAAGGTAAACAGAAAACTGAACTGTGGTTGTGATACCAATCGATGGGAAACCCACCCAGGGGTGCAGAGGCCAAGAACCCCCGCCCTCACCCACCCCCATTATGGGGCTAGGCTTTCCCGCTGCCTCATTTAATAGCACAGCTGCAAGAAGGTGCAGGTGGGATGGGGTACCCATCAGGTAGATTAAAACAACATTCAAATCTCAATGTAGTTCAAACCTATCTCCCTACTGGTCTATTGAAAAATCTGTCTTATCTCAACCCAACAGCTGAAGACTCTGGAAAGTATTCAGAGTTCACAACCACATGGCCTCAGAACATTCCTTCTCCATCGAGATCACTGTCACCAGACACCTTCCTGAACTTACCTGTAGTGTATACTAACCATATTTAGAATGCATATTTAGAATTGTGATGTGACTTTAATTTTTTAAGGTATTTTCCTAGTAAGAGGATTCTGAACGTGAGAGACACTAACTCACCTGTTTCATAATCCAGAGGAATCTGAATATCTGTGATGTCTCCAAAAGGAATGAACGCAGCATGAAGAACTTTGTCGTCCACTTCCTCTGCCAGTCCACCTGCAAATAAGCCAAGGGCCTTCTGAGCCACTGATCTCCATACTCTTGCAGAAGTCCTTGCAGCCCAGTTAGCATGCTAGCCAGGGGACAGGACCCTTCCATTCAGTTCTTTGGGTAAACAAACATCCCCCTCTCATCTCTGCCCACCCATACTTATGAAAAATATTCCTCTCTTCGCCCTTCTTTCAGACTCTCATCTAGTCCTGGGATTACTGCAATAGCTTCACAACTGACCTCCCTGCCTCCATTCCATCAACTCCACAAAGCCAACTAGAATGATCTTAGGAAAATGCAAATTTGAACCCGTAACTTTTCGCTTACACTCCTTCAAAGGCTTCCCACTGTCCTCAGGATAAAGTGCAAACTCCTTAGCAGTACCCACCTCTCCAGCTTTTTTGCTTTGCTTCCTAATTTCCTGGGTCTCCCGAATAATGACCCACTTGCCCCCAAGTGTCAGGCTATTTCACACCTTTGCGACTCCCTTGCAGTGAACGGCCTTGCCTCTGCTTCGGTTACGTAGCTAACTCCTGCTCATCAGCTCTGGCATCGCCGCATCCAGAATTTGCCCTCGCTTCTCCAGATGGATGGGTCATTTGTCCCGCAGCCAGGCCCATATTATCATGATCCATCCTCACTACAGCGCTTATCAAAAGTGTGCTACTGAGGTAATTCCACTTTTTTTCTGGCTAGTCTGGGAACTCCTTCCTTTATGGCAGGGGCTGGGGCTGAGCCGTCGCTGCACTGAATGTTTGTAAAACAAATGAACGAGAGGATCCGAAGGGCCATAATACTCCTTTACCGCTCCTCGGGGCCCGCTGGAGCTCAGCGGGCTAGGAAGTCAGAATAATCATTCCGTCTCGGGTTCACGCACCTGAGGTGTGTGGCAAGGCTGTTCACTGCAAGGGAGTCGCAAAAGCAGAGGCCCAAAGGTGTGAAATAACCTGAACCTTGGGGGCAAGTGGGTCATTTTTCGGGAGACCCAGCGAATCGGGAAGCAAAGCAAAGAAGCTGGAGAAGTGCGTACTGCTAAGAAGTCTGCACTTTTTCCTGAGGACAGTGGGAAACCTTGGAAGGAGTTTAAGCACAGCCAGAGCTATCGCCAGCACTACCGCCAGAGACCCGGCCTTGACAGCAGCTCGCCGTCCTCCTGGTTCAGAGATGCGTCCCACCCCACGCCCCGACCCTTGGGGGTCGCGTTCACTCAGACTCCGCCTAGCAACCCCTCCTGCTCACCCACGTACAAGACGCGCTTGGTGGTGGCCATCTTGCTCGCGCGCTTTTCCGCCGGAAGCCAGCACTCGACCCGTCCTCTTCCCCACTGTCCCGCCCCGCCCCCAACGCTTAGCTCTTAGACCCCGCCCACCCTCGCGTTGGTCCAACCGGCATCCCGCTACCCGGATGCACTGGGCGCCTTGTGAGGTGCGCAGTGGTAAACCAAGGGACGTGGTCCTCGCGCTTCCCAGTGCGCACCGTGTTGGGGGAGGGAAACCTTGGCCGAATCAACCCGATTATTATGGGCAAACGATAAACTCTGGTGCTTGGCCATCCTGCGCGTCTGTTTTTGGACAACCTGGGAGCTAAGAATGAATTTTACCTTTTGAAATAGTTGGAAAAAATAAAAAAACTATATTTTCTTGGCCGGGCGTGGTGGCTCATGCCTGTAGCCCCAGCACTTTGGGAGGCTGAGGCGGGCGGATCACCTGAGGTCAGGAGTTCGAGAGCAGCCTGGCCAACATGGTGAAACCCCGTCTCTACTAAAAATGCAAAAATTAGCCAGGCGTGGTAGCGGGCGCCTGTAATCGCAGCTACTCAGGAGGCTGAGGCTGGAGAATCGCTTGAACCCAGGTAGCGGAGGTTGCAGTGAGCAGAGATCGCGCCGTTGCACTCCAGCCAGGGTGACGAGAGCGACACACCATCTCACAAAATATATATGTATATTTTCTTAGCACATGAAAATTATGTGAAATTAAAATTTCAGTGTCCGTAAAGAAAGCTTTATGGGGACACAGCCACGCTCATTCCTTTAAGTATGACTGTGGCTGCTTTCCTACTACAAGGGCAGAAGAGCTATAGCCTGCAAAGCCTACAATAATATTTACAATCTGGCTCTTCAGAAAGAACGTTTGTCTACTCGTGTTAGGTTTTGAAAAGAAGGCAAGGGTTAAAGAAAGACACACACACACACACACACACACACAGAAAGAGGGCGGCTCGACAGCAAACGCAGGCTTTATGTCCAGCATAATAACCTACAGAAGTGGGGAACCAGCCTAATGCCAGTGCCCACCACTGCTTACAGACTGGGCAATTTATAGGTATGGGCGGTAGGGGTCTGGGCAGTATGGGTTGCTGCCTAGCAGGATATTGATATAAAGATGTTCTCATGATGAGGCGGTTTGGCCCTTGTTCCAGTGGGATGTCATCATGGTGTCCCTTGGACCTTTGCCCAGGAAGATATGAGAGGGATGTTTCTTTAGTTGGGCCTTTGTCTGCCTTGTGGTCGGGTGGTTAGGCAGGATGTTTCTCACAGCCCAAACCCCTGTGAAATGTTTCACTTTGACCAAGGTCTGCAGAATAGCAGGGAGCTTACAAAATGGTGCAGTTTAGAGTAACATCTTGGACTAAACCCACTAATATATAAATTACAGGTTGACATAGTGGTAGGAAATAATGGGACCATCTATTTTATATGGAGCAGGGGGTTAAGACCTTCCTGAGGTGACATTTAAGCTGAATTCTGAAGGAAAAGGAGCCAGAGAGAGGAGGAGGCAGCTTCCGCACACTCAAGGAACTAAAAGACCAGAGCCTGGGATGGTGGGGTGGAGGGCATATCAGGTGGGAAAGGTAGGCAGAGGGCCACATCATGAGGGTGCTGTAAGCCTTCTGGAAGATTTGGGAGCTTTGAGAAGCTGCTGAAGTTACAACAGGAGAGTTACATGCTCACATCATTTTAGACAGTGCTCTGACACTAGGCCCAGGATGGGTTGATTGGAACCCAGGAGACCAGGAAGTTAATGTAGTAGACTAAGGAAGAGTTGATAGTGGCTCTGTTCCTCCAATCCACTTGTCCAGGGTGATTTTTTTTTTCTTTTTTTCTTTGAGACAGGGTCTTGCTCTCTTACCCAGGCTGGAAGGCAGTGACATGATCATGGTTCACTGCAGCCTCAACCTCCCAGCCTCAAATGATCCTCCCACCTTAGCCTCCCGAGTAGCAGCTGGGAGTACAGGTGCACGTCACCATGCCCAGCTAATTTTTTTTTTTTTTTTTTTTTTTTAGAGACAGGGTCTTGCCATGTTGCCCAGGCTGGTCTCAAACTCCTGGACTCAAGCGATCCTCCTGCCTCGGCCTCCCAAAGTGCTGGGATTACAAGTGTGAGCCACTACACCCGGCCTAGGGTTATCTTTCTTCAAAATAAACCTAAATTCTCTAGAACTCCCTACCTAAATCACTGATGCTGCTAACAAGGTCCTTGACAAGGGGTCCATGCCTACCTCAAGTCAACCCTGACCTCCACATCAGTTCCTCACCTACTTACCATGGGCTCTTTTTCCTTGCCTCTGCTTTTGCTCATTGAGTTCTTTCTTTTCTCCATCTGGAGGCACCCACCAGTCCTTGTCAGAGGTCCTAGTTAAGCTTCACTCACCCAAATCCCCTATAGACAGAGTCCATAGTCCCCAAGTTCAGAAGTCAATTGGAATACACCCTATAACTATAGTCAGGTATGTCTCTCTCTCCCAGTAGATGAAGGTATTTGACACCACGGCCTGTACCCATTGTATTCCCAGAGCTAAGCAGTGGCTGCGCACACAGCTGACCTTACCAACCTCATGCCAAACCAGGGAGTTGATACTTATAGGAATGAGGCTGTGAGATCTGATTAGGAGAGCTCTTTGTGTACCCGTCACTATTCCAAAACAAAAGGTCACTCTCAGGAAGAATCTGACCAGGCGTCCTTTATGTGGTGTGGTATAATAAAAAATAGATACTTGGTCTTTGTCCTAGTTCCTGGCACAGAGCTTCTAAAATCATTGGAATATCCTGAGTGCTGTGTCTTTTGTTATTCATAATGAGCCCATTTTGACCCTACCTAAGTTTGTGCTAAGCAGATGACTCAAGGTAGAACCCCTAGCTCGCTTCAGGATGGGGGTTGGTCATCAGAGAAACCAACCATGTGATTAGAGGGTTGGGACTTCCAGCTCCCGCCTCCAACCTCTGAGGAGAGGAGGGGGTTGGAAATTGGGTTCAATCACCAACACCCAGTGGTTTAATCAGCCATGCCTAGGTAATGAAACCTCATATAAACACTCTAAATGCGGTTTGGGGAGTTTCCAGGTTGGTGAATACATTGATGTGCTTGGAACACAGCATGCCTAGAGAGGGCATGGAAGCTCACCAGCCCCTCTCCATTCCCACCTTGCCCTGTGCATCTCTTCCTACAATCTTTACAGCCAAGTTTGAATGCATTGTTTGGATAAGGAGGAACAAATGTCTCCTGTGGGGAAGATAGTTCATAAAAAACCAAACGGAATCTCAGTAACCTTGGTGTCTGCGTCAGCACCAGCTTCTGGCCCTCTCTTCTTTCGTAGGCGCGTGGGTCACTCACTCAGCACCTGCTTCTGTTCTTGGGAAAGTGCTGCCGCCAGCATGGAGGCAGTCAGGGGTTCCTGGCCTGCACATGGACAGCAGGCTGGGGTGCCTGGGAACCAGGAGAAGCAGTGGGTTAGCACCCAAGGAAAGGACAGCACTCGATGGTGGTCAAAGTTAGGACACTCCAACCACTCGACACCTGAATGCTACCATTCAGAATCCAGGCGAAGGGGAGAAGTAATGGTTTTTGACCAAATTCAGCGCATTTTGAGGGGAGTGGTGGTGATATAAAACTGTATAGATTCTCCATCGCGCTCAGTGCCTCACGCCTGTAATTCCAGCACTTTGGAAGACGGAGGCGGGTGAATTTCTTGAGCTCAGGAGTGTGAGACCAGCCTGGCCAATATGGCAAAACCCTGCCTCTACTAAAAACACAAAAATTAGCCAGGTGTGGTGGTGTCTGTCTGTAGCTTCAGCTACTCAGGAGGCTGAGGCAGGAGAATCACTTTAACTCAGGAGGCGGAGGTTGCAGTGAGCCGAAATTGTACCACCGCACTCCAGTCTGGGTGGCAGAGTGAAATTCTGACTCAAAAAACTAACTATGAAGCTGAGTGTGGTGGCTCACACCTATAATCCAAGCAATTTGGGAGGCCGAGGTGGGCGGATTGCCTGGGGTCAGGAGTTCAAGACCAGCCTGGCCAACATGGTGAACCTCTGTCTCTACTAAAAACACGAAAATTAGCTGGACGTGGTGGTGTGCACGTGTAGTCCCAGCTACTCGGGAGGCTGGGGCGGGAGAATCACTTGAACTCGGGAGCCAGAGGTTGCAGTAAGCCAAGATGGCACTACTGCACTCCAGCCTGGGTGATAGAGTAAGACTCCATCTCAAAAAAACATCCAAACAAACAGAAAAACTGCATAGATTCTCATCATATGTATAATAACATGCAACATAATTAGAAAGGGAAGGTGAAAAGAGCCCATCCAGAGCACACCTACTCTTCGTTGAGCCTAGTGCTAGGGAGATATTTCCACAGACATTTAGTTGTCACAAACTTGAGATAGAGATTATCTCCCCATTTTACCCAGGCCACCCAGGGAGGTCAAGCAATTTACTCACATTAGCAAAGTAATAACTGAGTATTTAATTTGTTGATTGAATATATAAAGCTCCAGTAACTATCTTTAGCAGTACAGCTTTTTTCTAAGGACCACATTATCCCCTTTGGAGGGATGCCCAGAAGTGACTGGATCAAAAGGTGTAAATACCAAAACAGTTATAATTATTATATGCCATAATGCCTCTTTCATTAAATGCTCTAGAAACATTAGCATATGATGTCAGTGATGAGCTCCAGTCTAGAAGTAGGTCCCTGAAGGCAGCAGAAAGGCTTCGTATCTTTTCATGTGGCATTAAGGTTTGGAAATCGCTTTAGAAAGCTTTAAGTAGGTGAAATGAATAGGAGTGTGGGAAGCATCATTCTCCTGTATTTCTGAGGGGAGCATTTAGACATCATAGTCACACTTAGCACAATTTGTATTTGCATTTTCTTTTTATTTTTTTGAGACAGAGTCTCACTCTGTTACCCAGGCTGGAGTGCAGTGGTGTGATCACGGCTCACAGCAGCAGCCTCAAGCCTCAACCTCCTGGACTCAACCTCCTGCCTCAGCCTCCCGAGTAGCTGGGACTACTGACTAGCGTGCACCATCACACCTGGCTAATTTTTCTATTTTTTTGTAGAGATGGGGTTTTGCCACATTGCCCAGGCTGGTCTCAAACTCCCGGGCTCAAGCGATCCTCCCACCTCAGCCTCCCAGAGTGCTGGGATTACAGGCATAGCATAAGCCACAGTGCCTGGCTGCATTTACATTTTTTAAAATATTCAAAACTAGAGGACGCATTTACTTTTTAAAACCCCTTCTCTCCAACCAGAGAAAGAGCATTTTGAAAGTGGGACCATGTCAGTTTGCTTACCACTGTAATCCCATACCACTGCACAATTCCTTGGTATTTAGTAGACTTTTAATACCTGATGAATGAAATACAGAAAACCTTCTTGCAAATAAAGTTGAAATGGAAAATTCTATTCTTAGCACATTGGGTGCCTGGGCTCCACTACAGAGGCTGAATCACAGGCCGTGGGCTGCCAACATCGGAGGTGTATTTATACAGAGCAACAGCACAAGGAGGAGCAGTGAGCGTGAGTGTGGTGGCACAGGTGCTACATGCCGCACAGCTGCAGGATTCCCAAAGAAAAGAACAAACCCAGTTCAAGTTCGTCACTCTTAGCAACCGCAGTCTCCAAGAGTCTTCCTGGATTCTTAACTGAGTCAGTGTTTGTATCATGGAGACTGTTTGAGGGACTAGAAGCTAAAACATTCTATCTGCCACTCAGTGACACTTTTCTTCGCTGATAGCAGGAGGGACAGATGTCCAAGTCTGCCAAAATCTAGGGCTGTTTTTCTGCCTTACACCACAACTTCATAGGGCTGCATTTACCAGTGCCCTAAACTCTAGTGTCTTAGGTCTGGCAGGTTCCATATTCTAAGATAGTGGTCCTAAAATATGAAACTGCATCAGAATCATTGGAGGGCTTGTTACAACACAGGTTGCTAAGCGCTACTTCCAGGGTTGCTGATTCAGTCAGTCTTGAGTGAAGCCAAGAATGCTCGCTTCTAACAAGTTCCCAGGTGATGTGGAAACAGCTGGTCTGGGGACTATACTTTAAGAACCACTTTTTCCAAGAAAGGAATGACATGTTAAAAGGCAGTAGAAGCAGCCCATTCTGGGTGCAAACAATACGGAGGTGTGTTGTCTGGACAGAATTTTAAAACACTAATAAAACAACTAAAAGGTCAGTCACTTTTGACTGGGCACGGGGGCTCACGCCTGTAATCCCAGCACTTTGGAAGCCGAGGCAGGTGGATCACTTGAGCTCAGAAGTTCAAGACCAGCCTGGGCAAGGTTGAAAATCCTGTTTCTACAAAAAATACAAAAAAATTAGCTTGGCATGGTGGCATACACCTTTGGTCCCAGCTACTTGGGAGGCTGAGGTAGGAGGATCACCTGAGCTTGGGAGGTCAAGGCTGCAGTGAGCCATGATCATATCACTCCAGCCTGGGTGATAGAGTGAAACCCTGTCTCAGAAAACAAACAAACAAACAAACAAACAAACAAACAAAAACCAGGTGCAGTGGCTTATGCCTGTAATCCCAGCACTTTGGGAGGCTGAGGCGGGTGGATCACTTGAAGTCAAGAGTTTGAGACCAGCCTGGCCAACATGATGAAACTCTGTCTCTACTAAAAATAGAAAAATTAGCCAGGCATGGTGGTGCATGACTGTAATCCCAACTACTCAGGAGGCTGAGGCACAAGAATCGCTTGAGCCTGGGAGGTGGAGGTTGCAGTGAGCCAAGATTGCACCACTGCACTCCAGCCTGGGCAATAGAGGGAGACTCTGTCTCAAAAAAAAAAAAAAAAAAAAAGTCAATCACTTTTTATTATCATCATGCTCATGCAACTCTGAACAATATCAGTCACAAAACACTCCTGAAAAAAAATCTTTCAACTGTTTCTAAGTTGAAATAATTGCTATGGATGCTCTTAAATATAAATCAAGTTAGCACATTTTATAACTTATCCTTAATAAACACTGTATTCTATACAAAAATTAATTTGGGAATCTTACTATGCAGTTGGTCTCTAAGACACTTTGAGCTACATATGCTTATTTAGAGGGCAAGTTCTTACTGATTCAGAACAGTTTGAGTTCCTTCAAGATCACTGTGGTCACAGTTTGTGTCTCTAAGCCTTGTGTTACTACAGATTGCGTTTAAACAATAGATTTAAAATGAAAGAGAATATGGTTGTATGTGATTTTTCTTTTCCAAGTCATCTTTTTTTCCAGGGTGAAGTTTTAGATGAAGTTTCTAAGACAAAATATTTGCAAACAGTGGGACTTGGCCTTGAAAAATGTACAGTAAAATAGTAAGCTTTACAATTGTCACATGGATTTGGCAATTGTCTCCTAGACAAGATGCCAAAAACCCAGCAACAAAAGAAAAAAATAGGTAAATTAGACATCATCAAAATTAAAAGCTGTTATACATCAGACAACACTATTAAGAAAGTGAAAAGATAACCCACAGAATGGGAGAAAACATTGGCAACTAATGTATCTGATAAGAATCTAGTATCCAGAATATGTAAAGAACTTTTTCAACTCAACAATAGAAAGACAATCTTATTAATATACATGCAAAGGACTTGAATAAACATTTCTCCGAAGAAGATAAACAAATGGCCAACAAGTACATGACAAGATCAACATTGGTCATAAGGGAAATGCAAATCAAAACCACAATGAGATACCACTTCACATCCATTAGATTGGCTATCCTAAAAAATTAAAAATAACAAGTGTTGACAAGGATGTGGAGAAATTGGAACGCTTATACATTGCTAGTGAGGATGTTAAATGATATTTTGATTTGCATTTCCCTAATGACCAATGTTGATCTTGTCATGTACTTGTTGGCCATTTGTTTATCTTCTTTGGAGAAATGTTTATTCAAGTCCTTTGCCTGTATATTAATAAGATTGTCTTTCTATTGTTGAGTTGAAAAAGTTCTTTACATATTCTGGATACTAGATTCTTATCAGATACATTAGTTGCCAATGTTTTTCACTGTGGAAAATAGTTTAGCTGTACCTCAAAAAGTTAAATGTAATTACCATATTCACCAGCATTTCCAACCTAAATATATACCTGAAAGAATAGAAAACAAATATTCACACAACAACTTCTACACAAATGTTCATAGCAGCACCATACACAATAGCCAAAAGATGGAAATAACCCAAGCATCCATCAACAAATGAATGGATTTTAAAATGTGGTATATCAATATAGTGAAATGTTATTCAGCCATAAAAAGAAATGAAGCACTGATACATGTTAAAACATGGATGAGCTTTGAAAACATTACACTGATTGAAAGAAGCCAGACACAAAAGGCCACGTATTATGTGATTCCATTTACGATAACTGCTTAAGCACAGGGTTTCCTTTTCGGGGGATCAAAATGTTCTGGAACTGTTACTGAAACACCAGGGGTTCTGTCTAGGTCCTGCTGCTCACAGCACAGAAAGCCAATGACTGAGAAAACGAAGGACAAGGCTTTAATCAGGTGCTGCGGCTGAGAAGATGGGAACTCAGTATCAAATCCAACTCCCTGACTGACTAAAACTAAGGATTTATATAGCAGGGGAGAAATGTAATGATGTGTAAGAAAACAGAAACTGGGGAGGGGCAAGGAAGCAAACATGATGAATGAGGGGTCTGGCATCTTATTGTTGGAATGTGGTGATATGGTGAGTTTTTATTCTTTGATACTTTTTTTTTTGAGAGGCCTGAAAGTTATTTCCTCGTGAAGAAACTCAGATAAAACAAATGTTAAGTTTCAAGCCTTAAGACCAGAAGGGTCAATTCCTGTTTATGCAATAAAACTATCTATGGGACTAATGGGTCGGTTCCAGAACTAGATAGTGATGAGGGTTGCACAACATTGTGAAAGTACCAAATGCCACTGAATTGCACACTTTAAAATGGTTACAATGGCAAGTTTTGTGTTGTGTGTATTTTGCCACAATAAAAAGAATTGTCGATTGGGCCGGACTTCTAGTGATGGTGGAATGAAGAGTTCACAAACTGTCTCATGAAAAACAACTATAAAACCGGACAGAATTGTCAAAGACAGACATCTCAGGCCTCTAGAAATTGACAATGCACACAACAAATTGAGAAGTGTTTATTCATGAAAAACTGCTGAACTTCAGGTAAGAACAGTGGGAATCTGTGGTGTTTTTGCCTGGTACTCTCACCTCTCCCCTCCCTGTCCAGTATGGATGGCACAGCCATGCTACCAGGGCAGAGCTGGTTGTGAAAAACAGCAGCTTTGCTGCTGCTGGAAAGGGCTGACTTGATTTAGAATAGAGAACAAAAAACATATGCCAAGTAATATTCTCAATAAGAATATCAAGCTCAGTGGGAATTGAACTGGGAAAGCCATAGCTCTGCTAGCCTGAGGTTGCAGTCCCACTAGGCAGCCAAGCTAGAAATTTAACAAGGAGATCCCGGAAACAAAAAAACCGAAGAGGGACTGGATGAGCTCTCCCCACATCCCTGGCTGGTTGGAGGGCTGCGCCACACATGTACAGGCAAGGCCCAAAAGGGCTTTAGCTCTGCATACATTCCTGGCAGACTGGAGACTGTCCACACAAAGGAAGTACCAGAAAAGCCCATTGGAAAGGAAAACCTGGGGAAAACTTGAAAAGTGCCCAGACTTTGAAAGCACTCCTCAACCCACACACAGATTCACAGGCAAAGAGTGGAAGGCTTGCTGGCACAAAGTGTTTGAGTAAAACCTCTGACTAATCATTGGTTTACCACTGAGATATTCAGACACGAGGGTGCCCCCTAGGAAGCCAAGATTTTAAAAAAATAAGAATTAGAAAACAAACAAACAAAAAACAAAAAACACTTGAGACAGACAACTCTAAAACACCCCTAAGAGAGACAGGTTCTGCAAATTTAATCCAGGCAAGTTTCTAAAAGGCGAAACAAATAATAAACAAGCAAATAAAATCAGCCAGGTGTAGTGGCTCGTGCCTGTAATCCCAGCATGTAAGGAGTCTGAGATGGGAGGATCACTTGAGCCCAAAAGTTCGAGACCAGCCTGGGCAACATAGTGGTGATACGGAAATGCTGGTAAAGGAAGAGCATAGTCCTATTTATTTATTTATTTATTTATGAGACAGAGTCTTGCTCTGTCGCCCAGGCTGGAGTGCAATGGCGCAATCTCTGCTCACCGCAACCTCTGCCTCCTGGGTTCAAGCAATTCTGCCTCAGCCTCCCGAATAGCTGGGATTACTGGCGCCCGCCACCACGCCCAGCTAAGGTTTTGCATTTTTAGTAGAGATGGGGTTTCACCTTGTTGGCCAGGCTGGTCTCAAACTCCTGACCTCGTGATCCACCCGCCTCGGCCTCCCAAAGTGCTGAGATTACAGGCGTGAGCCACCGCGCCCTGCCCGAGCATAGTCACTTTTAAATGATACGGAAAAGGGGGAGGGAAGTGCTGGTAGAGGAGGGTGTGGTCCCTGGCTAGGGCTCCACCCCCATGAACGAGGATGAGGACAAGCATTTTTGTTTTCGTGACCAAATGCTGCATTTCCGAAGACCACCCTGACCTGCCACGCCCCCATCCTCTGCCTATAAAAACCCTGAGACCCTAGCCGGCAAACACACAAGCTGCTGGATATGGAGCGGAGCAGATCGGTGGAAGAACACAGAGGCTGCTGAAGGTAGAGAAGCGCACAACAGCGGAGGAACACACGGGTGGCTGGATGTCAAGAGCACTGCACCGACAGGAACTGGTATGCCCACAGTCCACCGACTGGCAGAACAATGCAGAGTGTGGTTCTCTGAGTGCCCGACTCCGGCGGGAAACCATCTCTCTTCTGGGTTCCCCATCTGCTGAGAGCTAGTTCCACTCAATAAAACCTTGCACTCATTCTCCAAGCCCACGTGTGATCAGATTCTTCCGGTACACCAAGGCAAGAACCCCAGGATACGGAAAGCCCTCTGTCCTTTCGACAAGGTAGAGGGTCTAATTGAGCTGGTTAACACATGCCACCTCTAGACGGCAAACTAAAAGAGCACCCTGTAACACAAGCCCACTGGGGCTTCAGCTGTAAACATTCACCCCTAGACACTGCTGTGGGGTCGGATCCCTGCAGCCTCCCCGTCTGTATGCTCCCCTAGAGGTTTAAACAGCGGGGCATTGAAGAAGTGAGCCACACCCCCATCCCACGCCCTGTGAAGGAGGACAAGGGAACTTTTTCCGTTTCAGTGGGACCCCATCTTTACAAAAAAATAATTTAATTAGTCAGGCATGGTGGCATGCACCTATAGTCCCAGGTTTTCAGGAGGCTGAGGTGGGAGGATTGTTTGAGGCCTGGGGGTGGGGGCTGAAGGCTGCAGTGAATAGTGATTCTGCCAATGCACTCTAGCCTGGCTGACAGAGGAGACCCTGTCTCAAAACGAAACAAAAAACTGACCTGCAATAAAAACAACCCTCAGGGGAAAAATCAGAATCCAGAGTCACTACAGCATATTATTTTAAAATCCAGTTTTCGACAAAAATAATGAGACATGCAAAGAAACAGGAAGATGTGACTCATACTCAGAAAAAAAAACCCGTCAATAGAAAATTGTCACTTTTCAAGACCAGGTGTTGCATTCAGCAAACAAAGACATCAAAACAGCTATTATAAATATGTTACAAAATTTATAGTAACTATGTTTAGAGAAATAAAAAAATTAATGTCAAAGACTCAACAAATAGTAAATCTCAATAAAGAACTAGAAGCTATAAACAAGAATTAAATGGAAATTCTAGAATCAAAAAGTACAATAACAAATGAAAAATTCACAAAATGAACTCAGCAGCAGACCTGAGATGTCAGAAGAAAGAATCAGTGAACTTGAAGATAGTAGAATAGAAATAATCTAATCTGAGGAAGAGAGAGAAAGATGAAACAAAAGGAATAGAACCTCAGAGATCTGTGGTATATCATGAAGCATACAAACCTGTGTCAAAGTGTGATGTCTATGGAAGTCTCAGAAAAAAGAGAGAAAGGGGAAGAAAACATACTTGAAGAAATAATGGACAAAAACTTTCCAAATTTGAAAATTCATCTACAGATTTAAAAAACCCAAGGAACTCCAAGTAAGAGAAACATAAAGAAATCCACATTTAAACACATTGTCATCAAACTGTGTTTTTTGTTATTTGTGTGTGTGTGTGTGTGTGTGTGGCTTTTTTGTTTGTTTGTTTGTTTTTTGAGACAGAGTCTCGCTCTGTCACCCAGGCTGGAGCGCAGTGGCGTGATCTTGGCTCACTACAACCTCCACCTCCCAGGTTCAAGCGATTCTCCTGCCTCAGCCTCCCTAGTGGCTGGAATTACAGGAGTGTTCCACATAGAGAAATCCTGTCTCTACTAAAAATACAAAAATTAGCTGGGTACAGTGGTCCACACCTGTAATCTCAGCTACTGGGAAGGCTAAGGCACGAGAATCGCTTGAACCTGGGAGGCGGAGGTTGCAGTGAGCCAAGATTGTGCCACAGCACTCCAGCCTGGGCAACAAAGTGAGAATCTGTCTCAAAAAAAAAAAAAAAAAAGTCAATAGATACATTAATATAGTACACTTAAAAAATGTTTTAACACAAAAGAAGGCAGTCAAGGAAGGGCAGAGAAACAGAACAGGATAAATATAGAAAACAAACAGAAAAATGGCAGTCATAAATCCAGCTATACCAATAAATACATTAAATGTGAATAGACTAGACAGAAAAAACAGACTGTTAGACTAAATGTTTTAAAAAGCAGGATTTAATTATATATTGTCTATCAGAGACACATCAAATTCAAAGACAGAAGTAGGTTGAAAGTAAAAGGATGATAAAAGATGTATCACATGAACAGGAATCCTAAGAAAGCTAAATTGGCTGTATTAATATCAGACAAAATAGGCTTTAAGATAAGAAATATTACTAGAGATAAGTATAAAAAGTACTCCTGCAACTGAGTAATAAGAAGACAAATGATCTAATTTAAAAATGGGTGGCCAGGCGCGGTGGCTCACGCTTGTAAGCTCAGCACTTTGGGAGGCCAATGTGGGTGGCTGACCTGAGGTCAGGAGTTCGAGACCAGCCTGGACAACATGGTGAAATCCCATCTCTATTAAAAACACAAAAATTAGCTGGGCAAGGTTGCAGGTGCCTGTAATCCCAGCTACTTGGGAGGTTGAGGCAGGAGAATTGATTGAACCCGGGAGGCGGACGTTACAGTGAACTGAGATCACACCACTGCACTCCAGCTTAGGCGACAGAGCAATACTCCATTTCAAAAATAAATAAATAAAAATAAAAATAAAATAAAAATGGTCAAAAAATTTGAGTAGACATTTCACCAGAGGAGAGATGAAGAGACAAAGAATTGATGAGTAAATGAAAAGATGCTCAACATCTTTAATCATTCGGTATATGCATATTAAAACCGAAACGAATATGCTACTCACATCTGTAGTCCTGGCACTTTGGGAGGTCAAGGCAGGCGGATTACTTGAGCCCAGCAGTTTGAGACCAGCCTGGGCAACATGGCAAGACATGTCTCTGCAAAACACACACACACACACACACACACACACACACACACACACACACACACACACACACACTAGCCAGGCGTGGTGGCTCTGTGGTCCCAGCTCCTTGGGAGGCTGAGGTGGGAGGATCTATTAAGTCCAAGAGGGTGAGACTGCAGTGAGCCATGATCCTGCCACTGCACTTCAGCAAAAAAAGAAAATACACTGCTGATGGGAATATAAAATGGTGGAACTACTTTGAAAAGAGTTTGACACCTACTAAAATTTTAACTCTAACTATGACCCAGCAATTCCTCTCCTAGATATCTACCCAAGAGAGATAAAAGTATATGTCCACACACAGACTTGTCCATGAAATGTTCATAGCACAATTGTTCATAAATAGCTAAAATCTGATAATAATGCAATGTCCATCAAGTGGTGAGTGCATAAAGAAAATATCCTCATAATGGAATGCCACTCAGCAAATTTAAAAAGGACATGCTACACCATGGCTGAACTTCAAAAATACGTTGCTGAGTGAAAGAAGCTAATCACAAAAGACCACATATTGTGTGATTCCATTTTTACAAAATTTCCAAAAAGAGTCAAATCTATAGACTGTGAAAGCAGATCAATAGTTGCCTGGGGCTGGCGGTGGGAGCAGGGACTAACTACAAACAGGAACAAGTAAACTTTTTGAGATGATGAAAATGTTCTAAAGCTGGATTGTGATTTATAGAGTTACTAAAGATCATTGAATTATACATTTACAATGGATGCCCTTCATGATAGGTAAATTACAACTCAATAAAGCTGTTTAAAAATTAATAACTTTCAACTGCTATACAAAATTATGGAGGTGGGCATTAATTATGGAACAATAAAAGGCAAGGAAATGGATATTTGCATAGAAAAAAGAAGCCCAAAGAGGAATACTGAGAGAAACAACAAAAGATGCTGCTCACGCCTGTAATCCCATCACCATGGGAGGCCAAGGCGGATGGATCATTTGAGGCCAGGAGTTCAAGAAGAGCCAGCCAACATGGTGAAACTCCATCTCTACTGAAAATACAAAAATTAGCCAGGCGTGGTGGTGCACACCTGTAGTACCAGCTACTCAGGAGGCTGAAGTGGGAGAATCACTTGAACCCAGGAGGCAGAGGTTGCACTCTCAGCCTCCTGGGTTGAGTTGCTGAGATCATGCCACTGCACTCCAGCCTGGGCAACAGAGCGAGACTCTGTCTCAAAAATAATAATAAAAAAAGATGTCGGTCTTACACTACCAGAAGAAATAAAAATGATAATGTTTTTACGACTAAATTGTTTTCACAGAGGTCTGGACACTCATTCTAAACAAATGGATCAAATAATGTTAATGTTCATCATGATTTAGCAAACTTCTGATTTTTGCAGGAGAAGTGAAACCCTTTTATTTGAACCAAATATGACATAAATACTTGATAAATTTTCTGGTAAATATATTTTAATGGAATTTTTTTAACTGAGGAGACATTTGAAAGTTACTTGAATAAGTTCCAATGAATAAATACATGGACAGAATTTTAATCTCTGGAATTTGTGAGATGGGGTTTTTACGAGTCTTTGACAAATTTTCCTATGTTTAAGACTTTTCCTAAGTATTTGTATGTATGTTGCTTCATGTGAAACAACCTTTTTAAATTTGAAATTAATAAAATGGGTTTTTCAATCAACTCTGAGTGAAGATAGAAAAATTTATCTGTGTTATAGCTTTTTAAGAATTTGTCTAGCAGGTTTTCCATTTTTTACTAGAAAATCCCCCACAAAAAGAAAAAGAAAAATCTGTCTGTACTGTCTATTGAACATAAGGCTGCAAAAAAGATAAATTTAGACACAGTCATTGACAAATTTGCAGAAGTTAAGGCTCAAAAATCATAATTGTAATATTAATTACCATTACAGAACAAAATAAGTAGGTTTTTTCCTTTTTTCAAAAAACACATTAAGGTAATTAAAATTATTCATTAATTACTCTTTTCCTTTTTGTATTGTAATATTCATTTATATTGGCATTTATTTATTTATATAGACAAAAGTTCTTACTATCTGCTTTTTAATTTCTGGGACTTATTATTACTATTATTATTATTTTTTTGAGACACGGTTTCACTCTTGTCGCCCAGGTTGGAGTGCAATGGCACGATCTCGGCTCACTGCAACCTCCGCCTCCCAGGTTCAAGTGATTCTCCTGCCTCAGCCTACTGAGTAGCTGGGATTACAGGCGCCCGCCACCACCCCCAGCTAATTTTTGTATTTTTAGTAGAGACGGGGTTTCACCATGTTGGCCAGGCTGGTCTTGAACCCCTGACCTCAGGTGATCCACCCGCCTCGGCCTCCAAAAGTGCTGGGATTATAGGTGTGAGCCACCATGCCCAGCCTATTCTTATTATTATTCATTTTATTTCATGATTTTACTGAAAATGATTTTGTCATATGAAAAAGAGGGACAGTAAAAAAATTATCCATTCCAGGTGGCAAATAAGCTAGGTACTCACTTGGGTAAAAGTGAATGAAGAAATTCCTACACTTATGTATGTATTCAGTCATTCAGTCATTCAAGAAGTATTTACTAAGCAAATGTAATACACCAGGAAATATTCTAGGTGCTGAGGACACAGGAAATCCCATTCTCATCGAGTTTACATTCTAGTGATTCACTCAAGAATCCTGTATGGAGCTCTCCCATTCCATACAAGTGCAGTGGTGTGTTGGAGCTGGCTTGCATTGGCTTGTGAGAGCCAGGTGTGTGCATCTCTTTCCAACTCCCTATTCAGTTATGTTATGCCAGTAACTTCGAATTGGCCATGGTGGGAATATTTACACCATGGAAATAGGCAAAAGCTATAAATCAGGGCTTTTGTTTTGGAGTCAGTTGCTAAATATTTGCCAGCCTACCACTACAAGTCACTCAGTCAGAGAGTTCTTCCCTGATTAATCAATTTATAGAAGCCTGCCCCAGTTATTCTGTCACATGCCCCTGTGTTATTTGCTTTATAGCATTTATTACTACTGGAAATGCCCTTGTTCCATTGATTTATTCCACTGGTATTTATTGAGTGCCTACTATATGCCAGGAACTGTTAAAGTACTTGAGATCTAACAAAACAGAGATCTATACCCTTGTGGGGCTTACATTCTAGCAGGGGCAGATGGATTTTTAAAAACAATGAGCACAATAAGTAAATTATTTGGAGTGTTAGAAGGTGATAAGTTCTGTGAGGGGTGGAGAAAAAGTAGAGAAGGGCAAGAAGGATCTGAGTTAGGGACATGAGTGATGATTCTAAATGGAGAAGTCAGGGTGGGTCTCATTGAGAAGGTTATATGGGAATGCAGACCAGAAGTAGGTAAGGGAATTATCTGTATAAACAGTATTCCAGACAGAGGGAAAAGTCAGTGTCAAGAGCCCACACTGGCCTGGCCTGGCAAGTTCAAGGAATAGCAAGGCCAGTGTGGCTGAAGTGGAGTGAGCTGAGGCAAGTGGCTGGAGAGATGAGGTCAGATCATGTGAGGCTTTGTAGGTGATTAAAAGACCAATGTGTTTGGACTGTATCTGGGCTCTCTACCCCTTTAGGTTGGTCTGAATTGACTGTACTCTATTTAATTTCTGTAGTTTAACATTCATTTGTTATATCTGGTATTTTATTCTTTTTTTCAGAAGTATCTTGCATGTTCATGGACATTTACTCTTTCATATGAACTTTAGGACCTGTTAATCCAGTTACAACAAAAAATCCTGCTGAGTTTGTATTGGAATGAATTTAATTTGTAGGTTTATTTTGGGAGAGAAGTGATACCTTTATAATAGTAAGTATTCCCATCAATATCTCTCCATTTATTATTTTATTCATATTCTTTTTATATATTTAAAAACATTTTGTATTGTCCTCTATGAAGGTCTAGTATATCCTTTATGAGATATAGTCCTAGATGCCTTAGAGTTGTTATCAACCCTGGGAATGGTATATTTTATGCCTAATACTCTTATTGGTTTAAATAGTTTTTCTCTATATTCTCTTGGATTTTCTCATTGACTGTAATATCACCTGCAAATATGGATAGTGTTCTGTTTTTCTATGTTAACACTTCTTGTTTATTTCTCTTATTACATTGGCTAGGAGCTCCAGTATAATGGTGAATAATAGTGCTGATAGCAATCTTGTTCCTGACTTAATGGAAATGCTTCCAAACTTTCAAGCATAAAGTTTATGTTTGGGGTAGATACCCTTTAACAGGTTGAAAAAGTTCCCTTCTATTCCTAATTTGTTAAGGGTTTTTTAAAAATTATGAATCCACATTTAGTTTTGTTGAATGATGTTTTTTGCATTTTTGAGAGGATTGTATGATTTTTCTCCTTTATCACTTAATTGGCAAATCACAGGGAAACATTTCTTAATGTTAAATTATGCTTCTGTGAGTAAAGGGAAAATTAATATCAGGCTGGGGCTGATGCAAGCCTGCCTGACACTGACCTTGGTCTTCCACAATACTGTTTCCTTGGAAACTGCAGAGTTAACATAAACAGGGGATGTTGTGTATGCTGACTACACAATTGTGTGGAACTGCGCATGGGTCTGGAGGCATTGTCAGTGAGCATACAGGTCATGAGCGTATGCAACTGGGAATGGCAGGAAATATTGGTGAGAAATAGAGGTTTCAGGTTATTTACTTACTTACTTATTTATTTATTTATTTATTTATTTATTTATTTAAAGAGACAGGGCCTTGCCTGAGACCCAGGCTGGTCTCAGACTAGGCCCAAGAGATCCTCCTGCCTCAGCCTCCCAAAGTGCTGGGATTACAGGTATGAGCCACTGCGCCTGACTAAGGCTTTAGGTTCTATGAGTCAAAGTGATCGCTGCACACCTTGGCTAGCCCGTGGCAGCTGTAATTGCCCTGTGGATGAATGACAACAGGACATGTGTACTTCGGTAGCTGCTGGGCCACCTGGTGAGATAAAGATGTAGCATCTGCCATATCTTCTGCCTTGTATTCTAGGTTACAATTTATTTCTGTCTCATGAGTCTTGCTGTCAACTTGAACCTATAATCACAGCTGTAGTCTGTACCTTCTTTCCGGGATTATATTTAGCACAATTATGGAGCAGTATTTTAATTTTACCTCTAGGGGGCAGTCATGGATCATAAATTGGTATGCTGTTTTAAAAAACCATCTAGAATAAACTGCCCTTTTAGGTTATGTACTTTTTTTTTTTTTCTCATTTTTACAGATGAAGAGACTGAGCCTTAGAAAATCTAAATAATTTTCTTAGTTCACATAACTTGTAAATAGCAAAAAGCAGATCTGGGATTTTTTTTCAGATAAAAAATTATACTTTATTATAACTTTTAAAATTGCAGAACGTCAAGCTGAATATCATTAGACACGTACACAAAACCACTCATCTCTAAAGTCATCTTCTATACCCTATCAAAATTTGGCCAATGAATCATGCCTCAGGGAATTTTCCAGTTCAACCCCATACACCAACATGGAATATTTGGAAACACTAGCCTTTTGGTTTTGCCCAGAATTCCAAAGCGCTATTACAGGTGGAATATCTGCTGCAGGAGGTCATTCTTGCTGCTGTGGGTGTGAGTAAAATGTCCACCTGTATGCCTCTGGTCCTGCAGGCTTTGTTCTCTTTCTTCTTGTTTTGTCTCCTTCTACAGGGGTTCCCTTACATACTGCAATCAAAAGACATCTTCTGCTCAGAATCACAACAGATAGTGAGTGGTTCAAGTGAGAAGTAATGTTATATAGTAAGTTACTGAATCTACAATGAGAAATTGAACTCTGGGGCCACAACTCAAATATGATTTCAAGGTAAAGAATATAATTACTTGGCTGGCTAGTGAAACGCTTATTTCCTTCTAAAATCATAATTGCAATATGGACTTCTGCTTCATGCTGCATCCCAAGGCACAAATCAGGTAACCTACATCTGCCAAATGATCAACAGAGCATTCCTTCCTATTTTACCCTCAATGCTGAGAAATTACTCCAGAGCCCAGAAGTTGTTGCATAGGTGGCTTGGGTTACTTGGTGCTCAGGCAACAACTGCCACAGGCCCCACCTTGATGAACACCATCAATTTCTTTAAATATGATGATACTAAGATGGAGGAGGCCCTGCTCAGAAGAAGCAAGGACGTAAAAGCTGGGACAGACTGTGCTGTGGGTCACTACACTAACAGACCCAGATGACACGATGGAACGTGAATACTGAAGCTGACAATCTTCTGAAAATCTCTTTTTCAAAACCCATATGCCCTTTTTTCTAATCTGGAAATCAGGGACAGGGAAACATTCGCATAATTACCCACCAACATGTTCTTCTTAACAGAAGTGAAGATTATTTTAAGAATATGAAAAGTGTTTCAAGACATCTGTTTTCAGGGATAGATCACAGCAACAGAAGTACTTTTCAGAGTGGTTCATTTTAAAGTCAATCTCAAGAACAAGGGCAGCCAGCTTTCACAAAGTACCAAGACATGTTCTGGCAAAAACATTTTTGCTTTAAGTTATATGCTGTCAAGTTCAACTATTTTATACATATCTGATCCTTTTCTGTCAACAAAAAAGGTACAATTTTTTTAAAACTCCAAAATCAATAATTTCTGGGTAGGATGAAGGTAGAATTTTGGTTGTATTTTATACTTCAGAATACAGATGAAACCAAAAGGTCTGCAATTGTCTCTACATTCACATCTTTCAAAGGTCCTTTTCTCCTTTTACATGGATTCAGTTGAATCATTGCCATCCTGATTTGAAGACATATTTTCAACTTTCATTAGTGGTAAATAGCTCCTAAGTTCATCCATTTCCCTCTTCTTCATTTCTTCTTTTTCTCTCCTTTTCATTTCCTGAATTTGGGCTGTTTTCTCATTCCTCTCTTCACGATCTCTGCATTCTTTCTCTGCTGCTAGGTCTGGGAACCACTCCACTTTGGTCTTTTCTAATCAGTTCAGGATCTCATTTACTTTTTTCTCCCATGTCACAATTTTTACATCCTTCTGCCTGTGAAAACCTATGTGCCCCACATCCATGTCAGCTGTTTTCTTCAGGTTAGACTGCGGCGTATATACCACATTAACGTTCATCTTGCAGCCTTGAATGCTACTGGCTTTCACAAGGTGGGCACAGTCCATCAGCACTTCCTTTGGAATGTCTTCTATGTTCTCTCCCAGATATTTTCAGGCCAGCCGTGCTTGATCAGATCTTCATTTTCATATTTATCCTTTCCCATGTAAATAGTGTACTGGGATGAATTAATGCTGCTGCTGGTGAAGTAGAACACCATGGTCCCGGCGGTGGTGCAGTGACTCTACTGCCCACCAGCAGCGCTCAATTCACCCATATCTGGGATTTTAACCTACATCTATTTGCCACTAAAGTACATGCTCTTAATACACACAGAGGAACGCCCTCCTTCTCTCTTCTTCCCTCCTTTCCCCTCTCTGTCTCTTTTTCTCCTCGAAGCAGTCCAGCAAAGTGGTTAAATGCACTAATTCTGAAGTCAACCTGCTTGACTAGGAAGGATTGGCCCATAGGGGTACGTAAAGGTTAGAATGGCAGCGGGAAATTGATTCACATGAAAAATAAATTACCTACCACACCTACCAAAGTCTGGCTCTATGACTTACCAGCTATGTGACCATGGGAAGGTTACTTAATTCCTCTGTGGCACAGGTCCACCTGTAAAAGTGAGATGATAAAGGAAATTTTTGCTAAGCCTTGAGCATGTGTAGATGGACTTACACCCTGCTTGACTTTGAGCCTGGATGAGTAATAAAATGCAAAAATCAATCAGTTAGGGTCCCAGAAGAAGGAACCAAAGCAACTGCTTCTGGGAAAATTGATCAGAATCAGAAAAAAACCCATAACAAACAAACAAACAAAAACCCTAACCTGATGAGGAACTTCTTGTGTTTGCGATTTGTGCCTCAAGTGTTTATTTGGATTCAACTTCGTGGACTTACTGGGTCAATAAAGATTCAAAAAAGCACAGATGGAATTGGGGCTCAGTTCCATTACAGCCAAATAATCCTGAGAGGACAAGCTAAAGACTTATTTAAACCAATCACCTCTCCTTATGAAACTGTGTGGCTTTTGCCCTTATAAGCCTACCCTTGCCTTTGGACTGGGTGTCAGTCTTCACGAGGCATGCTCTTCCTTGTATACTACTCACCTAAAAGTAAACCCTTAATGCTTATATGAAAGAGTAGTCAACATCACTGATCATCATAGAAATGCAAATCAAAACTACAATGAGATATCATCTCTCTCCAGTTAATTAAAATGGCTTTTATCCAAAAGTCAGGCAATAACAAATGCTGGTGAGGATGTGGAGAAATGGGAAACCCTCATACACTGTTGGTGGGAATGTAAATTAGTACAACCACTATGGAGAACAGTTTGGAGTTTCCTCAAAACTCTAAATAGAGCTACCACATGACCCAGCAATCCCACTGATGGGAATATACCCAAAAGAAAGGAAATCAGTATTTCGAAGAGGTATCTGCACTCTCATGTTTATTGTAGCACTATTCATAATAGCCAAGATTTGGAAACAACTTCTGTGTCCATCAACAAACAAATGGATTTTTAAAAATGTGGTACATATACAGTTGAGTACTATTTAGCCGTAAAAAAAGAATGAGATTCTGTCATTTACAACAACATGGATGGAACTGGAGGTTATTATGTTAAGCGACATGAGCCAGGCACAGAAAGACAAACTTCACATGTTCTCACTTTCACTCATTTGTAGGAGCTAAAAATTAAAACAATTGAACTCATGGTGATAGAGAGTAGAAGGATGATTAGCAGAGGCTGCAAAAGGTAATAGGGAGTGTGGGGGGAGGAAATGGGGAAGCTTCATGGGTACAAAAATAGTTAGAAATAATGAATAAGATCTAGTATTTGATAGCACAACAGAGGGACTATAGTCAATAATAATTTAATTGTACATTTAAAAATAACTAAAAGAGTATAATTAGGCTGGGTGCAGTGGCTCACGCCTGTAATCCCAGCACTTTGGGAGGCCGAGGCGGGTGGACCACCTGAGGTCAGGAGTTTGAGACCAGCCTGGCCAACGTGGTGAAACCCCCATCTCTACTAAAAATACAAAAAAAATTAGCCAGGTGTGGTGGCACGCGCCTGTAGTCCCAGCTACTCAGGAGGCTGAGGTAGGAGAATAGCTTGAACCCGGGAGGCAGAGGTTGCAGTGAGCCTAGAACACGCCATTGCACTCCAGCCTGGGCGACAAGAGTGAAACTCCATCTCAAACAAACAAAAAAAAGTATAATTGGATTGTTTGTAACACAAATGATAAATGCTTGAGGTGATGAATACCCCATTTACCCTGATGTAATTATTACACATTGCATGCCTGTATCAAAATATCTCATGTACCCCATAAATATATACACCTATTATGTACCCACAAAAATACAAAATAAAATAAAATACTGTTTAAAAAAAAAAAAAGGAAACTCTCAATGCTTAGGTAATTGTCCTGAGTTATTCTTTAACATTTAATCTGAAGACCCAATCGTGCATGGCCGAACTTTGTATTGGATCAGGCTTCCTCTGCCTTACCTAGCAGTACACTCAGTTTAATACTCACTACATATCAGTATTTATTTTGTCTTTTATTAGGGAAAATAGTTCCTATCTCATAAGATTACTTTAATGATGAAATGAGATGACACATGTAGAACAAAGCCTGAGGTGGCAAGAACTTACTAAATGTCACTGTCATTAATTCAACAAACATCATTTATAGCATCTATTATATCAGACACAATTCTCCATCCAAAGGATGCTAAGGTGTTTGTATCAAGAAGGGTCTAATCAGAAGACAGAAACCACAGCAGTTATTTGAGCAGAGAAAATTTAATATGAGCAGAGAAAATTTAATATAAAGAATCTTGTCGGCCCGGTGCAGTGGCTCACGCCTGTAATTCCAGCACTTTGGGAGGCTGAGGCAGATGGATCACAAGGTCAGGAGTTCAGGACCAGCCTGGCCAATATGGTGAATCCCCGTCTCTACTAAAAAATACAAAAATTAGCTAGGCGTGGTGGCGCGCACCTGTAAACCCAGCTACTCGGGAGGCTGAGGCAGGAGAATTGCTTGAACCCAGGAGGTGGAGGTTGCAGTGAGCCAAGATCACACCACTGTACTCCAGCCTGGGCTACAGAGCGAGACTCCATCTCAAAAACAAACAAACAAACAAACAAACAAAAAAAAAGCTTAGCCGAGGGGCCCTGCAGAGCTGCACCTCAGATCTCTGAGGAAGAGGTGCCACTCAGCTGTTGGAGTTTCTGAATGAAGCACAATAAGGCTGCTCTGCAAATGTTGGGAAATTTGCAAACTGGATTCAGCAACCTCCACAGGAAGGAACTGCAGCTGATGCAAGGCAAGCAAGCCCCGAAGTGGAGCTTAGCCCATGAGGGTTCTTGGCTTTGCCCAGGAAAGAATTCAAGGGTAAGCCAGAGATAGAAGAAAACAGCTTTACTGAAGAAGCAGTGTTATAGCTCTAGTGGTGTTACAGTGTTGCAACTCTGTGACTGCTCCTTCTGAGCAAGGCTACACTGGAGGCGGAGAGCAGCAGCTCAGGGCAGTTTTGCAGTCATATTTATACCCACTTTTAACTGGATGGAGATCAAGGGGCAGTTTGTGCAGAAATTTCTAGGGAAGGCATAGTAATTTTGGGTCATTGGGTCATTGCCATGGAAAGAGGCGGTAACTCCCTGGTGTTGCCATGACAATGATAAATTGACATGGTACATGGTGGGCGTGTTTGATTGGAAAGCGGCTTCCACCCCTACCCTGTTTTAGCTAGTCCTCAATCTGGTGCAGTGTCTGAGCCCCATTTCTGGAGTTGAGTCCTGCCTCCTACCTCATTGTGGCCCAGGCGAGGAAGTGTTGCTAGGTGATGCTCACAAGTTCAGGAAGACCAAGGAAAGAAACCAATTCCTTCCTCCTTCAGCCTTGCAGTCTCCCTCTTGTACTACCCATCAACACAGCCTAACAGAAAGCCTGCTTTTGGCAATGCAGAAATACAGTTTGCAGAGTCCCTGTCCCAGCATCATGGTGCAGAGTATAGAAGGATGAGTTGAAGCAATAGACAAGAGCTTAAGAACCAGCACAGTCCATTGGTTCAGCTATTCAAGATCCATGTGCACATATTTTTACATCTTTCTCCATATATGTCAACTTTTCAAGACAATAAAAACAACCGCCTTTCTGTCTAACAAGATACAACTACCTTTCATATAAACAAATCCTCTCCCCAAAAACGAAGAGATGCAAAGTTGCAATAATTACTGTATCCATTTTTGGGAGACATTCATATCATCCACTTCTAAGACATGTTAATTACTTCTCAAATTTAGTCATAGTCCCAAGTGAATATTCAGTTGAGCTTGTCATTTCTTTCTATAAGCACTCTAGTGCATTCAAAAGAATCCATCCCACATCCCAAATAGTTCTTGCAGTCATCATCACTGCCATAATGACCAAGTGAAACAGCCACCTTGTCCCCCAAGGCACTTGTAATAGGCACTTCATCACAATCAACCACAGGCAATTATGTGATTAATCATAATGTCACTGTATGCCATGGATTGCTAGCATGCCATTTTCCATTGCCAGTGGAGCTCGGCACTGAGTTCAAGCCCAAGAACACATTAAAGTAATATCACGGCAGGGTGCCGTGGCTCACAATGGCAGGGTGCCGTGGCTCACGCCTGTAATCCCAGCACTTTGGGAGGCCGAGGTGGGAGGATCGCCTGAGGTCGGGAGTTTGAGACCAGCCTGGCCAACATGGAGAAACCCCGTCTCTACTAAAAATACAAAATTAGCCAGGCATGGTGGCGCATGCCTGTAATCCCAGCTACTCAGGAGGCTGAGGCAGGAGAATCGCTTGAACCCGAGAGGTGGAGGTTGCAGTGAGCTGAGATCACACCATTGTACTCCAGCCTGGGCGAGAGAGCGAGACTCCATCTCAAACAAACAAACAAACAAAAACAATAACAAAAAAAACCACACACACAAAAACACATTTTTGAGGAGTTATTTCTTGGGACCACTCCTGAGACCAATTTCTCAAGCAGCTATGGTCCAATGAGACAGAATACCACCATGTGAACAAAGAGAATTGAATATAAATAATTGCTAACTAGATATAAAGTTGTGAATGAAGTCACTAAAAGAGAAAAAAAAAGAAAAAAGAAAAAGGAAAACCACCGAATTTGAGACCAGCCTGCACGACATAGTGAGACCCTCTCTCTAAAAAAAAAAAAAAAAAAAAAAATGCTGGGCGTGGTGGCGCATGCCTGTAGTCCCAGCTACTCAGGGTGCTGTGGCATGAGGATTGCTTGACCCAGGATATTGAGGCTGCATTGAGCTGTCTTCATGCCACTGCACTCCAGCCTTGTCAACAAAGCAAGGCCCTGTCTCTCAAATAACAACACACCAACATATTATGGATGAGTAGCTACCACTCCTAAGACTGAGGGAACTGGGAGAAGAGGTTTGAATTATTAAAATTTGTAAGTTTAGAAGAAGGGGACTCCAGAGCTGAAACTCATCTCTGAGGATGGGTGGCTGCTGCTTGGATGATGCTGGTGCCTTTGAACCTGGAAGAGGGTTCCATGGGGCTGAGACCCAGGCCTCTTGGGGACAGGGCACTGTCTGGCTGGTGCTGGTGTCTCTGAGAAGACCATATTGGGGCTGACTCTGCAAGTGGTGGGAAATTGCAGAGTCAGTTCTGGAGAGAATTGCAGAGCAACTGGTCTCAGCTGCTGCTCCAGGAAGGTGCTGCTGCTGCCAGGGAGTAGAATAGAAGCTTTGCTGGAGTGATGCTCGCTGAAAATACAGGCCATCAGACAGCCACAGGAAATTCACAGGGAACCAACAGAAGAAGTAAGTTTCTTCTTCCATCCCCATCATTGCATGCCCTCTCTCCCTGTGTATTAATCATGTCTTTTTATTTTCTTTTATTCGATGTTTTGACAACTTGGGGCCTTACTGATCCTGCAGGGACTGTCTCTCCCTCGCTAGCTAATTCCTAAAGATAGTAAACAACTTAACCTAGAGCACGCCTTTCTTATGCAAAGTAACCCATCCAGAGCCCATAACCACAACTATCTATGCTAACCAAGCCTCTCCTAAGCTGAGGTCACTATCCGCCTGCCCTAATGACCCCAGGCCCCGGTACCAGACACCTAAGGACAGCTTCTTAGGAGCCTGTTGAAGTTATTCGAACAAGCCAGTTCTAGGCCTACTTACCCTACCTTGGCTGTTCTTTCCAATGAAAATCACAATAAAAACTCTTGCCTACATTTTCCCCTTGTTCCTTCTGCCTCCTGACCGACCCCGGGGCTTCTCTGTGCCCCTACCCCCACATCCATGGTATCTCATGTCTCCCATTTCTAGGGAACTGTGAGTAAACCTCTTCCTTCATGACATTCCCTTCCAAGTCTGCTTGTCTTACAATACCTGATTAAAACAAATGCAAATCCGGGTTCCATTAAAACACCCTGGAGCGTCCCCTATTGACAAAGCCTAACAGCCAGCAAAGCAGAAATGTGGTTTTCAGAGTCCCAGCCCAGCTTCACAAAGCAGGTCATAGAAAGGAGGGTTTGGAGCAGAGAGATGACAGCTTAATCGCCAGCACAGTGTGCAAGTTAGATAACGTCCTGACTGTTAAATGGGTTATAGTCCAGGCGTTCATGACTAGAACATACCAGAGTAGAAAACTGCACCTTTGAGGCATGACTCAGCTGAGACAACACACAAAGAAGCCCAGCGGAGGGGGACTGGGAGTGCTGGGGCTGGAGGAGGGCTTGCCATGCAAAAGGGGCCTATCAGAAGCGACTGCACTAAGGCAATATCCAGCAAATTCCAAAGGAGGAGAGGGAGCCAGCTCCGCAGATATTTGGGAATCACTCTCTGAGACAGGACAACGCCTGCCTTCAAGGAATGGCAAAGGGGCCATGTGATGTTAATTTTGTGTTAATTTGGCCAGGCTGTGGTGCCCAGTTGTTTGGACAAACAACAGTATAGCAGTCTAGCTGTTGCTATGAAGGTAATTTTTTGCATGTGATCCACATTTTTTTTTAAGAGAAGGTCTTGATCTGTTGCCCAGGCTGGAGTGCAGTGGCACAATCATGGCTCACTGTAACCTCAAAGTCTCGGGCTCAAGTGATCCTCCCATCTTGAGCTGGGATTACAGGTATGAGCTGCTGTGTCTGGCCTGTGATCAGCATTGAAACTCATAAACTTTTAGTAAAGCAGACTCCCCTCTATAAAGTGGTTGGGCCCATCAGTTGAACTTGGGGCCTTACCGTGCATGGACTGTCTCTCCCTTGCTAGCTAATTCCTAGAGATTGCAAACAACATCCTAGAGCACGCTTTTCTTATGCGAAGTAACCCATTCAAAGCCCATAAACACAACCATCTACTCAACTGGTCTCTCCCAAGCTGAGGTCAGGTCACTATCCGCCTGCCCTAATCACCCCAGGGTACCAGACACCTAAGGACAGCTTTGGAGCCTGTTTAAATTATTTGAACTAGCCAATTAAAAATAAATACTGAGGGGCTGGGAGCAGTGGCTCACGCCTGTAATCCCAGCACTTTGGGAGGCTGAGGCAGGTGGATCGCTTGAGCTCAGAACTTCAAGACCATCCTGGGCTATGTGAGGAAACCCTGTCTCTACTAAAAATACAAAAATTAGCCAGGCGTGGTGGCTCGTGCCTATAGTCCCAGCTACTGGAGAGGCTGAGATGAGAGGATTGCTTGAATACAGGAGGTTGAGGCTGCAGTGAGCTGTGATGACGCTACTGCACTCCAGCCTGGGCGGCAGAGTGAGACCCTGTCTCCAAAATAAATAAATAAAGACTGAGGTATGCCAAGGAAGAAGGATTTCTGTCTCCAGACTGCAACATCAAAATTCTGTTCGAGTTTCCAGCCTTCTCACTTGAGAATGCAGCATCAACTCTTCCTGAATTTCCAGGCTGCCAACCTGCCCTATGGATTTCAGACTTGCCTGTCCCCATATCACACAAGCCAATTCCTTAAAATAAATCTCTCAGCTGGGTGCACTGGCTCACACCTGTAATCCCAGCACTTTGGGAGGCTGAGGCAGGTGGATCACAAGGTCAGGAGTTCAGGACCAGCCTGGCCAATACGGTGAAACCCCGACTCTACTAAAAAATACAAAAATTAGCCAGGCGTGGTGGCACGCACCTGTAATCCCAGCTACTCGGGAGGCTGAAGCAGGAGAATTGCTTGAACCCAGGAGGCGGAGGTTGCAGTGAGCCAAGATCACACCACTGTACTCCAGCCTGGGCTATAGAGCAAGACTCCGTCTCAAATAAATAAATAAATAAATATAAAATAAATCTCTCTCTCTCTAATGCATCCCATTGGTTCTTTTTCTCAAGAGTGCTCTAATACAGGCCAGGGTCGCAGAAGGGAGGGAAGGATGAGGCGAGGATGATGAAATGGGGCCAGAGGTGAGGTGGGGTGGGGAGCCAGTGGTGGTCCTGGAGCTGCTGGGAGGTTTAATCGACTCACAGTTCCACAGGGCTGGGGAAGCCTCAGGAAACTTACAATCATGGTGGAAGGGGAAGCAAACACGTCCTTCTTCACATGGAGGCAGCAAGGAGAAGTGCAGAGCGGGGTGGGGGGGAAAGCCCCTTATAAAACTATCAGATCTGGTGAGACTCACTCACTGTCAGAAGAACAGCTTGGAGGTAACCGCCCCCATGATTCAATTACCTCCCATTGAGTCCCTCCCACAGCACATGGGAGTTATGGGAACTACAGTTCTAGACAAGATTTGGGTGGGGACACAGCCAAACCGTATCACACATTTTAGGTAATAGGAGTTACAGGGCCAACCCCTGCTATGGCGATCATAAAAAGGGCTTATGTAACAGTTGTCATGGTGAGAATCACCATGGATGTTTGCAGCTCCAGATCACACACCAGGTGAAAATCTCTGGTGACGTGTAACTTCAGTAAATAACCAGGTAATGTTGATTCCCTTGATAAATGGTTATTAGGGTAATCAGCATTAGCTGCTATAACAAACAACTCCAAAAAGGTAAATGGCTTAACTTCATAGAAAGTTGTTTCTCATTCATGTCACAACCTGAGGCAGGTTGGTGAGGGCTTTAGTCTACACAGTCATTCAGAGACCCAGACTTCTTCCACCTTAGGATTTTGCCTTCCTATCTATTGTTGAAGTCCTCTTCACTCAGCTGATAAATGGAGGGGAGAAAGCATGATGCATGAGAGGTTTGTATGGGCCAGGCCTGGAAGAGACACACATCACTTTCATTCACATTCCATTGGTCAGATCTCAGTTACATTCCATACCTCAACAGCACCGGTGTCAACATCAACAGCCAGTGTCAAACACCTGATGATGTGTGTGACAATGTCCCCAGATGATTTTAGCCCTCAGCTGTCAAATTTTCCCAGCCGAGGCCCTGGGCATGGGGGAGCAAAGATAATCCACCTATGTCCTAAACAAATCCCCACAACTGTGTAAGGACTAATCTCTATAATAAATTCCCTTTTCCGTGTTTCTGCTTGTCTGATTTAATCCTGACTGATACAAATCATGAGCTTTAACAGAATGTAATTGCCATTCTGAATGGTTTAAGTGCCACACAAGTTGAGCAACTTTCAACTTTTAATCACATTTGGGCACCTTTTCATCCCACATTTACTTCACTAGCACTTATCATCTACTCATAATTTTTGTTGAAATACTAAGTCTGTTTTCCTTCTAGAAAGACAAGTTATTTGGTTTATTTTCAATGAATTATCTATAGCATCAAAGTCATTTCCAGGCTGTTGTGAGTTTTACATAGTATTGATTTTCCTTATTAATATATTCTTAAAAATTTGTCCCCCAGATTCAGATTTTTATTTATTTTTATTTTTATTTTTTTGGTAGAGATAGGGTCTCATTCTGTTACCCAGGCTGGAGTGCAGTGCTGCAATCATAGCTCACTGCAGCCTTGACCTCCTGGACTCAAGCAATCCTCCTGCCTCAGCCTTCTGAGTAGCTATGACCACAGGTGTGCACCACCGTGCCCAGAGAATTTTTCTATATATTTTTTTTTGTAGAGACGGGGGTCTCCCTATGTTGCCCAGGCTGGTCTTGAACATTCTGGCCTCAAGGGATCCTCCTGAAGTGCTGTGATGACAGGGGTGAACTACTACGCCCAGCCAAAATATTTTTATTTATGATATTTAAAAGGAACACTTACCTAAACACAGTTGTCTCTTCATCCTGGGTGTTCTTTTTACAATTTTCCTGTAAGTTCTGGATCTTTTAAGGAAACAAAACCCCGCACACTTACTATAAATATTATTTGGAGCAAAAGTAATGCGGTTTTTGCCATTAAACATAATGGCTATTAGTTTTGCACCAACTTAATATAATGCACCAACAATAAAACCAAAGTCAAGGCTAAGTTATTTAGAAGCACTAATAAGTGAGCAATTTGAGGATAAAGATAAACTCATTATTTCTCTAAAGCACAGAGTGCCCCATAAAAAATGAGCAATGTAGCGTGTGCTGTTTGCCGTGACGTGGACGAAGTGGCAGATAGTGCAGCTAATGCTTCTGAGAAGTTTCTATTTTAGGAGGCCCATTTATCAATGTTCATGAATGTGTCCTAATGAGTTTATGTTATATCTTAGATTTATAAATAATTAACTTTGCTATTTATTGCAGTTAGTATTTACCATTTGCCAACTAACATGTTACTATTAATATTTTATCAACTGTCCCAATCTCCACCGTCCATACCTATTTAGCAGCCCTGTTTAGCACAATGCCTGTGTCTGTGGGCGGCAGAACGCAGGCAGAATTGCATAATTTAGTTAGAGGTCTCTTCCCACCTACAAATTCTCCTTTCAGAATACAAATTATAGAAGTATTTTGTTTGTTCGTTTCAAACAGAAAAAACATTTCCATTACACAGTCAAACCCTGTGTCCTCATCCTTTCCATGTTTATTTTATCCTGGGGGCCTTTTCTTTCCCATCCAATGCTCCTCACACCACATCCCACAGGTCTCACCCAACCTCATTAACTACCTTGCTTTGACTTCTTCTCCTTTGGCCTCCAGTTTCCCTGAAACTAAATCACAGGGCAACAAAACTCCACACACTTACTCTAAGTATTACAATGTACCAACAATAAAACCAACTAGTATGTTACTATTTCAATATTAAATACAAAAACACAATCAATAAAAAATACAATCACAGGTATCACAAGGTGTTTGTTGGTTGGTTGTTTGGTAGAGATAGGGTCTTGCGCTGTCACCCAGGCTGGAGTGCAGTGGCACAATCATAGCTCACTGAAGGCTCAAACTGCTGGGCTCAAGCGATTGTCTCGCCTCAGCCTCCCAAGTAGCTAGGACTAATGCCTAGCCACAGGGTGAGTGTATGCCAAGCTAATCTTTGTAATTTTTGCAGAGACAAGGTCTCTACAAAAATGAGCACCCCAAGGTATGGCCAAAATAATTTGGGTGAGGAACATTGTCAAAGAGAAATCACCATTAGCCTACCATGGCTCTATGAAACTGTCAACAATCCTCTCCTGGGGAAGTTCTGTCTTTCTATTTGCATCTAGATCATACAAAAATGATTTCAACTCATTTAGAAATAGATTTTTAAAACAAAAAGAGAAAAAATAAAGTTGGGTACCTACCTCACAACATATTTCAAAATAAATTCTAGATCGATCAAAGATCTGCATATACAAAATAGGCCAGGTGTGGTGGCTCACACCTGTAATCTCAGCACTTTGGGAGGCTGAAGTGGGCAGATCACCTGAGGTCAGGATTTTGAGACCAGCCCGGCCAACATAGTGAAACCCTGTCTCTACTAGAAATACAAAAATTAGCCAGGCATGGTGGTGTGCGCCTGTAGTCCCAGCTACTCGGGAGGTTGAGGCATAAGAATCACTTGAACCTGGGAGGCAGAGGTTGCAGTGAGCTGAGATCATGCCACTGCACTCCAGCCTGGGTGACAGAGTGAGGCTCTGAAAAAAAGAAGGAAGGAAGGAAGGAAGGAAGGGGTCTGAATATATGAAATAAAATTCTAAAAATATCAGAAGAAAATGTAGACATGGATAGACTTTACTACGTAAAATGAGAAGTCTCTGTATACCAAAAAAAAAAAAAATTCCTAAACAAAGCTAAAAAACACAGACTGAGAAAATATGATAGGCAAAAAATTACCTATAACATATAAGGATATACTAATTAACAAGAAAAAGATAGCCCAATTGAAAACTGGCCCAAGGGTATACAAAGGCCAGTCACAAATAAATAAGAAAGGTCAAAAATTAAATGAAAATATATTCAACCTCAGTAATTATCAGGGGATATAAGTTAAATCAAAACAAGATATAATTTTTTATCAAATTGGCAAACTTTAAAGATAGATGGTACCCAATTTGAGCCAAGATATGGGAAATAACCAATTTCATATTCTGCAGTGGGTGTGTTTACTGATAGCAATATTAGGAACCAACCCTACAGAAGAGATTCAGTATACGTGCTTGTTCACTAAAGCAAAGTTTCTGACAGTGAGAAATGAAAGATAATTATAAATATACATTAATAGGGGAATGATAGAACGAATCAGGAGCAAGCTCAGGGGATGTGTGTGTGTTTGCAAGGGAAACAAATGGTCTGGAAAGAAGGAAAGGAAAGACTCCAAACTTAACTAGAGATGCCCTTGAGGAAGGCAGCAGGATTGGGTAGAGTGGGAGGGGAGGACTTTTACTTTTTATTCTATATTCTCTTTTATTGTTTAAATTTACTACAATGAACACGCATTTTGTAACTAGAAAAGAGGAAAAAGAAAACGTAAAATTAAAATTTAAAATATTATCGGCCGGGCGCGGTGGCTAACACCTGTAATCCCAGCACTTTGGGAGGCCGAGGCAGGAAATCGAGACCATCCTGGCTAACACAGTGAAACCCCGTCTCTACTAAAAATACAAAAAAATTAGCTGGACTTGGTGGCGGGTGCCTGTAGTCCCAGCTACTTGGGAGGCTGAGACAAAAGAATGGCATGAATCCGGGAGGCAGAGCTTGCAGTGAGCCAAGATCGAGCCACTGCACTCCAGCCTGGGTGACAGAGCGAGACTCCATCTCACAAAAAATAAAATAAAATAAAACAAAATATTATCAAAATTTAAATGTAAAAGTATTAATCAAATTAAAAATATGAAACTGTAGCAAAGCCATTGCAAGACAGGCACTCTCCTACACTGCATCTTTTCTGGAGTGCAATCTGATAAGATGGCTTATGTCAATAACCTTAAAGATGTTCCTAATACCTGGTAATATGAGATAGCTTTGGGGAGGAGAAATGGATGGCTGGAGGACTTATGGGGAGGGGAGGTGGGGGGAAAGGACAGAAATCTCACTATGCACCCTTTTGTACCTTTTGAATTTTATACCATGAGAACATACTTCATGTTAAAACACTTGATGAAAAATTTATAAACAGTTCATATCCCCCAATCCAGCAGTTTATCCTTCTACAATTTATCCTAGGAGTAAATCATAAATCTGAGCTAAGGCTTATCCGCAAGGATATTCTCCATGACATAATTTCTAATAATAGAGAACTGTTAACAATTCAAAATCCAACATGAGTAGATTGATTAAATAAACTATGATGCATACATAAAGTGGAAACATAGTTATTACAACAATTTTTAAAGAAAAAATTTGTATATTGTTTTAGAAAGATGACCAAAAATATATTGAGAGGAACAAATTGAAAATTATATGTATATGTATATGTATATATACATGTATATGTATATGATGTATATATATTTAGATAGGCCAGCAGGACAGATGAATACCTAGATACATAATCTGAAAGAATCCACACCACAATGTTAACAGCATTTTGTGTCTTAGTAGTAGTGTTATTAACATTATTAATATTAGACAAACACTGAGAAACTGCCCTTATAAGGCAATGACTGTCAGATGGAAGATTTTAAAAAGTAATACAATTAAACTTAATGAGAAATGAAAATTTAAAGGTTAAGAAGACTCTCAGGGCAAAATGAGTAAAGTAAAAGCTCTAAGATCATTAAACTCAGAGTTTTTCTTTAAGTGGCAAAAATGTTAAAGAAGAAACATAATAAATAAATTAGCACAACCAAGAGTTAAATATTCAAAAGACAGAAAATAAAAGTGGACAATCCTAAAGACAAACAATTTGAATGATAAAGTTACCAAACTAATATAAAAACTCAAGTATTTTAAAGATAAAATATTAAACATAGGCCGGGCACAGTGGCTCATGCCTGTAATCCCAACACTTTGGGAGGCCGAGGTGGCCCTTGAGGTCAGGAGTTTGAGACCAGCCTGGCCAACATGGTGAAACCTTGTCTCTACTAAAATACAAAAATTAGCTGGGCATGGTGGTGTGCGCCTGCAATCCCAGCTACTGAGGAGGCTGAGGCAGGAGAACTGCTTGAACCCGGGAGGCAGAGGTTGAAGTGAGCCAAGGTCGCACCACTGCACTCCAGTCCGGGCAACAAAGCGAGACTCTGTCTCAAAAAAGAAAAAAAATTAAACATAAATCCCCAACATGATTGTAAAGAGGAGAAACCTCTACAGAAAACCATTCAAGGAACTTAATCAGCAAGAAAGGTATCATAGGTGCGACTGAGAATAGAAAAAAATTCCCTAACTCCAGGGGCCCAGTGCAAAATAAAAACGTGGGGCCCCTGATTAAAGAATTATTAAGAATTGCAAAACGGCATCAGCAGAGCATTAAATTAAGTGGAGCCCTGTGTGGCTGCACAGGTTGCATGCACATGAAGGGGTCTGTCCGGGTGCCTTTCTGGGCTAGAACAACTGTAGAAGTTTGGAAGCCGGGAAAGCTCAGCTCTGGTTGGATGGGAAGGAAAGGGGCCAAGATCTGAAAGGCTAGCCCCACCCTGGCTGCCCCTGCTGACCAGTTTTCCATCTTGAAAATGTGCACATGTCCTAACCGCAGTTGGACAGGCCTGATGATGGTAAGTGTGGCAGCTAACATTTACTGAATGTTAGTATGCCAGATATTAACTGCTTTGCATAGATAATGCTTTAAAATCATTACAATAACCCCATCCCCCCAAAAAATCCTCAAATCCTACAATAACCCTCATAGCCACATACAGAAAGTACTATAATTGAACTAGTTTTAAAGATGAAATAGAAACTCAAAGAGATTTAGTGACCTGCCTGAAGTCACATGGCTGGTGAGTATGGAGCCTCCTCTCTGTGCATCCTTGGTCCATGATCTTAACTGCTATTCTAATCTCCCAGGTCCACAACACATGAACCCCTACTGTACTCATGGGCTTGAGCACCCAAAAGGTAGGGCAAGAAGACTGGATTCCCCTGGCTGGGTATAATCTCTTAATGTCCCCTTGGCTTCTAATACATGCACCTAAGGATCCCTGTCTGGCCCCCAGCACCTGTGAGTCAATCAGCCCATCACAGGTCCTAGTAGCAAACTGGGCATCTCTGGAGACCACAAATGCTGAGATGTGGATGCCCTCACCAGGATGCATCACATTCCCAGCCATGACCTGGCCCTACTCCCACCACCTGGTCATCAGGAATGGATTCCATTTTCTGGGCTATCCCCATGTTCTGGTCTCTGGAACTTTTCATCCCCACAGACTCTCCCAGGAAGATACCCAGCTATCCTCCCTATCTAGCTTTAGAACTGCAAATCTCAGGGTACCAGAAAGAGTCCCCCCATGGTCTGAAGCATGTCTATATGCTCTCCTGGGGCTCTATTTCTGGCCCTTTGGTTCTGTGCTTTGTGAAATGAGAATAATAACAGCAAAAATATATAACAGTGTATGTGCCAGACAATGTCCCAAGCACTTAAGATGATACATTATCACATTTAATCCTCACGACGATCTTGTAAGGGAGGTTCTAGTCTTAACCCAGTTTTCGAAGTCAGCAAACTTAGAGGGAGGAGTGACTTGCCCAAAGTCACAGCATGAGTGAAGTGGGTGATGCAGCTGTGATAGGATTAAAGTCCCTGACTTTCCATCTCATTATCTCCTTGTGTGCCCTCCCTGCCCTTGCTGGGATAAAACACCACAAGGAAGAGCCTTCTCCTCACTGCCTGGCTCCCTCACCCACCTTCCCTTCAAAGGCCTCTATGGCCACTCAAAGGCCCCTTCAAAGTGAGGCCACAGTCCCCTCTGCTGGCAGCTGCCTCTCACCGCACCTCCTATCTCTGATCTTGCATGGCCCTTATTAGTTGAGAGGTGTTTGGCTGCGAGCCATAGAAACCAGCTCCGCCTAACTTAAGGGAAAAAATGGCGGGAAGTTGGAGAGGGAGAGCTGGCATGACATGTTAGAAGGTTCATGGGGGTGTCTCAGGGGCTCCCAGAAAGGGTTGAACAGCCAAGAAATTGTCACAGAAGGGCAGGCCTAGAACATCCCACAGCAAGGGATCATAGAGCTTTCTTCCTAGAACACTGCCCAGAGCATGTGATTCCACTGTGATGATAATGAGATTTCTTTCTTCTCCATTCAAAATTCCACACTCCCAGGAGACAACATCTGATTGGCCCAGCTTGAGCCAGGCATTTCCGCAAGTACAGACTGAGGCTGCAGGTGTGTGTGTGTGTGTGTGTGTGTGTGTGTGTGTGTGTGTGTGTGTGCAGGTGGCCAAACAATGGGGCAAGCACTGGTCTGAGTGGCTGAGCATCTCAGGGCCAGGATGAAGGAGGGGGCTCTGTGCCAGGGACTGGCGATGGCAGACAGAAGGAGATCAGTAAGGAAGCCAGCACCTGGATCAAGAGTGCCGATTCTTGTCGCTCTCCCACCCCTCTCCACTGTTAGTCCAAACCGCACCATTTTGTAAGCCCCCGCTGCCCCCTCCCCCGCCATCTCGCAGACCTTGGTCGAAGTGAAACATTCCATGGGGTACGGACTGTGAGAAACAGCCTGCCTCTTATCATATTCTGCTGGGAGAAAGTGCAAGGAACACCACATTCCGCCAGAACAAGGGCCAAAACCGCCTCAGCATGGGAACACGTAATCAACATCTTCCTGGGCAGCAAGCCATACTGCCCAGACCCCTCCCCCACATGCTTATAATTACCCCAGCCTGTAAGCAGCGGTGGGCTCTGACATTAAGCTGATCCCCCTACCTCCACAGGTTTTTGCAATATACCTGTGTTGCTGTAGAGCTGCCCTCTCTCTCTGTATGTCTTTCTTTAACCCTTGCCTTCCCTTTAAAAAACCTAACACCTTAATCCAGAGCCCACAAGTTCAATCACTTTTAGTTTACTGAAATTCTTCCAAATTAGTTAAATTTTCAATTTCACCTTTGACCCAAAGCTCTCTCCCAGCCCCTATTCTACGAGGGGCAGACTTACAGCTCTGGTGGCTGTGGGCAGGGAGGGAGCATTTCCACACCTACCACCTTCCTTGTGATTGCTTCTCTGCAGTGGGTTTTAGGAGGAGGAAGAAAGGAAGAAAAGGATTTCTCATGTGAATGCCAATGGTGAGTTGGGGCAGGCCGTTTTCTGTGGGCCATAATGTCTATTCCCCTGCATGAATAACCACACATCAGTTGCTTTCGTACCCAAGAGCAGGGGTGATTTTCTAAATACTTAATAGCCAGAATGGCACAGGCACCAACCCAGGTGAACAGTCACCTGCCAATCCCTGAGCAGGGTCCTGAAAGCTCCCTGCTGTGCCAGGTCAGAGGTAGGGGACAGCAGGGACTCCATTAGGTACTTCAAAAGTCCTGGGTGCTCTAGGGGTGGGGGCAGAGTGGCTGGGGTGGCAGGAAGCACTTGGGGAAGTGGCTATTTGCAAGCTGATATGGAAATGTTTCAATATTTTAACAATTGGTATGGCAGTTGAATTTTAGCCTTGCCGTCACGAATCCAATTCACTGTCTATACACTCAGCTGGCAGTGAGGTTTCTATAGGCCCTGCTGGTGAGATACTCAATCCTAAGCCATTCTTTTAGGTATTGATGGTCCCTTGAAACATAACTACATTTTTCTGTAGATCTCTAGCGGGCAGTATGCCATGTTTCTCTGCAGGAGTTTTAAAAAACATTCAGCTCCCAATTTCGTCTGGCCTCTTCACCCCCAGTTTCAGGATCTATAGCTGTGCTGTCCAATCTAATAACCACAACCTACATGGATTATTTAAATTAAAATTAATTTAAAAATTAAACTTAGGCTGGGCACGGTGGCTCACACCTGTAATCCCAGCACTTTGGGAGGCCGAGATGGGCAGATCGTAAGGTCAGGAGATAAAGACCATCCTGGCTAACATGGTAAAACCCTGTCTCTACTAAAAAGACAAAAAATTAGCCAGGTGTGGTGGCACGCGCCTGTAGTCCCAGCTACTCAGGAGGCTGAGGCAGGAGAATTGCTTGAACCCAGGAGGCAGAGGTTGCAGTGAGCCGAGATTGTGCCACTGCACTCCAGCCTGGGTGACAAAGTGAGACTCTGTCTCAAAAAAAAAAAAAAATTAAACTTAGTTTCTCATTTGCTCTAGTTACACTTCAAATGCTCAATAGCCCCATGTGACTAGTAACTACCATACTAGATAGGTTGAGTACCAAATTCTTCCATCATTGCAAAAAGTTCCACCGGTCACCACCAGGTTATAGGATCTACCTTCCATAAATCTCAGGAACTGACCACTTAAGGGCCCAGTCCTTACCCGCTCCAACTGGCATTTCCACCACACCTTCTCTCTTCAGTGCTTCTTCCCACCTCATCCCACCCTTGCCATTGCAGTACAGAGGCAGACTGATGCATTGTGTGGGTCAGCTGAGATACAACCTGAAAAAGACTTCCTTTCCTGATGATACCCCAAAACTTAATGAGCTAATTCTTAGGAGTCCCCCTCCCAGAGATTTGGGGAAGGGAACCATTTGAATACACCCACAAGAAATGAGAGGACACTACAGTCTGTCTCCCTTTACAATCATAGCACCCCTGTCTCAGCCCTCTATAGAAATCTAGGGTGGTGTAGAGAGATTGTTGGGCTAGTTCTGAAGTTGAGCATCTCTCCACAAACGCTGCAAGAAGGTGGCTGAAACTACAGTCTTCAGCAATCTGAATTTACAGTACCAGTCACTTGTCTGTTTGCTGTCAACACTATTCTCATCCTACTATGCTTCCCTCTGTATAGCAAGGGGCTAGAAGCCTGCAAACTACATTTCTCAGATTCCTTTATCAACTGACTTCCCATTAGGTTCTGCCAGCATGTGGCTCTTATGGGAGTTTGGAAAGAAGAAGGGAGAAGCCTGTTTTTCTTTCTCCAACAGTGGAAGGAGCAGCAGCAAAAACAATGGGCAGACTCCTAGCCCTCTTCCAGTGGCAGTGGTGGCAGGCACCCCAGCTGCCTTGGCAGCATGGCTCTTATGACCCCTAGCTCTGGCAATGACAGCCACAGCAGCAGGTGACTTCAGACTTCAGCACTGCAGCATCAGTGAGAGTGTGAGCTCCTGGCTTCTTGCAGGGCAGTAGTGGTGGTGGTTCCGGTGGCGGTGGCTGCAGGTGCTCCAATGGAGTTAGCAGCAGTGCAATGAACAAAGGCTCTGCAGAGCATCATTTTCCCTTTTGCCCCCCGCTCCCCGCAATTAGAAATCTAGGCAACCTCACCATCTGCATTTTGCTCCTCCAGTCCTTGTAACACTTTTAGTGGCTTCCTGCAATTAGAAATCTCAGGGCAACCTCGCCATCTGCATTTTGCTCCTCCAGCCCTTCTAACACTTTTGTATCAAATCTCTTATTATAAATTCCCTCTCCAATCTAATAGAATGGTTTTTGTTTTCCCTGGAACGTAAGAAGTGACGTGTGCCACTTCTAGAGCAAAGCCTTCAGAAGCAGATGTGCCTCCTCCACTCTGTCTTTCCCTTTTCGCTGGCTGGAGGCCCTAAGGGATGGTAGCATCTCAGGGTAGAAGGAGCCTAATCCCCAAATCCCCACAAAGAAGAGAACCACCCATCAACCTGACACTGACCCTAGACTGTATATAAACAAAAAATAAAATTCTATTGCATTTGAGTCATTGTATGTTTGGATCTATTTGTTATAGCAGCTTAGTCTTTGTCCCAACTAATATAGCACAGTAACAACCATGATTTATATGTTCATCTGTGTATCATTCTTACTCGTGCCATGGAACTCTGCTAAGCACTTTATCCTCATGAGTCCTCACACAAGTAGTTCCCATTATTATTCCCCTTTACAGACTAGGTAACTGAAATGCAGACAGAATTTGTCCAAGATCTGTCTGACTTGAAAGCCTATGTACTTGGAGATATATATATATATAGATATATAGAGATATCTATATATATATCTCGTTTTCTGCTTGCTGCCTCTCTCTACCCTAATCTACCCTGCTCTGTGCCCCAGGAGCCTGCATATGAACTGCACTACTGCACTAACTAGGCTTCTTTGCCCCCTGCCTTCCTGTTGGGTTTGGCCAATGGGAGACATAGTAGGAGAGCAGCACAAGGGAACTGAAGGAGGTCAAGGTATTTTTTCCACCCACCCTCAATCTCTCTATACCAGGCCATGTGTTGGCAAGGGCTGTGTTACTCTGCCAAAAGCCACAGCTCTCTCTAAAAAGCTATCTCCTATAATAAACAGCTCTGCCCCCTCCCCTCACCCATTGAGGCCTGGGGGTGGTACTGGATCTCCACTGTTGCTAGCTGCACGGTGCTTGGCAATACCTCATTGATTTCTCTCAACCATACTGTACCGTACCTATGTACATAATTCCCTTATTGACCTTTCTTTAATTATCCCTTTGAGTGCCACTTGCTTGATAGTACAGCTTGTATGTGTTCTTATAAACTCTAGGCACCTCTATTGTTTTTCTCCACCAAGCATCTATTCACCCCTTTCTTGGAAGGAACACCTTCCTTCCCTAGTGTGGTGGCAGGGGCATATGCTTTGGGAGGACTTGACTTGACTTCCCAGTTCTGGGTGTAGGAAAATGACTCAAGCCTGGCCAATCTGAGTACTGCATACCCCTGTCTTCAGCGATTGACCCTGAAATTAGCATGGACTCCAAATCAGGCCAATGAGAGCCAGCCCAGGACTTTGGCTGCAGTGGGAAAGAGAAGCTCTCTTCTTTTCTGTGGGACTCCAACCTGACAGTATGTTGGCCTGGAGATGCCCACAGATATCTTGTCTTTATGTGGATCTCGAGAATTAAGCCAACACTCAAGAGAGCAGAGCTGAGCCTTGGAAAGAGGTCAGGTATTAATTACGTTGTTTAAGCCCTAGAATCCAGCCAGCCCTAAAGTCCAATCTATTTCTGTTTTTTTTTTCTTTACTTAAGCCATTACATTCTCTTTTTGCCTAACCCATCATAGGGTGGATTTTCTGTACCTTGCAACAAGTCATAACTGACAAAGAAATATATCAAATTAATATATGTTCCCTGAAAGCAAACATAAATCACCTCTAGATAACCTAAGTTTAAAACATAAATCTGGGGAAGAGATGTGGGATGGCTTACTGACTCAAAGGAAAAGCAGAAGACGGGATTCAGATAGCAGGAATGAATAGACAGGGTCATTAGGGCACTGCTCTGGAATAAAGCAGTGCTAACTATCTACATCCTTGAGTCACTTTACTCAAGATTCAGATTTGCTTGGGGGAGAGAGAGAGAGAGAGAGAAGGGGAGAGAGAGAGAGAGAAAGCAAGACACCTGAGCTGATAGTTTCCACCACAACTGTACATAATAGGGTGCTATTACTATACACTGTAATTCCTCAAAGTAAAATCTGTGCTAAGCACTTTGCATATATTAACTCATTTTAATCCTCAGAGTAGCCCTATAAAATAAACACTATTTTTGTTTGTTTGTTTGTTTTTGAGGTGGAGTCTCACTCTGTCACCCAGTCTGGAGTGCAGTGGTACCATCTCAGCTCACTGCAACCTCCAGCTCCCGGGTTCAAGTGGATTCTCCTGCCTCAGCTCCTCAAGTAGCTGGGATTACAGGTGTGCGCCACCAGTCCCGGCTAATTTATTTATTTTATTTTTTGTTTGTTTGTTTGTTTGTTTGTTTTTTGAGATGAAGTCTCGCTCTGTCGCCCAGGCTAGAGTGCAGTGGCGTGATCTCGGCTCACTGCAACCTCCGCCTCCCGGGTTCAAGCAATTCTCCTGCCTCAGCCTCCTGAGTAGCTGGAATTACAGGTGTGTGCCACCATGCCCGGCTAATGTTTTTGTATTTTAGTAGAGACAGGGTTTCACCATACTGGCCAGGCTGGTCTCAAACTTCTGACCTTAGGTGATCCACCCGCCTCAGCCTCCCAAAGTGCTGGGATTACAGGCGCGAGGCACTGCTCCCAGCCTGGCATGTTTTTAGTAGAGATAGGGTTTCACCATGTTGGCCAGGCTAGTCTCAAACTCCTGACCTCAGGTGATCCACCTGTCTTGGCTTCCCAAAGTGCTGGGATTACAGGCATGAGCCACCGCTCCCGGCCAATACTATTTTTATTATCCCTATTTTACAGATAAAGAGACAGAGACACAGAGAGATAAAGTAATGTGCCTGTAGTCACACAGCTGGTAAGTGACAACTGTGGGATGCAAACCTAGGCAACCTGGCTGTAAGTCTGTGCACTTAACCCATTATACATATGGCTTCTCCAATAGAATAAGAGGGAATAGATTCAGGACAGGCAAAACCACAAGGTCCCCTGCAGTTATCATGCAAGGAGTTATAGGGAACTTCCACTCTCTCTGTAGTTGTTGTCTTCTTTCTTCTTTCTTCTTTCTTCTTTCTTCCTTCTTTTCTTTCTCTTCTCTTCTCCTTCTTCTTTTCCTTCTCCTTCTTCCAAATAATAGAGAGACTTCTTAAAAAAAATCGTGCTTAGCCAATAGCATAAAAGGAAGGAATCCAACTCTGGTGATCTCACTCTCTCCCAGCCACAAAGAAGATGGTGAACTATCTAAGACCTAGGGGAATTCCAGCTGTCAGGAGGCTGCACTAGCCAAGGCAGAGAAAACCCAGGGAATCAGGAAGGCACTATCCATCATAAAGGCACTGTTCAGGACCAAGGAGGAGAGGAATGCTAGCACTTAGATGAAACAAATTGAAGTGGCCACTGTCTGCAGACCTCTGTCCTCACCCAAACCCTGCTGGGCTCACTCCCCTCCATGCCCCTTTGTGGGGCCTCCTGTACAGCCACCCTGTCCTTCAGTGCAGCTTGATTTTGCCTCCTCATTCTGCAGAGCCTGCTCCTTCAACAACGTGGAACAGGTGTTTGCCAAGACTCCAAGCCTGAGAACAGTAAGGCCATGACAAAGCCCCAAAACTTAAGCCACATTCCTCTGGCTCATAATAGTGGAAATCCCAACTCAATTCTGGATGCTACCCCTTCTCAGGAACACAAGTCAGCCAGTGGTTAAGAGTGTGGGCTCTGAAGTCAGACCTAGGTGGGAATCCCAGCTCTTTGACTAACGAGCTGTGTTACAATGGACAAGTTGTCTAACCTTTCTGAGGCTCCATCCTGTGCCATGAAATAAAGTAATGAAACAAGGGCTGAAATTCAGTCCCTATGCACTGTACAGCTAAACTGGTTATTAAAACATAAAAGTACTTCCAAATTGATTGGTAAACAGCCATAGCCTTTGACTCCTTACTATGCTTGCTTCTCCCTGCCTGCCTGACTGATCCAATAACCTAAGTGTTAACTCTTGGCAGAACAGAGAGCTACTAAGACCTTGATCTAGCACTAAGGCCAGTATCCATTCTGATTGATAACGCTCATGCCTGAATGGAGTGTTAGATATTTTTAATATCATCCCTAGTAGTGGTCATCTTCTGGATTAAGTAAGATGATGCAGATAAAGGACTTGGCAGATAGTCTGGTACACAGTGAGGCAATTCAGTCAATGTCAGCTGTTATTGCTTTAAACATCAAACTGAAGGGAACAGAGGCAGGGTCCAATATCAGGGCCTCAAAGTTGAGTATGATGAACAGGTGAAGCTGGGTTATGACTGGCAGTTCAGGAATAGTCACATGGCCCCAAGATGATTCATGGGTGAGGCTGCATGGGTAGTCATGCCTGGAGGATAGGATGGCCAGGAGAAGCCACACTCTGGCCCCCTTGCAGTTCAGGAGGGCTGCTGCTTTTTTTTTTTTTTTTTTTTTTTTTTGTGTGTGTGTGTGTATATCACTCTGTTGCCCAGGCTGGAGTGCAGTGGCGTGATCTCAGCTCACCGCAACCTCTGCTTCCTGGGTTCAAGCGATTCTCCTGCCTCAGCCTCCTTATTTTTGTATTTTTGTATTTTGTATTTTTAGTGGAGGCAGGGTTTTGCCATGTTGGCCAGGCTGGTCTCAAACTCCTGACCTCAAGTGATCCACCCGCCTCAGCCTCCCAAAGTGCTAGGATTACAGGCATAAATCCTGGGTGTGAGCCCAGGAGGGCTTCTTGTTTTCACTACTTCTAGTTTACTGTACTGCTGGAATCCCATATCTTGTTCACCTGAGACAGAAGGGCTGCCCAGGAGGCTGGATTTTGCCTTTCTAATACCTTGGGGAATCAGAAACAAATATTCCAATCTAAGGTCCTTACCCTTAAGGACTTGAAGGACCATAAGAAGAGGCAGTATTGTGTACTGATTAGGAGTGTGGGCTCTGAGGCTAGACTGCTGGGGTTCAAATCCCAGCACTGGAGCTCTCTTTACTAGCAATGTGAACTTGGGTCAGTCACTTAACCGCTCTGTGCCTTGATTTCCTCATCTGTTAAGTAGGAGTAATAATAGAACCTGCCTCACAGAGCTCTTATGGGGAATAAATTGAGTAACTTATTCCCAATTTATATTATATGGTAACATATAATATGCTAGAATAGCACCTGACACAAAGTAAGCTCTCGATACACATTAGCTATTGTTAAGGGGCTCAGGACTCTTAAGTGGAGCAGTCAGATTCATGTCCACATACTTCTGTCCAAGGGACAGTCTTTCTTCACCCACCTGGTTGAAAATTTCCCCCTGCTCCTCTGGACCTCTTGAGCCAGCTCCCACATTTCACAGACTGGGAGGCCCAGAATGAGAAGGGTTTTGCCCACGGTCGTAAATGGAATCATTGGCAAAAATGAGACTCAATGTTAGCAATATGAACTTGGGTCAGTCAATGTTAGGGTTTCAGATACCACTTCTAGTAACCTGTGCTGCCTCTCCCCACTTCTTCACGCCTTGGATTATGGTTAACTGTGAGCAAGGGGGGTTCTCGCTCATCTCTGGGTCCCCAAGACCCAGAGCTGAGAAGGTATCAGAGAAGTGAAAGAGTTAGAGCTTCAAACACCTGTCTTTCATGAGTCACCAACCCATAGTGCCAAGGACGCGCCTTCTCCTACAGCTGCAGGTTCCTTGGAGCCCTCAGCCCCCGCTAAGGCCGCAGAGAGAAGGCATAGTCCGCAGCCTCGAAAATGGTAGAGCAAAACCGTTTCAAGGGGCAACGGGACAGGTCCTAAAGAAAAGGGACGTCCACGGGTTCCTCCCCCAGCGAGCCTGGCCCAGGCATTTCTGGGACCAGCTCCAGAAGCCTCGCCCCCACTCGCGGCAGGTCTGACCCCATCCTCCATCGCCCCGCCCAGCCCACCTCTACCTTCGCCGCGCGGACAGAAGCCCCGCCTCTCACCGCTGCTCTTCAGCGTCCGCGCTCCGATTAGGCCAATCCCCAGCCGTCCGCCCCGACTTTCGACAGATCCTTAGAAGTCCCTGCCCCGCACGTGGCCCAGCCCGGGGATGTCTGGCTCCCCTTTTGCCCCCAGTTTGGCTTAAAAGGGTTCCTTCCCACAGCCTTGTGTCAGGAGCTCTCAGACGCCAGTGCAGCCCAGGCGGCCGGCCCGGGCTGTGGGGAGACCCCCAAGTGCGGGGAGGAGGTGTTGCCGGGGCCCTGAAAGCTTCCAGACCCGCTCAGTGTAAACCGCCTCGGGTTTGTGTCAACATCCGAGGCCGGAGACTGGCGGCGGCTGGGGACCGGCTCCGTCTGCGGGACGGGAAAACGGGAGGGTGGGGAATGGAGGATCCATGGCTAGGCATAGGGGTCCTTCGGGGGAGAACGCGAGAGGCCTCTTGGGGGTCCATGAGAAAGGAGGAGGGCCCGTCTGGGGAGGGACCGGAATGAAGGGCCAGAGGGGTGGCTGGAGGGAACCCACGACTAGCGCGGGGCTAGGTAGAGGCTGGGACTTCGCCACCCATACCGCGCTCTCCGCGCGCAACCAGCACCCTCCTCTCTGCCCCACGGCGTGAGGGGAGTGGATGCGTGGGGAGGGGGGACGCAGAGATGTGGACTGCTGACCAGCCACCTCCTCCCTCTCCCACCCAGCTCCTCCCCAGCTCCTCTTTGGCCCCTCCCAATTTCGGGTGGGATATGGGTGTGGGGGGGGGTCTCATCTTGTGACTCATCCCCTCTTCCGCCCCCACCCATGCTGGGGCCCAGGAAAGGAAGCTTAGAGATTCGGCTGTGGTTCTCCCGTTTCCATAGCAACGGTGAGGTTGTTTTTGAGAATCCACTTTCATCGTCGACCCTTTCCACCCCAGACTTGTAAGCCGGGGGCTGAGCCTCAGGGCAGGGGTGCAGATGGGGGTGCAGCCCTCCCGCTTCCCGGCGACTCCGGGAAGGTCAGCGCGGGCAGGCGGGGCGCGCTCCTGCGGCCGGGCCTCGCCGGCCACCCGGTCCCCACCTGAAACCCCGCCTGCCACTCCGCTCCAGAGGAGCCAATAGCCGTGCAACCTGCCCGGGATGGGGCGGGGCTTATGCAAATAGTGTCGCCTTCGGGAGGCACATAGTGATACAAGAGCTGGAAGGCGGCTCCGGCGCAGACCTTGGAGAGCACAGCTGCCGGCCCGCGAGCCAGCCTCGGTTCCCGCGGCCCGCCGAGGCTCGGAGCCATCCAGCGACCCGGCGACCGGCCTCAGGTAATGCGAGTGGGACCGGGTCCTCAAGGCAACAAACCCACCGGGCGGAGGCCCTGGCCCCCTCCCCCTCCACTCTCCCTTCCCATCCTCATGTCCTGCCCTGATTCACCTCCCTGACCCGTGGTTCCGCCTTAGGCGGCAGCAACTGAAGAGCCCACCCCTGGGCAGGAGACCCCCCACCTCAGTCCAGGCCCATGGGTGCAGAGAAGGAGGCAGAGCCGCCTACTTATCCCCAGCTCAGGTGAGAACAACCATTGCTATGGCCCCCAACATACACGCGCGCAAACACACATACACACACAGATGCACACACACACATCTGGGGGTGTGGTGGCGCTGGTGCTAGCTGGAGGCGCTGGTCACCCTCCCTCCTGTTTGGATATGGGTTGTCTGCCCAGCACCATGGCAAACTCCCACCTCCACGGATAGCCCCTAGCCACTTCTCATCAGGGAGCCCCTGCCCCCAAAGACAGCCTCCCCCTCCACAGAGCGCTCCCTCCTTGTTGTCCCCAGACACTGTCCCCACATCCCACCCCTCAAGCTGACAGAGCCCACAGCATACCTGAGGGGGGGACAATCCCCCTTCCCCAGTTTTTCTCCTCACAGTCTCGACAGCCCTCCCCAGTGGCCCCCAGTGCTAGGCAGAGGCCCCATATTTGGCATCTCTCATCCTGGCGGGAGGATGAACCAAAGACACCACCCCCAGCAGACCACCCATACCGTCAGTCCAGTTGCTGCCAAGGCCCCAACCTCCATACCTCCTCCCTCCCCCCTCACAGCCAGGCACCAAATCCTCTCATTCTGCCTGTCAAATGTCTTTCTAATTTGTATGACTATTTGCTCCCTCTCTCCCACCTTCCTGCTGCTCCGTGGGGACCTTGCCAAGGTGCCATGTGGGCTGTATTGCTCTTGGCCCTAAAGTGAACTATACCTGGAGGGCAGATGAGCTGGGTTCAAATCTTGTACAGCCAAAGTTTGACTTTGGCCAAGTCACTCCCCTCTCTGATCCTTCATGAAAATGGGGAGAGGTATAACAGAGAGGGTAGACTGGGTGAGATGAACTTGAACAGCCTTCTGGCACTGAGACACTCTGGTTCTATGGCTGATTATGGAAAAACAGGATCCTGAACCAAGAGGACATTAAAGAGAGGAGACCTGAGGGGGGCGGGGTTGGTTTAGAACTCACTGAAGACACATTCCTTCTTAACCAGCCTAGGTACAGGCTACCTCCTCCCACACATTCTCCAGGCCCCTTCTATTAGGAGTCCCTCCTAGACCACCAGCCCATCCTGACATGGACAGCTCCAAATTGTAGGTGGCCAGCTGGGATTACTCTTTGTTTGTCATCCCCTGCCTCTCATTAAGAAGAAGAGGGAAAAGACCTGGTTGCTGCTGCTATTGCTGCTGCTTGGGGAAGAGCAAAGGGAGGAGAGGAAAGAGAGAAAAAATCTCCTGACCAGGGAGCTATTGTCACCATGGCAACCACCTCAGTACCAGCTCCTCTGAAGCTGGGTGAGGGTGTGGGATTATTGCCTCCTTCAGTCCCTCCCATTCAAAGCCTCAGCCACCTCTCCATTCAAAGCCCACAGCCCTTAGCCCTCTTGAAGAAACCTCTGGGCACACTGGGACAATGGTTTTGTGTATGGGACAGTCCCAGCTCCTTCATAGCTGGAGGACAGCCCTCAAGAGGTAAGCAGAGGAGCCTGCCCATGTTCAGCAGGGCCACAGCTCCAGCAGAGCATGTCCCCAGCTGGGTTCTGGCCTTCACTTTGCTGCTGATGGGCTATAGTTGACCTGGGGTGAACCCTTCCTTCCCCTAGGTCTGGGTTCCATTGTCTCTGAAGTGGGTGTGATAGCAGGAGAACACAGATAAACAAAACAGCCTGACATAGATCCAGGGAGGAAGAAGGGGGTTCTGCTCCTCTTACGTAATCCACCAAGAGACATTCATTGAACATCACTGTGTCCTAGGCATTGCCACTGCGTCTCCACAGAGCAGTTCTGTGCAGGCACAGAAGGCAGGGTGGGAACCAGGGTAGGGGAGCTATAAGAGAGAAAAAACCCCTGCTCTCATGGGTCCCAGACTCAGTGAGGACTAAGCACTCACTGGGAGAAGTGAGTGCATAGGGAAAAGCACTTTTATTTTCCCCATGGGAAAAATAAACTTTTCTCACGCTTCAACCTGCTCAAAAGTGGACTGGGGCATATTGGAGGGGATCAACTCCTTGCCATTGAGCAAAAAGGTCTGGAGGATTTTTTTTCTGACTCAGGCAGGGGTTTAATGCAAAGACCTGTCTCAAATCAGACTGCATCCTGGAATTCTACAGCACCAGGTGAGGGTCAGAGGGCTATGAAGTCTACACGCCTGTGGGGGACTGACTCATGCCCAAAGTGCTGAGCTTGGGCTGCTGACTCTCCACTGTCCAGACTGGAAAAGGCTGATCATAAGGAAGCAGGCTTCAACCAGGCCCTGAAGACTGATTATAGTCCAGGAGAGAAGAAAGGATATTAGGGGAGAGGAAAATAGCTTAGCAAAGAGGTGAGGCGTGTCTGGCTGTGAGAAGGCTGGCTTGAGAGGAGTATGCGGTGGTGAGTGAGCAATGAGAGCTGAGGCGAGATAGGTGGGCACTTTGAGACCAGATTCTAGAGGATTCTAGAGTTTCAGGGGGCCCATGGGCATGGCTACTTCTAGTCTATATTGTAACTTTCGGGGGGAAAAAGCCATTCCCTCCTAACAGAGGAATCAAAAGAAAGGCACTTCCTGCCAGGCAGGGAAGCCCCATGGGCATGAGCATAGCTTGATTTCAGCCCCCTCGGCTGTGTCCCTGGCTATGGACATAATGAAGGTACCAAGAGCATTTCAAAATAAGAGACAACAGGACTTGATGGCAAGTTAGACCTAGGGCAAAGGGAAGGGAAAAAATGAAGGTAACTAAGATTGTGTTCCCCACACCCCGGGGATGAGGGAGAGAAGGAAGGGGCAACAGAGACAGTCTGACCATCTCTGGTTGGGAGCGAGTCTGGCTGTAGACTTGCTGTCTCAGAGGTGCTGGTGGACACCCCTAGGGTGGCTATCTCCTGGGTGTCAGAGATTGTGGCCCCAGATGGTTCCACTGCGGCCAAAAGGGAGATCAGAGCTCTGATTTTCCCAGAGGGCAGATGTGGGTGGAGAAGGTCTGTGCTGAACAAGAGTAGCCATGATTTGGAGACGGTGGCCCAGGCAGGTAGCACGGATTCAGCCTGAGTGCTCATCTGGGCCCTCCCACTGACCTGCTGTGTAACCCTGAGCCAGTTTTCTCCTATCTCTCAATTTCCATTTTCACTGAAATAAGGGGATGATCTTAAAGGGCACGGCCAGTTTTGACCTTCTTTTCTTAATTTTTTATTTACTTATTTTTTTTTTGAGACAGGGTCTTGCTCTGTTGCCCAGGCTCGAGTGCAGTGGCTCAATCACGGCTCACTGCAGCCTCAACCTCCTGGGCTCAAGTGATCCTCCCACCTCAGCTTCTGAGCAGCTGGGACTACAGGCACATGCTACCATGTCTGGCTAATTTTTAAATTTTATGTAGAAACAGGGTTTCCTTATCTTGCCCAGGCTCAGCTTTGACCTTCTGATGATCTAGAGGGAATGAGGAGAAATAAAGGAGGAGGCATAGTCTGGGTCTGAGACCCAATAAAAGCAGGGAACAGGAAGGACCCTAGGAGACAGAGAATTGTGGAGAAGGCAGCACAGAGCAGGGAGGAGAAAAGGGGTATAAGGTGAGAGCCACACAGACACTGTGACACACACAGAGAGACGTGTGCACTCTGACAGATTTGCAGCCTCAGACATTGACATGCTCCCACACACAGACCCAGCCCCTCATGCTGACTCTCAGGCACATCCTACGGAAGACAGCTGGAGAGGCTGTGCCTCCCCCCATCAGACATCTCTGCCTGACTTCTCCAGCTTCCTTGACTATACCCTGAGCCTTGAGAGTCCTTTGGATTTGGGAGAGGGGTGAGGCCTGCCTCCTTTTGCCTATGGGTGTTCCAGAGGCATCCTTGCTCTGGCCTCAGTGTAGCCATTTTCCGCCCAGCCTCAGGTTCCTGAAGATGGCATGCTCCCCCTCCCTGGCTTTTCCTGAGGGCATACAATTCCTCATCCTCTGGGAGTGGGGAAGGATGTTGCTACCTGCACTGCTCCTTGGTCTTCCTTATGGCCCAGTGGAGGAATCTGAGGCCCAGAGAGGATCTGTAACTAGCCTGAGGTCAGCCCAGCAAAGGGGAGTGGGAAGGAATGGACCAACCTCAGATTTGCTATTTAGTGTTTTCCCAGTTGTAAGAATTAGAAGCCCACTGGCAGACATCGGGCTATGGGAGTGGAATTCCTTCTGCCAGCCCAAGGGCTTCCTTTTCCAGAGTATCTTGAGGACAGGCTACCTGGGGTGGGAGCCTGACCCTCTTCCAAAGAGACTCTAGGCAGGTCAGAGGCACCTCCCAAGCCATGTCCTGGGAAACCCAGACTCTGCAGGGACATTCCTCCCAGGGAGGTCAGAGAGGAGGGTCCACTCTGCCTTCAAGGTCTGGCCACACTTCCTGAGGAGGGCCTGTACCTCTTCAAACACTTCCCCTGGCACAGCCCACTTACGGGCTCACATTCCCACTGGGGAATAACTCTTGATCCTTCCCAAACCTGCTTCTCAGCAACAACACTTCTATCCACTGAGGCTCAAATCTGAGCCTCTGCCTCAACTCCTCTGTTCCTCTTACTCCCACATCCAATCAACTGCAAAGTCCTGCCAGTGCCCTTCTTAACGTCTCAGCCCATCCACGTCTCTCCACGACCCTTACTCTGGCAGCATTGTCTCTCACCTGAACCGTGTAGCAGGCCCCTCCCTGCTCTACCTACCTGCCCCCACCAAAGGTCATCTTGCATGCTGTGGCCAAAGGAAAAATTCTTTTTTTTCTTTTTTGAGACAGGGCCTTTCTTTATCGCCCAGGCTGTAGTACAGTGGTGCCATCTCAGCTCACTGCAACCCCTGCCTCCCAGGCTCAAGTGATCCTCCCATCTTAGCCTCCCAAGTATCTGGGACTACAGGCATGCACCACCACACTCAGTGAATTTTTTTTTTTTTTTTTTTTTGAGACGGAGTCTCACTCTGTCGCCCAGGCTGGAGTGCAGTGGAGCGATCTCGGCTCACCGCAAGCTCCGCCTCTGGGGTTGATGCCATTCTCCTGCCTCAGCCTCCCAAGTAGCTGGGACTACTGGCGCCCGCCACCATGCCTGGCTAATTTTTTGTATTTTTAGTAGAGATGGGGTTTCACTGTGTTAGCCAGGATGGTCTTGATCTCCTGACCTCGTGATCCACCTGCCTCAGCCTCTCAAAGTGCTGGGATTACAGGCGTGAGCCACTGCGCCCGGCCAATATATTTTTTTTTTTTTTGAGGTGGAGTCTCACTGTGTCACCCAGGTTGGAGTGCAGTGGCGCGATCTCAGCTCACTGCATGCTCTCCCTCCTGGGTTGACGCCATTCTCCTGCCTCAGCCTCCCGAGTAGCTGGGACTACAGGCGCCTGCCACGACGCCCAGCTAATTTTTTTGTATTTGTAGTAGAGACAGGGTTTCACCGTGTTAGCCAGGATGGTCTTGATCACCTGACTTCGTGATCCACCCACCTTGGCCTCCCAAAGTGCTGGGATTACAGGTGTGAGCCACCGTGCCCGGCCGCGCCCAGCCAAATTTTTAAATTTTTTGTAGAGACTAGGTGTCACTGTATTGCCTAGGCTGGTCTCAAACTCCTGGCCTCAAGCTGTCCTCTCATCTCAGCCTCCCAAGGTACTGGGATTATAGGCATGAAATACGGTGCCCAGCCTGGAAAAATTTTAAAACACATACCTTTTCTTGGGTCCCCAGTGACTCGTTCAAGACTGGGTATATCATAAGCATTCTGTAAATATTGTGGAATGAATGCAATCTTCCCAGCCCTTGTTTTAAAAAATCCCAGGAGCGTCTGTTCCCTCCAATTTCTTGGCATGGATTGGAGGCCCTTTGTAACCAACCATCTGCCTCTTTGACCCAGTTACAAGTTATTGAAGGTTGGCTCATGTCTGCTTCATCTCCATCACTGGCACAGGGCCTAGCACACAGTCAGTCTCAATAAATGCTCAGGGAATGAATGGATTAATGAAAAGCCAAATGTCAGTAGAGGATTTCTATTTGTATAGAGGAAAGAGGGAGAGAAGCTCCCTGCTGGGGTGGCCCAAGAAAGCCTTGAGGAAGAAATTGGGAGACAGTGCCAAGGGGACACACAAGGAACCTACCTTGGGTCCCTTCTCAGGACAGAAGCCTGCCAAGGAGGGTGGGGGCTGACTTCAGAAAGCCCTAAATGGCAAGGAGAGGAGTCAAGGCCTTAGTCTGTGGGCAGGGGAGCCATGAAAGGTGTGAGCAGGAGGGGAGAGGATGAAGACTGTGGCGTGCTGCACGGTCAGTGAGGAGGAGAGCTGAGACCTGGAAGGCGGGAGACCCCCGGGGCTAGGAGAAGAAACCTACCTGAATGCAGGTGTTGTGAGGGGAGAGGAGGCCCCATTATGGGGGAGTGTCATGAGGGGAAGGAACCTGCAACCCCGCCCTGTGTGTGGCAGGGGAGGGGGCAGCTGTGGCTGAGGCAGGGCCTTTCCCTGGACCCAGTCGGAGGAATCCCTCTGTCCCACAGGCCCCGCCATGGGGAAGACCAACAGCAAGCTGGCCCCCGAGGTGCTGGAGGACCTTGTTCAGAACACTGAGTTCAGCGAGCAGGAGCTGAAGCAGTGGTACAAGGGCTTCCTGAAGGACTGCCCCAGCGGCATCCTCAACCTGGAGGAGTTTCAGCAGCTCTACATCAAGGTGGGCGGCCGGCACCTGGTGTGAGGGAGCCAAGTACCCGGGTTGGGGGAGGCGAGGAACCGGGGGTGAGGGAGGCAGGGCACCCTGGGATGAGAAGAGGCGAGGCACCCGGGGTGGGAGGGGAGGCGAGGCACCCGGGGTGCGGGGGAGGTGAGGCACCCGGGGTGGCGGGGGCAAGGCACCCGGGGTGGGAGGAGGCGAGGCACCCGGGGTGCAGGGGAGGTTCCCTGAGATGGGGGCGGGGTGGGCGGGGCTGTCGCTGCGCCCCAACCCACCGCACCCCCCTCAGTTCTTCCCCTACGGCGACGCCTCCAAGTTCGCGCAGCACGCTTTCCGCACCTTCGACAAGAACGGCGACGGCACCATCGACTTCCGGGAGTTCATCTGCGCCCTGTCGGTCACCTCCCGCGGCAGCTTCGAGCAGAAGCTCAACTGGGCCTTTGAGATGTACGACCTGGACGGCGACGGGCGCATCACGCGCCTGGAGATGCTGGAGATCATCGAGGTGCGGGGCCGCGCGGGCGCTGCTGTTCCCGAGGCCAGCGCTTCGCCATCCCCGCCCCTGCCTCCGCGCTGCTCTCGGGCTTCGGGGCCTCCCTGCTGCTCCCCAGCCTGCGATCCCGCCTCCTACCACCCCGCTACAGGCCCGGGCTAAATGCTTTACCCGACACTCGACGGGGCGGAGGGGTTGGTTACTGTCCCAAACCCCATTTGGCAGAGGAGGAAACGGCCGGGTTCCTGATTCCAATCCAGGGAGTCTGACCTCATAGCTGATGTTTTCAACTCATTCTGTCAACAGGCAGGGATTGAGCGCCTGCCAGTTCTTGCTTTCATGGGGCATTCCTTCTAGTGAGAAATTTTTTTAAAAAATAAATGAATGAAGACATGCGGGGTCAGGCCGTAGGTGCTATGAGGAAGATACACTAAGCAAAGTGCAGGGAGAGCGCGTGATGGAGAAGTTACTTTATATAAGATGGAAAGTTAGCAGCAGCCTGAATGGGGTGAGGCCTTTACTGCAAGATGCCTGGGGGAAAGCGTTCCATGCTGAGGGGCAATTAAGGCAGGTCGGCCTTTCTCTGCAGAGTTCAAGGAGGGGCCAGGAGGCCCGGTGGTGGGAGAGCCATGAGAGGGAGAGAGTGATAGGAAGGTGGTCATACGGGGAGCCAGGAGCCCCATCAGTAAGGTCTCCACGGAGTTGGGCTTCTGGCATGTTTCATCCACATAAATATTATTTAGTCTAAATAAAAAATTAGTTGAGGGCTGGGCGTGGTGGCTCACGCCTGTAATCCTAGCACTTTGGGAGGGTGAGGCCGGTGGATTACCTGAGGTAATGAGTTCGAGACCAACCCGGTCAACATGGTGAAACCCCGTCTCTACTAAAAATACAAAAATTAGCGGGACGTGTTGGTGCATGCCTGTAATCCCAGCTACTCAGGAGGCTGAAGCAGGAAAATCACTTGAACCCAGGAGGCAGAGGTTGCAGTAAGCCGAGATCGCGCCATTGCACTCCATCCTGGGCAACAAGATCGAAACTCTGTTTCAAAAAAAAAAAGAGTTGCTCATTAAATATCCAGTCTTAATGACCACATATACCTTCCAGTATCCTCACCAACCCCCAGTGTTCTCCCTGCCAGATCCCTTTCCTTCACCCGCTGCTTCTCGGGGCCCCTTGTGGGTGTTCACACCTCCCTCCTCCTTCCCTCACCAGGCAATCTACAAGATGGTGGGCACCGTGATCATGATGCGCATGAACCAGGACGGGCTCACGCCCCAGCAGCGTGTGGACAAGATCTTCAAGAAGATGGACCAGGATAAGGACGACCAGATTACATTGGAGGAGTTCAAGGAGGCAGCCAAGAGTGACCCATCCATTGTGTTGCTGCTGCAGTGTGACATGCAGAAGTAGAAGCTGGTGAGGGGCAGGGTCCCTGGCCAGAAGGGGCATGGCCACCTCCCAACCTGATGACCTCTCTGGCTGGCCTCCCAGGAGGAGGGACACTCCAGCCCCCCTCTCTGGCCCACCCAGTCCTCTGCCCAAGCCCTTCCTCCCCTCCATCAAGATCTTTGAGGGACCACCTCACCCTGCAAAAGAGACAGGTCCTCCAGTACCCTGTCTTCTAGCCCCACCTCCCACTTGGCCAGAACCAATGTCCATTGGGCATAGGGGAGTTGGCTTTTGCCCCAGGAGGTGAGGTTAAGGAGTTGGGGGCCTGGGGTTCTGGTTAGGAATTCTCTTGATCCTGGGATTATGCTTTATAGGATGTGGTCCCACAGGCCTGTCACAGGGCCAAATTGGGTCTGTCCATTCCTGAGGCTCCAGATCCCATAAAGGGGGTCTCTTCCCCATCCCTTCTACTCTACCTGGCCCTTCCAGCCCCAGCCTTTGGAGCGTTCATTCAGTCCTTTCTTCAGCTAATGATTACTGAGCACCTGTTTGGTGCTAAGGATATGGTCATTTACAAGACACATCTTGTGCCCTCTGGAAGCTCATAGGGTTGTGAGGCAAACTTCCAGCCGTCAGGGTCTCAGCTAAGCAGAAGGTGCTGGAAGGCTGGTTAGTCTGGGAGGAGCTATTTCATCTTCCAGCTCAGCTCCACACAAAGCTGCAGAAGGACGAAATGAAAAGCATTTGGAAGTTTAGGAGCCACGTGAGTGAAAGTTTTAAGAAAAATGAAATTTATGTCATACTTATTTTTTTAGTACCCTTTAAAGGAGCTACAGTCATTTTATTATTTCAGGAGGTTAAAATATACTCTATATTACTTGGTTTCTTATAAAATGATTAAATGAATAGAGAAAATATTAATTTTCAAGGGGAAAAAACCTGAGAAGAAAGGGAGAAAAGACCATGAAATTTACCAGATAACACTTTTTAAGACTAAGTCCTGAGCTGCCACTCTCAGCAGTTTTTGCTGCTTCAGCTCTTCCTTTTTATTACCTTTTTCAATTCAACAAGCAACTTTCTGCTACATACTTACTCCGGTTGGGTGCTGACTTCAGGGACAGGAAAAAGCAAGGTTTGCAAAGAGTGAAACTAGTGTATATTCCGTATCTTGGTAGTTCGTTTCTGGATTGGGTTTAGTTTCAGAACTGGACTTGTTCCTTCACTGCCACAGAATCAGAAAGAGCTAGAAGAAAAGGCTCACCTGGCCACTGTTTAGGCACCCAGACATAATTTATGGACGAAATGCCTAAAAATGTGCCAGGCATGCTCTGTTTGAGAGGCTTTTTCTAACCCCAAATCTTAGATCTGCCAGGTAGTTCAACATCTTCCAAGTGTGCTGGTTCTGCTTTCCAATGCCTGCTTCCCAATTTTGGATCCATGAGCTATACAGCTGCATGCTTTGACTGCCGGAAAAATTAATCTTGCTTCTTCATCAGGTCTTTCTCCTGTACTTGTGATCAGAAATTACCTTTGACGTGCAGTGACAGTTGATTTCCTCTTGAACTGCCGGTGAAAACAGTCTAGTACACAGGTGCTGTCAGCCCAGGGTGGGAGCAGGAAATGATTGCTGAGCCCGGGGCAGGGGAATTGCATCTGCAGGAAAGAGATGCAGCATGCTCCTCACTCCTGAGTGCCCACCTGTCCTGCTTCTCTGCAGGTGAAAACTCTGGGGGATGCTGATCAATAGAGCTTGGTCCCAAGCTCTACTGGGCCCTTGGAGGTAGCAAGGCCACTGGGTTGCTATCCTCTTGCTGGGGATAGCAACCACTGGTTTGCAACCACTGGGTTGCTATCCTTTTGCTATCCTCTTGCTCATGACCAGCCATATGGTGAGGCTGGGGAGTTCACATCCTCAGGCAGGAACTAGCAGTTGTTTATCCAGCAATGCCTCAAGGATGTTGCATTGCTCCCAGGAACTGGCTATTAGGTATGTCTTGTGCGGTCAGTCAGCATCACAGACACATAGATGCTCACCAGCCTGGCTTAGCTGGGACCTAAATCTTCTGGTGAAAAGCTTTTCACTAAGTGAGGTTCCTTCCCTGCAAATGCTGAATCTAGCCTAATTCGCAACCACACAGAATTTCATGGCTTTCAAAGGCTTGCCATGTGCCCCATCTCATTCTATACTCACATCCCATGGAGGTGAGGATTTTCACTTCTTTTCTCTAGACTTGGAAGCTGAGATTCAGAGAGGAAGCATCCCTTGTGCAAGATCACATAGTCAGGAGGTGACACAGGGCTAAGACTTGAACCAAGGCTCTAAGAGGATTTCTTCTTTTCAGAGTCTCTTCCCTGTCCATTTCTGTGACTAAGCTGTGCAGAGGTTGACAGCAGGGCAAGTTACATTGATATTCATCCTTTATAGGCTTCCTGCTAAAAAGCTTCTGAGATTGTGGTCTTCCAAAAAAAATAGGAGCTTGGTTGAAGTCCCCACATTTTCAAGCACTCAGTGTTCTGCCTCTGGCAGCTGTGCTAACAGCTCAGTGCTGTCCTGGGAGTCCTCTGACTCAGAACCCTCGAAGCATCCTGCATTGTCTTTACCCACCATCATCTTCACTAAGAGAAACATGCCTACCCATGAAGGCGTGTTTGATTACTCCAGGCTTCTGGACACACATACCCATGGGTGATTTTTGCTCCTCAGGCCCAATATTCTCAGACAGCCCAGCAGTGTGAACACACAATGCCAGGCCAGGAACTGGGACCACCATCTTGCTGATGGAAGGAACAACAGGTGGCCCAGGACATGCTCCTGCATACTCCTGGGTGTCCCAGGGACTGTGTGCTCAGGAGCACTGTGGTAGAGCACTGGCCCTGCCTTGAGAAGAGACACAGGTCTCCCGTCCCTGCACCAGCTGAGAGAGACTTGCCGCAAAGCACAAGGCTGGCAGAGATTTATGTATGACTTGCACAGACACAAAAATATACAGACAATCAAAACATTGATATATTCAAACTCTCCTTTAAATTCCAATCTTATTGCAACAACTCTGTGAATTGCAAGGTCCCAGAATCTGCCTTCTCACATACTCTACCCTCATTCATCCTTTTGGGCTAATTGATGAGCATCTTATTTCTTATCTCTAAAAATTATCAGCAAAGGCTACTTCAGATGGCCACTTTAGTCCTTTCAGCTGTAGTCAGGATTATTTAACTTACCTGTATATCAAAAGTGAAGAAAAAGTTAGTTCATAAGTAAAGGCACTAAATCCTTTCCTGACAATGGCAGAGTCTCTAGAGGTAGAAATTTGCCTTGCTGCAGAGAGAGAAGGAATGGCGTGGGATGGGGGAAAGAAAAGAAAGAGAAGAAGCTGGGGTCTCCAGGCAGGGTAGTAAGCTGACACTAAATATTTTTTACACAAAAATGTATTGAAGCAACAAATATTTCCTGAAGATCCACCCTGGGTGAGGCTTTGAGCTGACTTTAGAGATCACTGTGGGGTCAAGAATGTCTTACATGTTTTATTCATCATTCTTGAAAAAAGAAATAATTCAAACCTTGGAATTAAAAAGTCAGAAAAATATGGGATTTTCTTTCTGGAATTTTCGAGGTTTTCTTTTTACCTTTGCCAGAGTGTGGGGGCAGGACTGGGCCTGCCAGGGTGTATAGCCCTTCCTGCTTGGTGGAGGCCAGTCAGGCCCAGGGCCTTCTAAGCAGCAGTAGAAAGGAGGCTTGGGGAAGTGGGGGGTCTGGGTAGCAGGGGAAGGAGGCCAGTTCCAGTGTAGCCCCCTATCCCCTCCAGATGTGCTGCTTCTGGCTGTGCACTCAGTGACTGCCCTCACTGCTCAACCCTGTGCTGTGTGGTGTGTTTCTTTCCCCACTGACAGTGAATAAAAGGTGCAACTGTGCTGAGGGCTCCTGCTCTTCCCTACACTGGGACAGGATTGGGGTGGGGAGAAAGGGACAGAAGAGGCCTGGGGAGGCTCACTCAGTGAAGGGCCAAGGTCCTTGTTCTAGCAAGGACTCTGGGAACATGGCATGAGACTCACTTGAGCTAGTTCAAAGAAATGGGGGAGCAGATTATAAGGGACTCTGAAGATGGAAAATCAAGAATGACTGAACCTCAGGCCAAGCGCAGAGGCTCACACCTGTAATCCCAGTACTTTGGGAGGCCAAGGGGCAGATCACAAGGTCGAGATCGAGACCATCCTGGCCAACATACTAATAATACAAAAATTAGCTGGGCATGGTGGTGCACGCCTATAGTCCCAGCTATTCGGGAGGCTGAGGCAGGAAAATTGCTTGAACCCAGGAGGCTGAGGTTGCAGTGAGCAGCGGAGGTTGCAGTGAGCCGAGATCGCACCACTGCACTCCAGCCTGGTGACAGAGCAAGACTCCATCTCAAAAAAAATAAAAAAATAAAAATAAAAATAAAATAAAAACTGGCTGAACCTCAAGAGAACTGGAACTGGCAACTGGGCCTCTTCCTTACCATCTCTGGGTCTTGCAGGCTCTTGTTCCCTGGGCAGTATTTGCATCCATGCTCTTTTCCTGGGCTTCTCTTCAGACTTCTTTGGTTTTGTTGCACACAGTGGCTGAATCTCCAACTCGGTATCAAGACTCACCAGTGACTGACAACTCCCCTCTGTGCCTCTTAGTTTCAATTCACAAGCAAAAGGATCTGATTGGTTTGGCTTAGCTTTTGGCGGGATCCCTTAGGTCAGGTGTCCTCCCTTGGCCCAACCATCTGTAGCCTGACTGGACACTGATATGTGGGACCTGTGAGCAATTCCCTCAGAAGGAAGCTAATGGCAGCAGACGTTGGGACTTAGTTTCCCCCTCTGCCCAGTGAAAGGCCTCTTAAGAGCCCAAATGAGAGGACAGTGGCCAGCGGAAAGAAAGGCCAAGAGCCAGGGTTACAATTCGTCCATATGGCGCCCTTTGTATGACTTAGGAAAAGGCACCCCTCTGAGTGGAAGCAGCCCCATAAGTACGCAGCTGGGCAGTGGATAGCGCCTTTGGGCTAATTAGGAAAATATCTCCCTTCCTCCAGGTGAATACAGCCCTGTCATATTAGGGTGCACAGCTTCACAAGAGGAGCACAGGCTGCATTTCAGCCTGCCTCTCCTGCTGGTCACGGGTCATTGCATAGTGCGTAACCTGTTCCACCTTGACCTGAAATATGGTCAAGGGTTGGGGTGGGAGTTGGTGGTGAAGTGTTCCTCTCAGAATGTCCCCTGACAGTCCAAGAAGCACTGTTCCCTGCAGAGAGTTGGGGGCAGTGGTGGCTGGAGCTGCCTGCCTTCTCCTGAAATGCTCAATTGCTTCTACAAGGGTTGCGTCAAGGACACTTGGAGGTGGCCAGCTCCCTTGGCAGGAAGTAATTAGGACAGAGGAAGGAGGCTGACCTGGCCTCGGGGCAACCATGAACCTAACTAAGGAGGTGACTCAGAGGCCTGAGAACTTGGGGTTGCTATTCCCAGCTGAGGCCACGCTGGGGGATGGGAAGTCCTGTCCCCTGTCTACTTTGGGCACACAGGTCCTGGGTTGCCTTCTCCCAAAAACTACCCACTCAGGCCCTCATAATCTCTAACCCAGCCAAATTAGTCCACCTCCTACTTTCAGCCTTGCCCTCTGCCCCATCTAGCTGCCACTAAGAAGCCACAGTGACCTTCCTAAAGCACAAATCTAACCATGTCAGCTCTTCAAAGGCTCCCCTTGCCCCTCTGTATGATTTGCTCCTTAAATATCCCTCCAGGTCCTGCATGATCGGGCACCAGCCGATCTCAGAAGGTTTTTTTCTTCCTCTCACTTTTCATCCTGCACCCTGCACTAAGCCATCCTGAATGGCCCCCATTTCCTAAGGGGTCTCTTATGCTTTTGTGTTGTGCACAAGCCATTGCTCCTCCCTGGGTCACCCATTCCCCTGTCTGAATTATCTCCTCCTCTATGAAACCCTCCCAACTCTCCAACGATTGGCCCTTCACGTGTACACAGTCCCTCACAATCAACAAACACTTCCCATGTGATCTGCTGTTGGCTGAGCCAAGCACACATTTAAGTCTTTTTTTTTCTTTTTCTTTTTCTTTCCTTTTTTTTTTTTTTTTTTTGAGACAGAGTTTCGCTCTTGTTGCCCAGGCTGGAGTGCAGTGGCACGATCTCAGCCCACCTCAACCTCCGCCTCCCGGGTTCAAGCAATTCTCCTGCCTCAGCCTCCCGAGTAGCTGGGATTACAGGCATGCGCCACCATGCCCAGCTAATTTTGTATTTTTAGTAGAGATGGGGTTTCTCCATGTTGGTCAGGCTGGTCGCGAACTGCCGACCTGTGGTGATCCACCCGCCTCGGTCTCCCAAAGTTCTGGGATTACAGGCATGAGCCACCGTGCCCGGCCATGTCATTTTTTTTTTTTTTTTTTTAAAGACAAGGAAACAAAGGCCCAGAAAATGGTAAAGCTGGGACTTGATCTCAGGTCTCCTAACATCAAGGCCACTGCTTGTTGTGCCTTCTCAGCCACGGGAGTGAATCCAAGTCAGAATGTGAAAAGAGATTAAAAAAAAAACCGGCTGGGCACGGTGGGTCACACCTGTAATCCCAGCACTTTGGGAGGCCGAGGCGGGTGGATCATGAGGTCAGGAGATCGAGACCATCCTGGCTAATACGGTGAAACCCCGTCTCTACTAAAAATACAAAAAAATTAGCCAGGCATGGTGGCGGGCGCCTGTAGTCCCAGCTACTCAGGAGGCTGAGGCAGGAGAATGGCGTGAACCCGGGAGGCGGAGCTTGCAGTGAGCCGAGATCGTGCCACTGCACTCCAGCCTGGGCAACAGTGCAAGACTCTGTCTCAAAACAAAAACAAAAACAAAAACAAAAAACCCATGAGCTCTGAGCTTCAGAGGAGGAAGCGTCTTACCTGACTGGGGAGAGGTGAGGAATAGGTAAAGAGCAAAGGGCAGCCATGGCTTCATGGAGGAGGTGGCATCTGCCCCAGGTCTTACTAAACATTAGCCAACAGGGCCAGGCATGCTGGAGCAGGGCTCTCCAAGGGAACAGCCAGGTGTGGGGCTCCTGGAGTCATGCCCTACAGGGTCTGTTCCCAGCTTATTCATCTGAAGAAGTGCTGGACCTGGAGGCAAAGTCCTGGCTGGAGTCCAGAAACCCTGAGCCAGGGAAGCCCTGCACCCAGCCAGCTATTAGCAAGTGACAGGCAAGCCAGAGAGCATGGCCAGAAGCCTGGAAGGGTGGAAAGAACAGTTAAGGATCAAGTTCTCTAATCCTTCCAAAGAAGGATCTGGGGAAAGTTCTTTTTTTTTTTTAAGACAGAGTCTCGCTCTGTCACCCAGGCTGGCACGCAGTGGCACGATGATCTCGGCTCACTGCAACCTCTGCCTCCCGGGTTCAGGCAATTCTCCTGCCTCAGCCTCCTGAGTAGCTGGGATTACAGGCGCACCCCACCACACCCAGTTTTAATTTTTGTATTTTTAGTAGAGATGGAGTTTCACCATGTTGGTCAGGCTGGTCTTGAACTCCTGACCTTGTGATCCACCCACCTCGGCCTCCCAAAGTGCTAGGATTACAGGCATGAGCCACCGCACCCGGCCCGGGGAAAGTTCTTAAAGGGACTGAACCAGGAGTCTGGGCAGGATTCCTTGATGGCAAGGAACAGTGCCTACTCATGGCAGGGTGAGTAAAGGGGAATGGATTAGTTGGGACTTTTGGTTGCAAGTGAACGAAATCCAACTCACACAAGCTTAAGCAAAAAGGGAGGCTTATTGGCTCATGTAATTGGGAAGTTCAGGCATGGCTGGGTCCAGAAACTCAGTTGCATCCTCTCTCCCTCCCTCCTTCTGCTTCTCTCTCTGTGGCACCATTGTCCTTCCAGATGTGCTTCTTCCATGTTCTTTCACCTGCCAAATGGGTTCCCAGCTCACATTGCCCCAAATTAACAACCTCAGAGAAAAAGAGCCAAATCTCCCAGAAGCCCTAAATAAGAGTGAAGAGTGTCTCAGCTGGGGTCACATGCTCATCCTTGTGTCCAGGGACACAGGGCTCCGCCATTGGTCAGGTCTCAGTTACAGGTCTCTGTACCAGGTCTGGTACTTCTTGACCAGAAAACCAGGGAGGCAGGGCTTTTTATTAGAAAGAGAGGCCGGGAAAAGTGGCCACTCAAGCAAAACCACAATCCACCAAATTTCCTTTTGGGGGCATTTGTTGAAACAATGTGGAGAATCTCATGAAAGTGTAGAGATGGGCACCAGAGCCAGGCCTTAGCTAGAACTTGGGAAACTGTCAGGAGCAGAGGCGGCTCCATCTCAGGGCAGCATGGTTTCTCTCATGTGCTGCTCTCTGCACATCCTTTCCCATCTTGATCTGCTGCTCATCTCATTCTGCTCAGAGAGTCTCCACCTGCGCCGAGCTTTACTTTGCATATAACTGCAGTCTGCTGAGGCTCACCCAGGTCTCTTCGGAGCCAACTGTATTTCACAGCATCCTCAGCTTCTATTCCAATGGTTGACTGCCCAGCCCATTTCCCAATTCCAAATTCCTGAGAAAGACAAATCTGCTTGGCCCAGGTCATCTTTTCAAGCCAATCACACAGATTAAAGGCCGCTGGACAGCATGGGGGTGGCTCACTTTTGTGTGAAGTGCCCACCTCCATCCAAGTAACCACTCTATGTATTCTTCCTGAGTTACTTCATCATTCTTCTCCATGAGGCACCTGAGAATAATTGACCTCATTCCTAGAGTTTCAATTATTTATTGCAGTGTAACAAGCTACCCCAAAACTTGGTGCCTGAAACAACAATTTATTATTTTTGATGATTCTGTGAGTTGGCTGGGCTCAGCTGGAAGGTTTTACTGCTTCAGGTTGTGTTGGCTGGCGTCACCCACATAGCTGCACTCCACTGGGAGCTGAGCTGGGGCTGGGACAGCCAGGATGGCCTCATTCACATGTCTGTCAATTGTGCCTATAGTCACCTGGGCTGTCGCTAGCTTCTTATCCTCCAGGTCCTATCTGTCTCACTACGTGGCCTTTCCAGCAGGATAGTCCAGACTTATTTACATAGTAGCTGGCTCCCAAGAGGGCAAAAATGGAATCTGCAAGGCCTCTTAAGACGTAAGCTTGGAAACCACAGAGCACCACTTCTACTCCATTCAATTGGTCAAAGCAAGTCACAGGGCCAGCTCAGACTGGACTCCACCTCTGAATGGGAGGAATGTCAAAGTCACATTTCCAAAGGACAGGCAGGATGGAAGAGGTTTTTGGGCCATCTCTGGAAACAATCTTCTAGAAGTAAGTCTAAACACACTTCCCCCAATCCTAACATTTTATTATGATTTTTCCCTTCCTCCCACACAAGGGTTGGTTTATTCCTCCCAGGACCTGGTGGAGGCTGAGGGGATCACTCCATTCTGTAGCCCCCTCACCTCCCCAGTCAGAGGCCCTCCTAGCTAAGCCAGTGTTTTCTCCTGCTTCTCCCACCCACCCATGCACACCTCTGAGAGAGGCTGTCTGCTTCCTGGCCTGTACCTTGGGATGGGTGACATTTGTGTCTGCACCCTGAGACTAGTACAGAGCTCTGCATCAAGAGGGACAACACCCTGGAATTCCAGGATGGTAGTTCCGAGGCCCCTCTTCTGCCCTCCCTCTATCCAGCCCCTTCATGGCCTATAACAAATCACCCCAAGCTGGGCAGGTGGGGGCCTAGGAATGCGCGCCCTCTGCTGACCACCAAAGGGCCAGCAAGAATTCGGGTTCAGAGTCCCTGGGAGTCTCTCTGGCCTGGGTCCCCACCCCAGGCCAAGGTCTCGACCTGAGACCACCCGAGCCTGGTCTCAACATGGACTTCAAGGGCCCCTCCTAGGTGGTGTGGAGGAGCTGCCGGGTTGGGCCCTTCACTGAGCTCCCGCTGGGAGCAGGCTTCTGCTAGTGAGAGGAGCCATCCATGCATCACCTCCTGCCCGTCTGCCGGATGGACTGGCCTCGGAGGGAAGGGGACATCGTCAGGATCCCAGGGTCCTAGCTCCTAAAGGAAAGATGGGCAGCTAGCTTTTGGGAGGGGAGCGGCTAGCTTTTCATTTTGTCCTTTGGGGATCACTATCCTGGGGGAAAAAAAAAGTTGTCAGGCCTCTCCTGTCTCCGCGCCCTGCAGCGCCTGCGAAGAACATCATTTTCGCAATCCCCAATCCGCTGCAGCCCACAAACCCAGAGAGCCAGAGAGCCCCCCTCACCACCCAACCGGCTGCTGGCGTGGGTCGGTCGGGGAAGGAGAGCCCAGCTATCCCTCATACCGTACAGCAGTAGCAGCAGCAGCGGCAGCGACACACGGGCGACCGAGAGGGCCAGTGTGACCTCCCCCCGCCCGGCGGGCGGGGAGCCCAGCTCACACGCACAGCCTCCTCGCCGCTGCCCGCCCCCTTCCCTCGCCGGGACTCGCCTCCCTCCTGCAGCCCAGCCCCAGCCACCTCCGCGTCTACGCCGCCGCCTGCTCTGGCCGGGCCGGGTCAGAGCCGGAGCATGGAACCTGGGCAGCCCCGGGAGCCCCAGGAGCCCCGCGAGCCCGGGCCAGGAGCGGAGACCGCTGCGGCCCCGGTCTGGGAGGAAGCCAAGATTTTCTACGACAACCTCGCGCCCAAGAAGAAACCCAAATCGGTAAAAGCAATGCACGGGTATGCGGGGGACGGGGGAAGGGTTACCCCGGAGGAGGGGTCATAAGTCTCTTGGGAAGGGACCCGTGGCGCCCCTCTGGGAGGGGACGCAGCTCCTCAGCCCCAGAATGCGCCCTGCAGCTGGCGCGGGCTCGGGTTTATTTTGGGAGCTCTGCTCTGGTGTATTTTTTTACCGGGACTCGGGTTCCACGCCAGGCTCCCCCTCCCCCATGCTGTCATCAGGGCCCAGCTAGAGGCCCGCAGCCCCAGCCCCTCCCCACTCGGGCCGCCGGGGAGCGCGGATTGCACTTGTTGGCGAAGCTGGTCCGCAGCGCTTCCAGAAGCGCCCCAGGCGCGGGTAACCAGACTTTGGGAACCCGGTTCCTGGCTGTGCGCTCCGGTCTCCGCCATCTGGGCATCGGGCTCCGGACCTGAGACTCTGCGTTTGGGGTCTGGCTCTGGGTCCTGGGCCCTGGGCTGGGGGCAGTGCGCTCCCCGCGTCCTAAGGAAAGGGAGCTGCTCTCTCCAGGCACTGGGATCCACACTCTGCGCTGGGGGGCGATCGGCGCCCCTGGCCGCAGGCTCCCAGCGCTGGACTCTGCCCCCCAGCTCGGGTTCTGCTCCCCTTGCAGTGGGCATTAACATCCCCACGACCCTGTGGTGGTGTCAACCGTCTGGGACCTCACAGAGGAGCTCTCTCCTCTCTGCCATCAAACAAGTTGATGATGCCCTGGTCTGCCCCTGGACCTTGCTGTCTCCAACTTCCCAGATCTCAGAGCTTGAGGAGAAAACCGAGAATAGAGGTTGGCCCACAGCGGTCCTCCAAAGAGCTCCAGCTTGATCTTAAAGCAATTTGCTGCTTCCCTCCAAGAACCCTTCCCCAACAGGTCCACCCTATCAGCAATCATTCAATTAGCACCTCCAAGCTCTGCTCAAGAGTGGGGATTGAAGAATTAAATAACCTGAGTCCCTGCCTCAGGAGCTCACTGCACAATGATGGAGGCTCCAGAGATGAGAGCCTAGGGGAGTTGGGGGGGGAGTAGAGTAGTGACATCACACTGGGGAAAGCTTTGTAGAAGTGGCACGTATCCTGATCTTAAAGCCTGAGTAGGTGGAGTTTCCCAGGGAGAGGGAAACAGGACAGGCAAAAGTCATGCAGATGTCTCTGAAGCTCAGGACTGTGTTCCTGAATAAGTACTGAATGAAGAATGCAGGATTGTTGGAAGAAGAGCTGGAGGGATGTGGAAGAGCCCACAGAGGGCCTTGGGGATCATGTTAAGGAGTCTGGACCTTACTCAAGGGGGTCAGGGATTTCCAAACTAGCTTCCCCAAGCCCCATGTTTCAGGGAGTCTGCACACATGTGAATCCAATTTATTTTCTTTCTTCTTCGGACTATGTTTTAAACAATTAAAAATGTGTAATAAAACCCAACTCACTCTAATGTATTAGGTGGACATTTTAGCAGCTTGAAGGCCACTAGCTTGTGCTGCAGATTTTTTTAAAGCAAAGCTCAGAATAAGGCTTCCCCTGTGATCTGTTCCATCAAAGAGCGTCTTGAGATTGTAAGGCCTTTAGTTTAAAACAAACCAAAACAAAAAACCTTTTAGCATTTCCAACCACTTATTGGTCTGAATCAGGACTTTCTCAATACTGTACAAATACAAACACAGCAACAACTTGGCCGGATGCTGAAGCTTAAGTCTGCACTGGCATTCTAGCCGCTAGTTTCAAATTTGTTGTCATGCAAACAACTGTGTTGTTTTCATTGGTTGACTTTATAATAAATAAATAAATAAATGTAATGCATTTGAATCTGTAAAATAAATAAACACCAATTATATATGTTATATCTGGTACCATATGGTATGAGATATATGGTAATATCTGGCTTACATATTGAATTCAAAGTTTATTTGAATTCATTTAAATAAAAGGTCAACCTACATTTAAACAAACATATGAATACCATTATGGAGCTATTACAGGATTTTTCATCAGGGGATTAACTGGGTCCCATTTTTATTTTAGAAAGATCACTCTGGGATGGATTGGAAAGGGTGAGTCCGGCAGCAAACCCACCAGTGAGAAGGCTGGTGCCTCTCTGAAGAGGAAGCTGGATGAATGTCAATGCTGTGGCCTGAGTGATGCAGAAGAAGGGATGGAGACTGGGGACTGGGGCAGTGAAAGCATCAGTGCTCAAAATCCATTTCCTCCCCAGGCACCAAGGAACCGGAGAGCTCAGGCCCAGTTGTCAGTCATGACCCCTGGATCAGCCCCTGACTCTCATGGTTCTCTGGGAGGCAAGAAGCCTGGAGGCTTCCCAGCTCCTATTCCTTCCTGCAGAAGCCCCTCTTCCCACAGGCTATTTTGGGGGCTCTAGGCCTCATGGGCCCCATCATGGCCTGGCCTGGGCTAATTCTCATTCCCAGGGGCCTGAGTAAAATATTTAACGCCTGAAGGCCTGTTGGAGGCCCTCACCTCATGGGGTCAGAACACTTCTTCAATCCAAAACTCTCCTGTCCCTCTCTCTTTCAGCAGCCCTTCCCTCTCTAAGTCCTACTGGGAATAACAGCTTTTTGCCTATGTTTCTATCTTGGACCCAATAGGCAGAATTACGTTAGCCTAAATGGGAGCTCCTCAGGAAGTCCAGGTGGGGGTGGGCTGCACTCTGTTATTCTTCCATTCCCATCCCCTAGCCGGAGCCATCAGCCTGACCCTGAAAGGCAGAGAGAGCTGCCAGCACCCTGGTTTCCTGGAGCTCAGAGCTCCCAGAGTGAGCCCTTGAGTCACTCTGACCCAATTCCCAGTCTGAGATCAGGGCTTCTTTCTGCTCTCTGGAGGAACTGTTCCTAGATGCCCCTGCCAACACATGGCCACCTCTGCGGCCAGGCCCAGGAGGGTCTCTATGTCCACAACTTGTCCCTATCTCTGGCCAGCCCATTTCACCTGCTCCTTCAGCTCCACCTGGAGCCTGGACAGGTCATTCATCAGTCCCAGCTGGGATCCATATTTCTTACACAGCCATGGCCTCTGGGATCTTAGACTCCACCTCACTCATACTGTGTCACAGCAGTCTAAGTGGGGATGCACAGTCCTGCCCTTGGGACCCCCATTCTGCTGGGAAACAGAGACCTGCCGTTAGAAACCTCAGTTTGTGGGCACGCCCTGATCATTTCTCCCAAATCTGGAAAGTGAAGGCTGGGGGAGATGTTTCCAGGGAAGGCGGAAGTAGCAAGGGATAGAATCTTCTGGGAACTGTTGAGGAGAGGAATAGCAAGGGGACTGCAGTGTGGATAGAGGCCAGGCTAGAGGCCGGAGACTTGAGATGTCATCTTGCTCTGCCTTGACCTAGAGTAACAGGCCCCTTTCTGGGCCTGTTTCCCCATCTGGAAAAGAGAGAAGCAGAGGACTCTTGGGGCCAATGCAACCAGGACGTTTTTCTTGCAACAACCAGGGGCGGGATGGATTGGGGTCTGTCTGGGTAGCTCAGCCAGAGGGAGCCCAGGACTTGGCAGTCTGGCAGGGACTGTGGGACAGAAAGTGAGGAGCGAGACCTTAGCTGGCTGCCAGGGTTGGAGTGGCAGGCTTGGGAACCTGCCTAATGGGGCTGGGAGGGCAGCTGACTCTCTGTCCTTAGAGGGGTGATGGCCCTGTCCCTGGGGCAGTAAGCCCAGTGGGTGGAGCAAGCTCAGCTCCTGTTCCAAAGGCCTCCAGGCTTCCAGGGTTTATGAGAGTGGGTCTCCCCACTCCACCACCAACCCCACCCTTAGGACACACACATGGTGGTAGTCAGCAACTGAGAAAGGTATTTGGGTTGAACCTCCAAGAAGAAGCACCTGTCCTGCCACTGCCTTATGCAGACCTTGCTGGCCACATACACCATCTTGGTTGGGGTTAAAAGTCAAATGCAAACTGAGGTCTACCACATGACCTTGGGGAACTCTTTTGTCTTCCACTCCTATTATAAGGTTCTAAAGCTGCATTTACCACTAGCCACGTATAGCTGTTTAAGTTCATTTAAATGAAGTAAAATCTAAAATTCAGCTCCTCAGTCTCATTAGTCACATTTCAAATTGTTCCACAGCCACAGGGAGAGCACAGATTATGGAATATTTCCATTATCATAGAAAGTTCCATTGGACATTGCTCTTTTAAAAGATGGCATTGGCCTCTGTCTTGGGGTTGGATCATGAGCTCCATGGGGACAGGGATCACACTTGTGTTGTTTCCTGCCATGTCCACCACGGTGTCTCTCAGATGGTAACCACTCAATGTTGTCAACTGATTGGAGCCCAGGACTGACCCCAGGAAGAAGAAATGGGGTTGAGTACATGACCCACGGATGATCAGGAGAGGCAAGAATGCAAGGTGCATTTATGAGCCTTGACCTCAATTTGAGCCCCTCATTTTTAATTTGTAAAGTGGGAATCAGGACCCCAGGACTGCTCAGGACACAGAGATGTGGTGGGATTCTCTGGGTATCTGTAAATCCCTTGGGCACTCATATTCTGATCCTCCCTAGGGACTATAAAGGTCCAGCTGCTGTCTGGGGTGGCGGGTACCTATAGTCCCAGCTACTTGGGAGGCTGAGGCAGGACAATTGCTCGAACCTGAGAGGTGGAGGTTGCAGTGAGCTGAGATCACACCACTGCACTCCAGCCTGGGCAACAAGAGTGAAACTCCATCTCAGAAAAAAAAAAAAAAAAAAAAGAGGGGGAAAGTATGACCTGATGTGAGAAAGCCCAGGTGGGGCAAAGCTAGGGGATTGGAAGAGGGGAATGGAAAGAGAAGTAGGGGTCTGTTGTGAAGGGCTTTCTATTTCCACACTAGAGGCTGCCAGCCATATTCTGAGAATAGTGTGCACCACTAAAGAGGGGGGCTGTGGTCAGATCTGAACTTTAGAAAAATCCCCTGACAGCAGCATGAATGACAGATTAGAGAATGTGACAGATGATGATGGCCTGAACGAAAGAAGTGGGTGGATTCTAGTAGAGTTGACTCATTTCGGTAATCGATTGATGAGGAAGGGAGTTGAGGCTGACTTCCCAGCTTCTGCTTCAGTAATGAGTGGATAGTGGTTCTAAGCCTTGCTATGAGTTACAGGGAGAAGGGATCAGGTTTGGGAGGGGAGAAGGTGATGGGAATTCAGCCTTGGGAATGTTAACTTTGAGAGGCTGTTAGTCAACTGGGGCAGTTAGATGGATGTATGAATCTGGAGCTCAGGAGACAGATCTGGGTTGCAGATACATTTTTTATATAAATTGTCATATTTATGGGCATCATTTCTTCCTAAGGGCATGCAGCTCTTATTTTACAATGGAAACCAACTGAGATCATCTCCAGCATCAGTCACACGTTGGCCACATACATTGGCTTCATTTTTTTCTTGTGTCCAGATGCCTGGCTAGATTGCAAACTCCCAAGGGCATGGCCCTCCCTCCATCAGATTGTGCTTCCAGCAAGGGAGCCAGCACCTCTCTCAACCCCCATCTGGGTCCGTCATAGATGGGGTCCTGACCTAAGTCCACATCTGCTCAAGGCTGGGCCTCTTTAGGTAGAGACTGGGTCTGGGTCTTCTCCATGTCCTCACTACCCAGGGAGACTCACACATGTGAGCCTGCCTCAGGGGCAGTCATCTGAGTGACAACCCCTTCTCCCATACCTCTGCAGCCCAAGCCTCAGAATGCAGTCACCATCGCTGTGTCCTCCCGAGCCTTGTTTCGCATGGACGAGGAGCAGCAGATCTACACGGAGCAGGGCGTGGAGGAGTACGTGCGCTACCAGCTGGAACATGAGAACGAACCCTTCAGTCCCGGGCCAGCCTTCCCTTTTGTGAAGGTGAGGGAGCAGTTCCACCACTAGCTCATATAGCGCCTTCGTGGGGATTAGAAAAAAGCACTCCCATGAGTATTTGAGTAAGGTGAAAGGGCCCCTCTGGGCAGATGTAACCACACAGGTACACAGCTTGGCTAGGTGACAGAGTCTTTTGGGAAGAAAATTCATCCACCCTCTGGACAAATGCAGCCCCACGCCTGGTAACCAGCTTGGTGAGTGGAATGCGGGCTGGATTTCAGCCCCGACTCTCTCTAGCGAGGTACCCCTGAGTGGTAAGCAACTTGCATTAGGAGAAGGTAGTTCATGTGCACTTATCTCATCCCAAGCATGGCTCCTCACCTCCCCTCACTGAATCCTTGGCCACCAACTTCAGGTATCAATCCTTGGGGGTCTAAGCTGGGGGGTGCCCTCTCCTTTCCAGGCTCTGGAGGCCGTGAACAGGCGGCTGCGGGAGCTGTACCCTGATAGTGAGGACGTCTTCGACATCGTCCTCATGACTAACAACCATGCTCAAGTGGGTGTCCGCCTCATCAACAGTATCAACCACTATGGTGAGCATGAGCATGAGGATGGGGGGTTTGCCCTGGGACACCCCTACCAGACCCCCCAGGGATGGGGCCACACCTCTGCAGGATGGAGTTGTACTGACCAGAACCCCAAGTCCAGTGTGTGCTGGTAAATTCGCTCTTTAAACAAACAAACAAAACCCTGACTTGTAGTGTTGCTAGTTTTCAGGTGTAAAATATTTCCACCAGGACTGGTTTCAAGCTGTCAGTGGTTGAACAACACAAATGGCTCACAAAATTTCTGAATGTTTAACTGTGGGCTCTTGCAAGCCAGTCCAAGCCAGCTCCAGCACACCCCACTCTCCGTGTGATTAGGTGAGACAGTTACTGCCTCCCTGCCTCAGTTTCTCTAACTGTGATGGGGCTAACAGGCCTCACAAGGCTGCTGGGAGAATCAGGTGCAGCTGTCAGAGTGAAAGGGCTTTGTGTCTTATTCTAAACTCAAGGTTAAAAATAATAGCCCCTCCAGAGCTAGCTTAAGCCCAGGAGAATTTTTTATTAGGTTACAGGGGTGTCTTTCAGAGGGCAGGAAATAAAATTGGGCCTACAAAGACCTGAATCCAAGTACTAGAAATCTCTCCCGGCTCTTCTTTTCTTCAGGCCACATGAACCTTTATTTGTGCTTCTCTAGCAAGTTTGCTCTTTTTTTTTTTCCTCTCTCCCCTGAAATTGGATTTCTCTGCTTTTCCTAAATAAAAACCGTATTCAAGAAAAGCAGGCCAGGTGCGGTGGCTCACTCCTGTAATCCCAGCACTTTGGGAGGCCAGGGCGGGTGGAACACTTGAGGTCCGGAGTTCAAAACCAGCCTAACATGGTAAAACCCTGTCTCTACTAAAAATACAAAAATTAGCCTGGTGTGGTGGCGCACACCTGTAATCCCAGCTATTCGGGAGGCTGAGGTATGAGAATCACTTGAACCCGGGAGGCAGAGGTTGCAATGAGCCGAGATCACCCCACTGCACTCCAGCCTGGTGACAGAGTGAGATGGAAAGGAGAGGAGAGGAGAGGAGAGGAGGAGAAATCCACTCTGGGGAGAGAGAGACAGAAAAATAATACACCTGGCCAGGCACGGTGGCTCACACCTGTGATCCCAGCACTTTGGGAGGCCGAGGCGGGGGATCACGAGGTCAGGAGATTGGATTGCTAACACCGTGAAACGGCGTCTCTACTAAAAATACAAAAAAATTTAGCCGGGCATGGTGGTGGGGCCTGTGGTCCCAGCTACTCGGGAGGCTGAGGCAGGAGAATGACGTGAACCCGGGAGGCGGAGCTTGCAGTGAGCCGAGATCACGCCACTGCACTCCAGCCTGGGCGACAGAGCAAGACTCTGTCTCAAAACGAAAAAAAAGAAAGAAAGAAAAAGAATACACCTATATTTATAGGTTTACCAGGCCTGGTTTTTAGCAACCAAGAGAGTCTAGTTGGCATTTTTAAATCCTAATTTCAAATTCTTGGGAGCAGGGTTGATCGTAAAAATATTTAACCACCTGTGTGACATACACACTGCGTAATCAGGACAGACTCTCCCTATAGTGCTGAAGCAGGGCCCTGAAGGACCCCTGCCGTACAAGGCATTACCGCCTTGTGTTGTGGACTCTGGAGAGGACAGAGGTCCTGGGTAAGGGGCTGCGAGAGTGACGGGTAACTTAATGGGCTCAGAGCAGCAGCCGTTTATCAACCAACAAATACTTTACAACTTTTGCAGTAATGGGGACCAGCGGATTGGCAGCCTAGGTAATCAGATTGGCCCAGCTTGGGCCAGATGTCTGCTCTTATCCAATCAGCTATGGCAGCTATGGCCAGGAGGCGGGGTCACACAGGCATGTAGCACTGTGATTCCTTGACAAGAGGATGTCCCTGTGAGCTGGGCAATTGCTCTAGAGATGTGATCGTCCTCATTTCATGAAGGATGGAGGGGCTCAGAGGGGAACACTGGCCTAAAATTACACTGAGACACGCTGTGCTGCCGTACCACACCCAGAACTAGGATGGTGTGCACTGGGCACAGAGAGACTGCCCTGAAGCCCAGGGTTGACCCTGGCCTCACCTGGGTCCTTTACCTCCTTCCCAGACCTGTTCATCGAGAGGTTCTGCATGACAGGTGGGAACAGCCCGATCTGCTACCTCAAGGCCTATCACACCAACCTCTACTTGTCAGCCGATGCGGAAAAAGTGCGAGAAGCCATTGATGAGGGTAAGTCTAAGTGAAGAGGAAGAATATGGGGAGTGCAGCAAAGGGGTCCCTGAGGTGGGAGGCCTGGTCCTGAAGTTCCGAGCAGGTGCTGGGAGTTGCCATGGTAACTAGAAGGCAAGGCTGAGCAATACTTTCCTTAATTCTTATAATCTGTCCTATAAATTCTGAAACCAAGGCCCTACCCATTCCATCTTCCTACATCTGGCCCTACTGTGTCATGGATGCTTTTACTTCTCAGCATCACCCAGCCTTCTGTTTCCATGGAAACCCTCTCTACAGCCCAGAAAGCTACTTTCTTCTATGATTCCTCCAAGTCAGAAGGAGTTCTGATTCCTGTAGGACCATAGGCAGCCTCTGCCCTGCCCTGGGCCAATGGGAAGGAGGATTCATATCTAGTCCAGCCTGAAAGCCTGAGTGGTGGGGTCTGGGGAATGGCCAGCATCTCCAGCAGCTGGGCTGGCCAGTGCTTAGGGGAGTTTAGGAGACCCAGATGCAAGTACTGACAAAGAGAATGTCCCTCTATGTGTGTCTTTCGAGGGGCAGTTTTGGGTGGTATCCATAGTCTCAGTCCTCCCAACGAGGTGCGTATCCTATTGCACATGAGATAAACAGGCCCATAGAGGAGCAAGGACTGGCCAGGTACCTGAGAGGGTTCCTTAGGCTGAACACTAGTGGCAAGTTTCTTTATCAACCAACAATATATTCACTTTTCTCTTCCTCTTTCATGTTGTCTCCTGCCTGGAAGCCTGGCCCCTCTCCCCCTGATAACTCACTCTCCTGAGCTGCTTGGGAGCTCCTAGAGGCTTTCTTTAACCAGGAACCAGGAGCCATTTCCCTAGACAGATGTCACACCCTCTGGTTGGGGCCTTGGCACTGGCATGTAGGTGTGCCTCTGTGTGTTTGTAACTTGACCTCAGGCTAGGGAGCAGGAGAATGGTCCACGGGGAGGCCCTGTTGAGGGTAGGGGTGGTTCTGGGTCATCTTGATTCCAGTGCTGGCAGAGCTGAGAGGGTACCTGGCTTGATGCCTGGCACTGGCCCTGCTTGTAGTATCCTCAGGCTAGTGAAGTTGTGTGCAGGTAGCACTGCTCACTCCTCCCAAAGCTCACCTAAGCCCAGCCTCTGTGATCCTCAGTTTTCAAAGAGTTGGGCTGAAGTGGTCTTTGAAGAGATGGAGACTAGGGAATGAGCTCGGCCAGTTGCCCAGGTCTCCAGCCTCCCAGCACTGGCTCTCTGCCATCTAGTGCAGCTCTAGCCTGGAGCCTGAACCCCTGAGAGGCATCCTTGGACCCCTGGAGGAGCCCAGGGTTGCAGTCTGTGCACACAACTAGCCATCACTTGTGCTGTCTCCCAGGGCCACTTAGGTTGTTTTTTGGAACCCTGAACAGCCAGCCGCCAGCAGGGCATACCTGGGTGTCATTGTGGCTGTAGACTGAGGGTGCACGTACTCACCTCACCCGATTGCAGCCTGTGGTCTCAGCCCCAGAGCTGAGAGGCCCTTAATTTTACAGTGGTCCAGAGAAGGTGAGTGACTTGCTAGAACCAATGGTGAGGGAGTGACTGAGGCCAACCCAGAGTTGGGGCTCCTTCCCAGCCCCACTGTCGGTCTACATCAGGGGCTGTGAGGCACCCCTGGCACGAAGGCAGTGGCCGATGGGACTCATGTTTGGCTGGTCCACAGCAGCATGATCTTACTAGGTATTAAAGTATTGAAATTTCCTTCACCCTGGTTGGTAAATATTTCCTGCCCTGAGTCCTGAGTGCCCTCCTGCCCCCTGGGACTCCTCCCAGACTTTTCCACAAAGCAATAACCAACAGGGTAACCTGGCAAGGCAAGGGCCCTAGAGATCTCCTTCAGAGCCACTGCTACTGCCCTCTTCTTGGCCAGGATCCATGCACTACCAGTTTTTACAAGTTTTAAATATTAGTTTTCATCAGCCTTGCCCTGAGTCCTGTATGAGGCAGGTGGGGCAAGGATAGCCTAAGATAGCCCACTCTAGCCCTACTGCCCAGCCTGAAGGCAGACAATGCTTGCCTCTCTCTGCCTAGGGATCGCAGCTGCCACCATCTTCAGCCCCAGCAGGGATGTGGTTGTGTCCCAGAGTCAGCTGCGCGTGGCCTTCGATGGGGACGCCGTGCTCTTCTCGGACGAGTCGGAGCGCATCGTCAAGGCCCACGGGCTGGACCGATTCTTCGAGCATGAGAAGGCCCACGAGAACAAACCTCTGGCTCAGGTGCTCCCCATAGACCCAGAACCCCTGAGAGGAACAAGGCAGCTCCCCAGACCTGCCCTTGGCCTGCACTCCCAGCCTGGAAGCAAACAAACCCCAGGCTCAGCCCAGATTCCAGCCTGGTCCCCTCGACCCTCTCACTTGACCACTGACCCCCCATCAATGAGCTTCCACCTGCTTTGTTGAGCCCACATCCCCTCACTGAAGTCCCAACCCTCCTTTGAAGCCTCCATTCTCTATCTAAGCCTCTCTCTAAGCCCATCCCCCCTCTGCAGCTCAAATCCCCATTTCTGAGGTCTCCTTTCCCTCCCTGACGTCCCCATTCTCTATGTCCCCACCTCTTCTCTGAAGTCCCTGCCCTGCTCTGAAGGCCTCATCCTGTCTCTCTGAAGCTCCCATTCTCTCTCTGGAACCCTCACTTCCTCCCTGAGATCCCCCGCCCCTCTGAGACCATGCCCACCCTCTTAAGAAGCCTGTTTCCCTCACTGGAAACAGGAGGAAAGGAATTGCTGGACTGGGGCGCCTCATTGGGGTAGGGAGATCCAGCTGGGTGTGACATCTGGGGCAGACCATTTGCTTTGGGACATCTCCTGCCATCCATCCCTTGGCTGGGGGCACAGGGACCCTCACTCACCCTCAAACTGCTCAGTGTCTCTCAGAACAGAATATACCCTAGAGCTTGGTGGAAATTCCCTGGAGTTGGGGCTGTTGGGATTCTCCAGCTCTGCTGGGAGCTCTTATTTGAGCTTTTAACAAAAACCCGGGAGCTCAATAATCTCAGAGCCCCTCTCCAAGAGCTCAGCAGGCTTCCGCTGTGGCTCCTAAATATTCAGTTCATGTCTGTTCTTGCGAGTTGCCTCTGAAATCCTTGGGAATCCAGGGCAGGAGAGTTTTCCTACTAAGTGGTAAGCAGAGGCCCAGGAGACCACTGCTTATTCCAGTTTACCTAGCAAGCGAGAGGTCTCCAAGACGAGGAGCCCACTTTTGTTTATTTCTAGCTGCTTTGGAAATAAGCAGTTTTCTTCATCGTTGTCTGTTTTTTTATTCTCACATCCTCAGGAAGCTTCATTGTTCTGGGCACTGTAGAGAATAAATTGTCCTTGACCCTAGAGTGCTTGAGGATGACACCCTGAGCCACCTGGGTGCCAGATGGGCACGGTTGATACTCAACACTTACACATTGGTCCATCTTCTCCAGCTGTTTATAGCTGGAGTCCATTCTGATTGGAGGGCGCCCATGCCATAGTTACTAAATGGTTTTAATATCCCCCCTGTTGATGGGCATCGAAGGCCACAGTTACAGACCTTCAGGACAGACATCTGTATACCTTGATGGGCATATGGATGGATGATACATATCAACAGTTGCCCTGATAGTTATCCTGACCCAGCACCAATATACAATAACACAGATCCCCTGACTAGAGCCGCGCTGGTGCACACAGTAGCCTAAGCAGGCATAAGCAGAGCTAACTGAAAGATTTAGGGATCCTGAAGTTTTCCACACCAAACAAGACACTAGTGCTTTAGGGAGAGCAGGGGGCAAATATTTAGGAGGTGGTAGAGCTAACAATGTTCCCCTTGCCTTCTCATAGGGCCCCTTAAAGGGCTTTCTGGAGGCACTGGGTAGGTTGCAGAAGAAGTTCTACTCCAAAGGCCTGCGGCTGGAGTGCCCAATTCGTACCTACTTGGTGACAGCACGCAGTGCAGCCAGTTCCGGGGCCCGGGCTCTCAAGACCCTGCGCAGCTGGGGCCTGGAGACAGATGAAGCCTTGTTCCTTGCTGGAGCGCCCAAGGGCCCTCTCCTTGAGAAGATCCGCCCACACATCTTCTTTGATGACCAGATGTTCCATGTGGCTGGGGCTCAGGAGATGGGCACTGTGGCCGCCCATGTGCCTTATGGTGTGGCACAGACACCCCGGCGGACTGCACCTGCAAAGCAGGCCCCATCTGCACAGTAGCTGAACCACCGGCTTTACTGATCCACATTGCTCCAGGCTCCCTGACATACTTCGACACCTCCTCTGGTAGATCCCTCTAGTTTCTCACTGTTCTGTCCTTCTGCCTGTCTGCCCTCATCCCTATGAGTGATGTACTTGTAGGAAATTATGCAGACGGGTCTGGCATTCTCAACATCCCTCCTTTGGGGCAAATTCTGTGCCATGATCCTGAGTAGGAGAGTAGGACTGTGCAGAGTAGCTGGATTTCAGGGGGGAAGTTAATGGGTCTGAGAGGGGGAGGGTCAGAGAAGCCAGGATTTCTCAATAGTGACTTAGGATGAAAACTAGCTCAATGTGGTGTAAACAACACTGCTATGGGAGAGAGTGGATCTGGCTTCTAAGCTCTGTCCTGGTATTAACTGCATGACTTTGAGTAATCCCTCCCCTTCATGGCCCCCAGTTTCCCCATCTTTTGGGCAGTTTTCAAGCTCCCTTTTAGCCAAAGAAGCTTGGTTCTTTAAGATCGCCCTCTTAGAAGGAAGCATTCTGTGTCAGTGCTGCTGCTGGTATGTATGGCACCTTTGTGCAAATTACAAAAGGACACTGTCTAGGTGAATGAAGAACAAAAAGACATCCCTTCCTCTGGCCTGACCCAGTCCCATAGTGGGGTACACAGCTTAGTTAGCAGGATAGAGGCTGGATTTCAGCCCCCATGTGTCCCCTCAGCTCAGAGGCCTTTCTCAAATGGACAAAATGCAAAATCGCCCCCAGCAACTCTATCTATAATTTTACACATTTTGAAACCACTGGACAAGATGACCTATCTGCTCATGTGATTCTCTAACCTGAATGGTCATCAGGGCTCAGCCCAGGAAGCAAGGGGAGTGAATTGGACACGCATACAAACTCTCCTCCAGCCAGCAGGGGGCACTGCAGGCTCTTCCCGGGAGAAGCATTAGTAGCTGCCTGCTCAGTGTTTCCTTTGCTCTTGCTTTGAGCCGAAGTTCAGTTGCTCTTGCCTGCCAAGACCCTCACTTCCACCACCCTCATTCCTCCAGTTATTGCATCCTGTTGAGCAGCTCTGCTGGTGGGGAACGGGACAGAGCATGGGTGTCTACTGTTGTGGCCTCAATTCTAGGGGAAGAAAGTGCAGTGGCTGAGGTAGGCGGTTGTCCAGGCTGAGCCCCAGGGTGAGGTGCTGCCTGGGGTGAAGTGGGAAGTGTCAGGAGGTCTGGTGTGAGACAGAAGGTACTGAGACAGTGATGCTTGGAGAGGAAGGAGCTGAAATGTGCACTAGCAAAATTCTCCAGCTATGGGATTGTTAGTGGAAAGCCAGTCAGAGCTGCCTTTGGAGGTAATGAGCTCTCCATCAGTGGATGCTGAGCAAGGGCTTCCAGGATGAGATAACCTCCCCATGAAATGCATCAGCGGATCCTCCACATTTGCAAGAGCCCCTGCGGCCCCTTCTTCACCACTTTCAGAGGAGAACTCTCACCGCTTGATGAGTCAGCCTCCTCCTTTGCTGAGCATCCCTGGCTCTCTCCAGAGGGAGGGTGGAAGCACCAATGGCTGGTCCCCAGGGAGACAGAAGGGGTGAGCAGACATCTGTGTGTGGACTGATTGCCAGGCTTCTAGGAGGAATCCTAGTCATGAGCAAGCACTTTGTAAAGAAAACCAAAAGTATCATGAGAGGGGCAGAAGCCTGGAGATGTGGTGGTAGGAAATAGGGGAAGAGAACACCCTGGGGTTTTTGATCTTTGTCCTTCTGGGGACTCAGCTCAGGGTCTGAAAGGGCACAGGTTCTGTGCAGTGTGGGGCAGGGTAAGAGATGCAGAAAGATATTCCAGGAAGGAGAACAAAGTGAGAAGGCAGAGACGGTTCTCAAATGAGCAACGATTTGGGCCAGAAGAGAAAGGCTGGGCTGAGTTTTTACTGTCATTGTCAGAGGTCTCCATGAGGCTGGTCCCAGGGAGGAAGGGTATGGCTGTGTGGAGTGACTGGGACAGATACCCACAGTGACTGCTTTATCAGGGGACACTGGCATTATTGCCCCTGGAAGGGCATATGATAATGTCTTTGCACGAGGTCATTTCCACTGCACAGCCAGGATCCTTCTGGCTAACAGAGGAGGCCTTGGGGCAGAAGACCCGGGTTGTGTCTACTTCCAGAGCTCCAAGCCTAGACAGAGGTACTGTGAGGGCCAAGAACAACCTCAAGGAAACAAAAAAGAAGTGAAGGAGGGAGCTCAGCCCTGAGTCTCCTTTATTCTTGGCTGAACTGCAGAAAGGCCCTCTCCTTCTCACTCCCAGGGGTCAGAATCACCCCCGTGGAAGAGCCTCCAAGGCTCACAGAACCAGTGACTGCAAGAAGCCTACAAGGCCGGGCACAGCCCAGGCTCACAGCATGGCAACAGGCTGACTGACCAGGGTGGACCTGTGCACTGGGGACGGCACCAGATGTCACCTAATTAAGAAAAACTGCAGGGATTCTGGGACCTGTGTGGTCTTGCCCCCAGGGCCTGGTGATGAACACCACTGATGATTCCATGTCTCTCAGGAAGCAGGAAAATATGATGCTGGAAGCAGAAAGATAAGGTGCAGTAAAAGCCATGGATTTCACTGGAGCCATCATTAATAGACACAGACAGCCCTGGGCAATGGAGAAACACTAAGAGTCTAAATTCTATTATTGAAATCACAAATGAGCATCTCAGGCCTGGAAAAAAGCTTTCAGTCACTGGAATAAAAAGCCAGAAATCTGAGGGGCAGTCTTAGGCAGCAGTTACACGGGCCTTCTGATTGTCTTAGAGGTGAGGAGGTGCCCAGGGATGAGGAACATTGAGTGTTGTTCACCAGTAAATTAAAAAGCCAGGTGAACACCAAAGTCCCAGGCCTAACCAGGGAATGCAGCACTGAGGTGGAGCAGCCACGGCTTCTGAAACACTGGACCCCTTTAGCTGAGAGCACCACTTCCCCAACAAGCCCTGCAGAACACTGGTTCCAGGAGATGCCTGCCAGCAAAATCCCAGAGCCAATGGGACTGCTGCTTAGCAGAAAAATGGAAGCCCTGTTACTAAGCACTGAGACTGCTCAGCCAGTTGCAAAACATCCCCCTCTCCTATCTGAGAGCCCAATCAGAGTAGTGGGGATATATCAGAATGTGCCAGAAAAAAATAGAAACTAGCAAGAAGTTCAAAGCCAAGATGGATTTGGCATTATAATGACACTCAATTGGTGTGCACCAGTACAGCCAAACTGATGACTAAAACTTGAAATACCTCCATAGCAGTTGGTAGATAATGCTGCGCTGAGTCCCCTGAATGTCTCCTCGTGGCCTCAGCTGACCTTTCCACTGTGAGCGCTCCATTTTCCCACAATGCAGCCTCTAGGAGGCTGCAGCGGCACTATGGCCAGTGTCTACTCTGTTTTGTGGTGTCCTGGCCATGCTGGTTTAGGGAGGCAAAGTAACTTGTCCAAAGCCATAGAGCTAGTAAGTGGCAGTGCTGGGACTCAAACTCATGTCCATCTGATTCTAGGACCCAGGTTTTCAACCATTTTGTCATACTGCTCATACATATGCATGGAGATAGCCAGAGAAGCTCCATTCTGAGGTCTTCACTAAAGGAGTTTACTTACCTGACAGTTAATATGTTGATTTCCTGCATGGTGAAATGCTGGAATACATTTGAGTGCATGCTTTTATTATAGCTTCCTAAACACCTACAAATAATTTAAATTAGAGCCAAACGTTTGTGAACCCCCAGAAGCACTTCCAAACAATCCCAAGTTTTGAGAAACCCAGTGTGAAGGCCCCTGTTTTGGGCTAATGCAGAGTTTGGCAAACTCTGGGCCCACGGGCCAAATCTGACCCATCACCTGTTTTTGTAAAGAAACTTTGACTGGGGCCAGGCACAGTGGCTCATGCCTGTAATCCCAGCACTTTGGGAGGCCAAGGCGGGTGGATCACAAGGTCAGGAGATCGAGACCATCCTGCCCAACATGATGAAACCCCGTCTCTACTAAAAATACAAAAATTAGCTGGGCGTGGTGGTGCACGCCTGTAGTCCCAGCTACTCGGGAGGCTGAGGCAGGAGGATCACTTGAACCCGGAAGGCGGAGGTTGCAGTGAACCGAGATCACGCCACTGCACTCCAGCCTGGCATCAGGGTGAGACTCCGTCTCAAAGAAAAAAAAAAAGATAAAAGAAACTTTGATTAGAACATAGCCATGCCCATTTGTTTACATATGTTTATGGCTGATTTCACACTGCAACAGCAGAGTTGAATTGTTGCAACAGAGGCTGCAAGCCAAAAATATTTATTATCTGGCCCTTTACAGAAAAATGTGCGGACCCCTGGGCCAAGGCAGACAGCCTGGCTGATGCCTCAGTGGGATGAGCCAGGTCACATCCACCTATGCATCTGTGGGCGGAGGCTGGCTCCACTGCCAAAGGGAAGGGACATGGGGCTCCATGCCCATCTGAAGATTCCAAGTTTTGACTATTTTCAAGCGACCCATGGCTCATGGTAATTTGCAGTTTTGTTGATGCACTGATTTGACTTGAATGTGCTCTCCCAAGCTGATGAGTGAGAGGGCAGGAGCAGGGCCCTTGGCTGGGGATGAGCCCAGCTGGCTGTCCAGCATGGCTTTGTATTCCCGACTCATTTCCTCATGGGGCCTCTTAGGCAATGATCAGCCTAGTAGGTGGATGCGCATTAGCTAAACATGAGTTTTGGATAGATTGAAGTGCCCAGTGTTGATTTCAGCAGCTCCGAGCCAACAAGGTCATCCATGTACTTTCTGTGAAAGCAAGAACAAGTCCGTCGTGAAGAGGGTCCCGTGAGGACTTTAGCCGGTTCAGAAGTTACTGATCAAGTGAGAGAGAAAACTCCTGTAACAGCTGGAATGGCAGTTTCTTGTGGCATGAAGGCACGTGAGCAATAAACACAAATACCCCTCATAATGGAATTGTGGATCAGGAGAATTCTAGGACTCTGCAAATTTAGAGATTTACCAGGCTTCCAGGATCCACTGCAAGAACAGACAGTATGGAAGACGCCCCATCTACAGCCATCATTGCTGTCGCTATGCCATCATGATACTCTTCTCCACTAAGCCCAGACTGGGTCTCAGAATCTTTCTCTATCCAGCATTCCAGGCAGCCACTACCAGCGGGCTGGAGCTGGTGTGAAAGATGAAACCTATTTTGCCATCCCTATTGGTGTTGGGTTTTGCTATCCAAGAGGCATGCAAGGCCCAGAATGTTCATCCTCTGAGGATATGATGCAACTCTGAGGATGTCAGAGCCTCACCTGACTTGGGTAGAACACAAGGAGGTGGATGAATAGCATCGTGTGGCTGGCGGCTTCCCAGATCACGGGTTTTATCTAGTCTTAAAGCAAAACACAAAACCACCTCCTTTCTGCCAGTAGGTGGCACTGCAGGCCGGCACGCAGCTGCTGGCAGTAGTCAAGTGATTCTACCCACTGATTTACTTTTCTCTCCCACTGACTTAGTGCTGCGCTGGACTCTCCCCACGGTTAGCTCTAGCCAGCCAAAAAGGACTTCAGGTGCTCTGGAAATGTTTGCTAAATATGCCCGAGTGACGAGCCGATTGCTCTTGCCGGCAATTACTGTGATTGTGTGTATGGATGCACACATATTAAGTTTGTGCAACAGGATAAAAATCGTACACGTACGTGTATTTATGTGGGTGTGTGTAATGGGCCAGATATCTCAGCCAATGACTCTGTGTGTGTGTGTGTACTCACTATGTGTACAGATGGTTATCTCTGTTAACTGAGTGTCCTGGGACCCACATACTGATGGCCAGCCCTAGGATAGTTGTACCCATTTCCATCATAACATGGGCATTTGCGTATGTGCAGCTTGGGGGCCACCGAGACCAGCCCCCAACCTCTGGCCAAGAAAGTCTTGGCTCCTAACCCTCTGCCTCCTACCCCTACTCCTGAGCCTTGGGAAGGAAGTGGTAGAATCTGTGTAAGGGCAATCCTTTTGACTATACCTGCCTCATCATCTCCATTTGTTTCTTCCCTCCCCCTAACAGTGCCAAGGCCAACGTGTCCAGTTGGGCAGATTGTGCACTGCAAAAATCTAGAGGGCGCCATTGGTATTGTGACATGGGTAGTACCTATTAGACACCTGCACAACCTGCCAACTGTATACAGATGCCCTGGTCATCTCATGGCCATGGCTACGAAAGTTGCCTTCCCTCCCCACTACCAGCCCTGCCCAACCTAGGCAAAGATTCCTGCCTCTGCTTGAGTGTTCTAATGTGGCCCAGAAGTGACTTACCATTGACCTTAATTGGGAAGTATCTCCCTGATGGGCCATCCCCTAGAGGCCTTTGGAATTCCATTTATAAAAGTGAAATGTGGCTGGGAACTTTTCAGTTACTCATCTTTGCAAAGTGAAAGCCTCTGTAAGGCAAACCAAAGCTGTGAAGACTGGGGTCACTGACTCCCACACTCCTGGCCTGTGGGTGAATATATGCCTTCATGGCCATCTGCCACGGAATTAGGGTAAAGGCCTCAAGGCTAGTCTTGTAGCTAACTGCCACCAAGAAGCCACCAAGAAAATCACTGAGGTCACCCTAGACTGGATGCCTGGGCCAGGGTCACAAACCCCAATGCCTACAGGGGCGAGGCAGGAAACATAAATGAGTGGAGAGGATTAAGCCAGTTCTTCACTGAGAATGGAGAACACTGTGGTCTGCCATGGTTGCTGCCACATGGGAATGTGGCCTGAGGTTGCCGGATAGTCCGCCCCATTTTTGAAGAGAAGCTGGGAATCTGGACTTTTAAATGTTGGCAACTATTTTGAATTTAGAAAACACCATCTGGGCCAAATAAAACATATTCTGTAGGCGAGATCCGGCCCTTGAATCTCCAGTTTGCATCCGCTGGCCCAGGCCCAGAGACTTGGGTTTTTAAGACCCAAGTCACTGAGAGTCTGAGGATATTACACTCAGATTCTCAGTGATGGATATTTAAGAGACCTCAGAGATGACCTAGCTCAGCCTTTGTGTGTTCAAAACTGCGTATGTACAAACTTCTTTTTTTTTTTTTTTTTTTTTTTTTTTTTTTTTTTTTGAGACGGAGTCTTGCTCTGTCACTCAGGCTGGAGTGCAGTGGCACAATCTTGGCTCACTGCAACCTCCGCCTCCTGGGGTCAAGCAATTCTCCTGCCTCAGCTTCCTGAGTAGCTGGGATTACAGGTGCCCGCCACCATGCCCAGCTAATTTTTTGTATTTTTAGTAGAGATGGGGTTTCACCATATTGGCCAGGCTGGTCTCGAACTCCTGACCTCAGGTGATCCACCAGCCTCTGCCTCCCAAAGTGCTGGGATTACAGGCGTGAGCCACCACACTCGGCCTACGAACTTCTTTATTAATGTAATAGCGCACATATACTTAACTTCTGGTTTCTACTTAAGAGCATCTCAATAACCTCCGATATAGAATACGATGAAAAATGAAACCTGTGTGCATAATGTGCTTGTATCTACCTGTCAGAAGCCCTTTGCTTTGATAGCATTTGCTGCCTCAGTCTTCCTCATCACCCAACCTCTCTGGGTTGCTTGTTATGATAAACCTAAGTGCCTCCGTAAATGGTTAGAGCATGTGTTTCTTCGTCTTTGTGACTTCCCTTGTCTGGGAATAAGACTGCTTGTACTTCTCCCAGCTTTGCCCTCTTTGGCCTACTAGTAGCACACCCCATCGATCCAGACCTGTCTGGCTCTTTGTAACATTTACCTGGTCACATGATAAAGGGTGCTGAGTGCTTGCCAGTGTGGGTCCCTGTCACTTCTCATGCATGTCCTATACCTTAATTTTACCACATGTGCTTCTGCTTCTTAAAAGCCATTCAAATAAATGGAGAGGGTTTTAATTAACTTACGTTGTCTTGTTTTTTCCCCACAATTGTATTCACAAACTGGCATATGGCCCCTCATGAAATGCTAATGGTGACGTAGGTAATGAAGAGGCCTGGGACCCGATTCATCCACTAGTGCTGGGATCTTTCTGTAGAATCTGTCCCAGCACATGAAGACCACCCTGAGGGGAGATTCCGCAATGGACAGCAGCCTGAGAGCATCAGAAGGCAAGCTTCCCCCAACAGGGCTCCTCACATGGACTCGGTGTTCCCATCTGGAACTACCAAGGGTGGGGATGGAGAGGGAGGAAGAGAAGATGAGAAAGGATGTGAGATGAAGGAAGAAGGGGATAACTCAGACTCCAGCCCTCACATCATTCTTCTTCCTGCACCCCAGGGTCTTCCTACACCCCAGGGTCTTCCTGCACCTCAAAGTGTCTGCAGAGCAGGAATCCAAGAGTGGCTTTTCTGGGTGGTTCTTACTCAGAGCCTCTCATGAGGTTGTAGTCAAGCTGCCAGGTGGAGCTGCAGTCAATGGAAGGCTTGCCTAGGGCTGGAGGAGCTGCCTCCAAGATGGCTCACTCACATGGCTGTTGGCAGGTGACCAGAGTTCCTCACCACAATGTTACCTGAGTGTCCTCATGACATGGCTGTTGGCTTCCCTGAGAGTGAGTAATCCAAGAGAGCAAGGCAAAAGCCACACCATCTTTTATGACCTAGCCTTGGAAGTGACATGTCATCACCTCTAGCATATTCCATTGGTCACACAGACAAACCCTGATACAAGGTGAGAGGGGACTACGCAAGGAGGTGAATATCAGGAAGTGGAGATGATTAGGGGCCATCTTGGAGGTTGGCTACCACATATTATTATACCTCCATCAGTCTGGTATACCAGGGGCCCCCAAGGTTATGTTAACCGTTCTTCTGCCCTGTGGCAAGACTAGACTTGAATGTGTCTCCTGGATTCTCCAACCTGAAGTCCCCTTGCTTTCCCACCTGTCCCCACCCAGTCACCAGGAATGGAGAGAAATATGATTCTTCATCTACTTCCTTCCCACACCTCCTGTCCAACATTCCTTCAGGGGCCTTGGAGTCACCTACTTGGGGACATCATCGAAACTGTGTTCTGAGATGTCTTAGTCTCATGGTAAAATTTTTATAATGTCCATAAGGCCAGTGGTCCCAGAGCTGTTTGTCCTGTTTTATGACCAGTGGCCCATGTCCAAGGTGAGGGAAAGGCAGGGGTGGGGGAAGGGTGGCATCCTAACACCCCCTCCTTCCTAGGCCTTGGATATCAGCCCCAGCCTCTGGTGCCATAAATGAATCCTCTACTTTCTGACATGGTCTTGGACTGGATTTGGGAATAAAAACCCCATGATGTGATACAGATGTGACTGTGGCTTGGAGCTGGAACCAAAAAAAAAAAAAGGAGTAACCACCAGATAAAGAAATCACAGACATAATTCTTTCTCCTCCCGTGTGCACTCCCTTTTCAACTTGCAAAGCTCATCCATGACCTAAGGCCTATGTGTTCTGTTTTTTTTTCTTGTGCTTACTAGTAGCCAGTTTTATTTTCCAATAGGTCACTTAAAGAAACATTATTTTTGGCCGGGCGCGGTGGCTCACACCTGTAATCCCAGCACTTTGGGAGGCTGAGGCGGGTGAATCACGAGGTCAGGAGATTGAGACCATCCTGGCCAACATGTTTAGTAGAAACCCCGTCTCTACTAAAAATACAAAAATTAGCTGGGCATGGTGGCATATGCTTCCACCCTCAAGATCTCATAATCTCCCAAAGGCCCGACCTCCTAATATCATCACATTGGTGATAAGGTTTCAGCATATTAATTTTGGAGAGGTATATTCAGACCATAGCAATTTGAATCTTCATTCTTTTTTTAAAATTTAATTTAATTTAATTTAATTTTAAGTTCTGGGATACACGTGCAGAACAGGCAGGGTTTTTGGGTTTTTTTTTGTTGTTTTGTTTTGTTTTGTTTTGTTTTTTTGAGATGGAGTCTCGCTCTGCCACCCAGGCTGGAGTGCAGTGTCGCAATCTCGGCTCGCTGCAACCTCTGCCTCCTGGGTTCAAGTGATTCTCTTGCCTCAGCCTCCCAAGTAGCTGGGATTACAGGCATGCACCACCACACCCAGCTAATTTTGTATTTTTAGTAGAGACAGGGTTTCACTATGTTGGTCAGGCTGATCTTGAACTCCTGACCTCAGGTGATCCAACCGTCTCGGTCTCCCAAAGTGTTGGGATTGCAGGCGTGAGCCACCGCGCCTGGCCTAGGTTTGTTACATAGGTAAAGGAGTGCCATGGTGGTTTGCTGCACCTACCCACCCATGAATCTTCATTCTTTCCTTCCTCTGGCAAAGTTCCCCTTAGAAGCCCTATGAAGCTCCAAGTGGTATAAAGCTCACCCCAGTGTGAGAATAATACAGCCACAGCCCAAGGATATGAACTTGTTACTTGCTTGCTGGGTGACCTTGCAAAACATGTATCCTCTGTGGCTGCCAGGAGAGTGCATAACTCACATCTCCTTCGAGAGAACCTGCTGCAAGGAGCATGATTACCCAACAGCCTGCAGCAGCTGCCCCTCTGGGTCTGCTGCAGCTTTCATGGGGCAGATAGCATGCTTTTCCTAGCCTGCTCCCAGTGGTGACTGGGCATGGTGGGGAAGCTAACACCAGGCTATTTCTGTCCTACGTGGGACCCCATCTTTACTCTGGGCCCAATGAGGACTTTCTCAGAGCTGCATTGCAGTCCAAGGCTCTTCCTAACCAAGCCATCTCCCTTCTCACTCTCCTTCACAGATGTCAGACCTGCATCATGGTCAAAAGGCTCTTTCTGCTTCCTCCTGCTCCCTCTCTTTTACCCTTATAAGCAATTTATCTAGTAAATGTTCTGCATCTCCAATTGGCCTTAGCATCTGTCTCCTAGAAGGCCTGAACTGACACACCTTTTCTGAGCCATAGGACCCATGCTCATCCATCTTCTCCCCCACCCCTAGGATAGCTTAGGGCTATGCCTGATGGTGTTAAAATTCTCCATCATTGCTAAGTGGTGAAATAGAAGTGTGGGTTTCCTGTCAACATCAGAGGACATGGTGGATTCCAATTTCAGCTATACCCAGAGGTTAGGGACAGCTGCTTCCCAAGCCCTGGGTTCCCATCTCACCCAGGCTCTGCCTCAACCCCATGATCACTTCCCAGTCTCCATATCCTTCATCAAAGAGGGAGTTTGGGGGCAGAAAGGAGCCTAGGGTCTTGAACTGGGGATGAGAGCCCTGGGTTCTAATCCAGTCCCTGCTACTGGCTTCCCTTGCCTAAGCTGCAGTTACTCCATCTGTACAGCAGGACTGTGGCTTGGCTGGCCTGGATGGAGGAAGGAGAACAATGGCTGCTTCTGGTTTAAGAAATGCTGTCGCAGCTGGTGAGGTCCAAGCTCCTTCCTCTGCCTGTTATGTCCAGACTAAATGGTATAGGTGGGAAGCTCTGCCTGGAAGGATCAGGTTGGGGGCCAGGCCTAGAACCATGTCCTGACTGTGCTCTGACACCCACCAGCTGTGGGGTGTTGTGCCTGGGCTCCTGAGGTGGCCATCAGCCCCAGGAAGGGCAGCTCCCATTCAGCCACAGCTTCGTGAGATGCCACAAACAGTGGCAGAATAGGGAGGTCGGGCTGCCCTGGAGGTGTTCACAGGGAGCCACAGGAGTACAAGGAGGAAGGACTAGCTGCCAGGGGGAGGCAGGGAAGACTCCCAGAGAGGTATTTTTGTGCTGGGCTTTGTAGGATGAGTATGAGTTTTCCAGACAGAGAAAGGGAAAGGCTTTCAAGACAGAATACAAAGGCCCATCTAATACACATGAACCTGTGTTAGATGTTCCAGAAAACATGGAAAGTGGCAGGACTGGGGTAGGGGTCAGGGGAGTGATGGGAGAGTAAGCTGTCCACAGAGCAAAAAGGACTCCAAGGAGGATCTGGGTTCTACAACGTTTACTCTTACCCTGAGAGGTAGATGCTTGTCTTATTCCTGTTTTACAGATGAGGAAACTAAGGCCCAGAGAGATGGAAAGGGGCTCTGATGGGAATGCATTGGGCGGTATCAGGACCCAGTCAGGCCTGGGAGCTAGAGGCCAGGGCGTCCTCTTCGTACTGTGTGACCAATGGCAGGAACCAGGCCCTCCCCCAGCTCCCACCCCCACCCCCATGGCCATCTGACTTCAAGGAGCTCAGTCCCTCCCCTGCCACCACCCCCAGTGTCCTTGTCCTGCTGATATCACGCACACACGGAAGAGAAATATGTGAGATTCCAGAGAGGCCAGAGTGTGGGAACCAGGACAGATGCTGCTGGCCCTGCCCCCAGGCTGCCACGCCTCCAGAGCCTCTGGGTGCTGCCAAGGGGGCTCTGGAATGTGTCCGAAGCTTCTGGCTTCCTCCATGGTGGGCCACCCTCCAGGGCCTGGGAAAGCTAGGGAAGCTCTGAACACCCAGTCTGCCATTCCGCCCCTGTGTGGCTCCTGCGGGATTTGTACTGCCTGAACATAGGGGTGGGAGTGCATAAGCTTCAAGACAGCAGGGCCAGCCCAGCTGCTTTGCTCTCAGGGGCCCAGATAAGTAGAGCATGAACTCTGCAGCCCAGGGACAGGGAAGGGGAACCAAACCAACATGTTTATCACCTTACTTAGAGAAGGAGCTTGGAAGTCTGTGCGTGTACATGCATGTGTGTGTTGTAGACAGACAGACACAGACAGATGGTCCCAGCCCCCACCCTCGCTAGCCCCAGGGGTAGCTTGTGCTCCGCCTGCTCTGCACATGTGGCTCCCAGCAGCTGCACATTCCGTCAGTGACCAGCTGTGGCAGCAGCTGTGGAGGTGGAAAGTGAGCGCAGATGGGTCCCAGAGGAGCGGGGGAGGAGGGCAAGGGGAGGACAGGAAGGGCCTGGGATGAGCAGGGGGTGGGGGGAGGAGGAGGCAAGGAGGCTCAGACTGTTCTCAGGATGGAACATGGAGCAGGAAAGTGATGATGGGGCTGCCTGACATCTGGATGTGGCACAGAGAGCCTGCAGAGGTCCAGGACAGGCCCAGCACACCCCGGCTAGGTCTCGACATGTGGGTGGACCAACATGAGTGTAAGGAAAAAGACTGGGCAGTTGGATCTATGGGTCTGAACCTGAGAAAAAAAGTCTGTATTTGAGATATAAATTTGGGAATCATTGGCTCATAGAAAGAAAAGCCAGGGAGTAGGTGAACCAATTAGGGATAGAGTGGATGGAGACAGAGGCCAAACCCAAATGTAGCATTAGAGCACCCACTCTCAACACCAGGCATCACTCTCTGCATCTTACCTCATTTAACCCTCACAACAACCCTGTGGAGTGAGTGGCTTTGGTATCATCCCATTTTACAGATGAGAAAACCAAGGCACGGAAAGGCTACTCTTGTCCTGGCTCACTTTCTGTCTCACTGTGTGGCCCTGGGGATGCTTCTGTCCCTCTCTGGGTCTCAGTGTCCTTAGGCTCAAAGGCAGGACAAAGTCCTGCAGAGGGAAGACTGAGTGGCACCTGGGTGCTCCAGGTCCCTTCTTCCCCCTACTTCATCCTGGGCCATGGGCCAGGAAAGTCCTTGTATGTCTCTGCTGTTTTTCCAGGAACAAGGAAGCACCTCCTTCCCAGACAAGGTGGAGGCCTTCAGGAGCCCCTCAGTTCCCCTCCCCATCACTGGACACTCAGCCAATGTTTACCAAACACCTACCTGTGCCAGACGCCGGTAGGCATCAGGGAGATCACAGTGAACAACCCAACATGGTTCCTGCTTTTACAGGGATAACAGCCCAGGCCTCAGACAGACATAAACTATTCCACAATTAATAACCACCAACCACCACCCTGGGCATCTCTGTGCCAATCATCCTCTCCTCTGAGACCCCCCAGATACCTCCACCATGCAGCAGTTAGAGGCTCAGTGTCTGCCACAGTGGTCTCTGGAATCCTGTTCCAGTGTATAGTCTATGTGCAAGCCAACCGTTCAGAGCCCAGGCCATATCAGTTTAGTGATCTGAATACCAGCCCCAAGAGCAGACGGGATTGACCTAGTGTGGGCTCAGTGATAGAGAAAGTATTGCTGCAACTGAAACCTGTCGCTGAAAATCTCCAGCTCGCTCAGCTCTGGGACAGACAGAAAGGAGCGGAAGGTAGAATAGAGGGCCCGTCTCGTCCTCCCTCCCTTTGGATTGAGGCTGCCTGCTACTCCTGGGCCTCTCACCCTTCTCCTTACTTCTGACTCCTTCTCCATCAGTGAGCAAATTCTTCCTGAGGCTCTGCTGGTCCCTGGAGTTGCATGGCGTGCCCTCTCTCATTGACCTGCCCCTCTTTTTTGTTTTTTTTTTTCTAGAGATGGGGTCTCACTCTGTTGCCCAGGTTGGAGTGCATTGGTGCAATCAAGGCTCACTGTAGCCATGACCTCCTGGGCTCAGGTGATCCTCCCACCTCAACCTCCTGAGTAGCTGCTATTACAGGCATGAGCCACTGTGCCTGGCTGACGTGCCCCCTTTTTAAACCTGCTTCCGCAACCCTCTACCCCAGACACTTCCCAGTCCATGACATCCTGCCCTTGTCTCTGCCTCCCTTGCCTCTGTTCATTCATCCCAAGGCATCTGTGACCTCCTGATCACACTTCTTTCCTCTTAGAGCCCCTGGACTGGTGACCAAGCCCCTTTTCTCGGCTCCTGGTTGCCTTGGTCCCTGGTGCTCCATTCTCGCAGGATTCTCCTCCTTCTTCCCAGAGAATCTTTGGCTATTGTTTCCCAGGGTCCTAGCCTAGGTTCTCCTCCCTTCTGGATCTGCACTAGCTCCTTGGGACAGATATGTCATGTATCCCATGTCTTCAGCCACCAAATCTCTCCTCCAGCCCAGACCTCTCCCTGGGTTCTCCTCCTGGGTGTGCGCTAGGTCTCACAAACAGCATGGCCATAGTGAGCTCCTTCCCTTCTCCAGTGTTTCCCCTTGGTGCTTGTCACCTTCATCCATTCAGTCACCCAGACAGGAACCCAGTATCACTCGAATCCAGTCCTTATTGCCTGGCCTATTTTAAGAGTCTCCTGATTGGTCCACCCAGCTCTAATGCAGGTTGCAGTGGTTACCAGCATGAATTCTGGCGCCAGACTGCTTGGTTAAAATCCTATTTCTACCACTTAGTAGCTGTGTGATCTTGGGTAAGTTATTTAACCTCCCTGTATTTCAGGGTAACTTATGAAGAAAAGAGGTTTAATTGGCTCACGGTTCTGCAGGCTGTACAGGAAGCACAGTAGCATCTGCTTCTGGGGAGGCCTCAGGGAGCTTCCAGTCATGGTGGAAGGCAAAAGGGGAACAGGCACGTCACATGGCAAAAACAGGAACAAGAGAGGAAGCAGGGGAGGTGCCACACACCTTTAAACCACCAGATCCATGAAAACTCACTATCATGAGAACAGTACCAAGGGGATGGGACTAAACCATTCATGAAAAATCCACCTCCCTCACCTCCCACCAGGCTCCACCACCAACATTGGGGATTACAATTCAACATGAGATTTGGATGGGGACACAGATCCAAACCATATCACCATTCTATTGATATTCCATGCTTGTTCCTACCTCAGGGCTTTCCACTTGCTGTTCCTTCTGCCTGGAATCCTCTTCCCCAGATCTTCTTAGATTCCCTCTCTCCATTCGGGTCTCTGCATAAGTGATTCATCCTCAGAGACGATCTCCTGACCCCTAAGTAAAATAGCCACCAATCCCCCAGTCACCCTATGTCTCCACCTCACTTTATCTTATTTCACAGCATCTATTAATATCACTGACATTACATTATATGTGTTGCTATATGTTTGTCATCCTAAGCTCTGGCCCCTGCAATGTGAGAATGGCCCAATACAAATGGCAAGAAGGCTGTCGTGGGTGAGTGGACAAGGCAGAAAGTGGTTGGGGATGAAGCTGGAGAGATGGGCAGGGGCCTGAGCTTAGGAGATGGTACCTCCAGTGTGCCCTGAACTGCCCTGGCATGATTATTAGTATTGCCTCCTTTCACTCTCAAAGGTGCCCAGGTTATTACAGTTGTTCTGTGTATAGGGCATGGTAAGCAGTTGGCATTTTATTTCAAATGGGATGTGAAGCGTGTGGATGGTTTTGAGCAGGAAGTGACATGATCTGACTGGCATTTTAAAAGGATCATGACCAAGTCCTTGAAACACTCTTTTGGCTCCTGCCCACACCCCCCCACACACACCCCACTCTCCTCCACTGCCCTTTCAGTCTTCTCTGGCAGCTCTTTCTCTTCTACAACCTTTAAATCTTGGAGTTTCTCCAGACTAGCGGTTCCCAACTGGGGGCGATTTCTCCCCCAAGGGACATTTGGTATTTTATCTGGAGATATTTCTGATGGTCACAACTGGAGCGGGTATAACTGGCATCCAGTGGATAGAGGCCAGGGAGGCTGCTTACCATTCTACAATCCACAGAACAGCCCTACACAATAAAGAATGACCTGACCCAAAATGCCAGTAGTCCTGAGGTTAAGAAACCCTGCACCAGATTAGCACCATCCAATAGGAATATCATGGGAGCCAAATATGCAGTTTAACATTTTCTAGTAGTCACATTTTTAAAAACCTAAAAATAAAACAAGGGAAGTTAACTTTACTAATGTATTTTATTTCATCCAATATTTATACAATATTATCATTGCAACATGTAATCATAACAAAAAATATCAATGAGATAGTTCACACTTAAAAAAATTCTGGTGTGTATTTCATACTCACTGCACATACAGCAATTCAGACCAGCCACATTTCAAGTACTTAATAGCCATAGGGGGTTCGTGGCTATTATATTGATGGCATAGCTCTAGGCTCAGTACTGGATAATATATCACAATGTTTAAGAGCTGTATAATTGACGGGGTGTAGTGGCTTACTCCTGTAATCTTAACACTTTGGGAGGCCAAGGTGGGAAGATTGCTTGGCCCCAGGAGTTGAAGACCAGCCCGGGCAACATAGTGAGATCTCATCTCTACCAAAAAAAATTTTTTTTTTTTTTTTTTTTTTTTTGAGACGGAGTCTTACTCTGTCGCCCAGGCTGGAGTGCAGTGGCGCCATCTTGGCTCACTGCAAGCTCCGCCTCCCGGGTTCACGCCATTCTCCTGACTCAGCCTCCCGAGTAGGTGGGACTACAGGTGCCTGCCACCACGCCTGGCTAATTTTTTGTATTTTTTAGTAGAGATGGGGTTTCACCGTGTTAGGCAGGATGGTCTCGATCTCCTGACCTTGTGATCCGCCTGCCTCAGCCTCCCAAAGTGCTGAGATTACAGGCGTGAGCCACCACACCTGGCAAAATGTTGTTTTTTTAATTAGCTGAGCATGGTGGTATGCCCCTGTAGTCTGAGCTATTCAGGAGGCTGAGGTGGGAGGATCACTTGAGCCAAGGAGTTCAAGGTTTCAGTGAGCTACGATGGCACCACTACACTCTAGCCTGGTGACAGAGTGAATCCTTGTCTTTATTTTTAAAAGAAGGGGGAGTACTGTATAAAGTAATAAAGCCTAATGTTTTGGCTCTGGAACTGAACTGCCTTGTTGAATTCCAGCCCTTCCATTTATTGCCTGTTGGCCTTAGGTGGAGTTAGTCTACCTCTCAGCCTTTGTTTCTCACTTGTAAAGTGGGGATTATAATATTACTACTTTATAGGGTTGTCAAGGATTAAATGAGTTAATATTTACAAAAGACTTAGAATAGTTTCAGGTTTTATAATAAGGGCTCACCAAATGTTAAGTATTTAGCTAGGCCCCTGCTCTGTCTCCATCCACGTTTTCTGAATGATCCCATCTGCTCCCATAGCTTTAAATGCCATCAATTACCTAATGACGTCCAAATTTAATATCCAGCTGAGACCTCTGTTCTGAACTCCATACCCTCTATTTAACTGTGCACTGTATTTTGATGATCCAAGACATCTCACATGAAACGTCCATCACGGGGCCCTTGACCTTCCCCTGCAAATCTGCTCCTCTTCCAATCTTTGCTATCTCAGCCAATTACACAGGGCAGCTATCTGGGAGGCTTCCTTGACTTCCGCCTTTCCAGGGAATGCATAACACATTGTGCAACTTCTCTGTTAGTTGAGGTTTCCACTGACTGGCATGTGCCCACAGAAGTGATGTGAGTGCTGAGGGCATTTGGAATGAGAGTCCATAGTTGTGGCTGGGGCGACCACCAGGGCTTCCTGGTACTGATTGCTCACGACAGTTGCGCCTACCAGTATATATTTGTAAGTCTGTCCGTGTGTATGTGTTTGCATACCTGGCCAAATGGTTGTGTCTGTGGATGTGTGTGGACGGGGGCACAGGAACATTCTTTCCCATCAAGTAATCAAGTGTCCCCCAGCAAGCAGGCCTTGCTGTGGGGATGGAAGCACAGTTATTCTCAGATGACCAACCCGATTCTCCCACTTGAAGGGGTGGCTTCCCTCAGGTCCTGACCTGGTGGCGGGTAAAAAGGAAAAGACCTCTCATATCTAACCCAGCACACCAAGACCTCCTCTATCTCCTCTTCCCTGCCCAAGAAGTCCAGCTCCAGGATGCTCTCATGCAGCTTCCTTTGGAGCCTTAGGAGCTTCTCTGAGGTACTGGGCGCCTGAGGATGACCGGTGAATCTGAGAACTTCCCACAAGTCCCCCTAAGGACAGGGCAGCTAGAGCCCTCCCTGAGTGAACAGTTTGATGGGTTGCCAGAAGCAGAGGCCCCAGGAAGAGAGGCTGGAAGGTATCTTCCCTTTTCCTCTCCTTCTCCCACTTTGAGGCCCTGCCATAGCGTCTAGAAGGAGCCCTTTCCTGGCCTCCTGGCCGCCCAGGACAACTCGACCTCTGGTGAACTGGGAACTGATTCCCAGGGACAACCCACCACTGCCACCACGCCAGGCCTTTAGGGACCTCGGCCAGAGCCCAGCTTTCTCAGATGCGGTGGCCACAACTTCAGCCGTCCCTTTTGGGGGTGACTGCCACCTCTCAGAAGTGTAAGTGTCTTCCCCTTGCCCCCACCACACTATTCCACTTGCTTTGGGCCCCTATGGAGTTGCTGCTGGGGAATTCTTGCTGAGGATCAGGCCACAACCACCACGACTAACTTCGACAAACTTGATGTGTCTGCTGCCTCCAGAACACCAGGAGGCAGGAGCGCGCAGGGTTGACCCTTGCGGAATCCCGGGCATCGAAGCGGCGCCTCTACAGGCCAGCAGCGCCCAGGCGACCCAGGGACAGACGGGGACTCCTGGCTTCCCCGCGGGGCCTCCCAGGGCACCTGCCCAAGGCCACCCAGCGCGCGGCAGCCGAGACAGCGGAGCAGAGCCGGACCTCCCAGCCGTCGATGAAGGCGGCGACCGCCTAGGGCCTTCCCACGGCTCGGCGGCGCGTCACCGCGGGGGCGAGGGGGCGCCTGGGCGCCCGGAGCTGCGGCGCAGGAAAGGGCCCTGGGAAAGGGCGGTGGCGGCGCCCCCGAGGCGGGGCCGGGGCGGGGCCGGGGCGGGGCCTGACTTCCCGACTGGGAGCCTTAGCCGCGGGGCTGAGACCAGGCAGCCTGCGTTCGCCATGAAGCGACCCAAGGAGCCGAGCGGCTCCGACGGGGAGTCCGACGGACCCATCGACGTGGGCCAAGAGGGCCAGCTGAGGTAAGGGCCGGGATGCGGGGACCGAGCAGGCGGAGGGCGAGCGGGGTGGGGGTCGGCCCGACGGGCTCGCCGAGCAGGCGGGCCAGCCCTCCAGCACCGCCTGGGCAGAGGCAGGTGAGCGCGGGGGCCACAGGTGTCGGCGTAGGGGGCGTGTGCGGGCCGTGCCGTTACACGCACGAGTGCCTGGATCCTGCGCGCTCTCGGTCGTGCAGGGCTGGGGATGCTGGCAGGGAGGGAGAGTTCAGCTCGGGGGATCAGGTGGCTAGTGGGTTATCATCTATCTGTTGAAGTGGCCTAGGGGAGGCCATTGGCAGGTTTTCCCTGGAGATCTTAGAAAACTCTCATAGACTGATGGTACTCTGGCCCCTGTCTGGAATCTGCTGACGATGCAGAGTAACCCCATCCTTTCCCAATTTTACCCTAGTTTGGATGCAGTTTTCATGTAGTCCACAAATTATTTCAGGAAGAAGAAAATTTGTCCTCCTTTGAGCAAATTGGAGTTTGGATTTAGGGACTTAGTATTGAAGAAAATAATAAGCGACTTGCAAGGGCCTAGACTCTAATTCCAATGTTCCTCCTATCGTGCCCCCATACTGCCAGTGTCTTTCAGCTCCTGGTAGATAGTCTGACCTGCTTCAAACCTGTCGAACAAACTGCGCTTGTATAGTTCTGCTACCTCGCAGTTCTGTAAACTGTCTAAGCTTCAGTTTCCTTATCTGTTAAATGAGCATGAATAATAGAACCAACTTCATGGAAATATTGGGAAAACCAAATGAGGCAAAGTATGTCAAGGGCTTAGCACAGCACATGCCTAGGTACACACCATGTGATTCCCAGCACCCTGAAAGAGCTGCAGGGCTGACTGGGAGTCTGCAGACCTGGGTCCCAGCCCCAAATCTGCCACCAACTCACTATGTGGTCTTGGGCCATTGGTTTCCCTGACAGAGTCTGTCATCAGTTTCCCCATCAGTAAAACAAAGACAGCAGTGGAAAAGAAAGGGATATACTTCATCTCTCTTGGCTCATCTAGACTTGACTCTCTAGAACAGAATTGGAGGGGAATTCAGTTAATTCTTTCTTTCTTTCTTTTTGACATGGTCTCACTCTGTTGCCCATGCTGGAGTGCAGTGGCATGATCATAGCTCATGGCAACCTTGATCTCCTGGGCTTAAGTGATCCTCCTGCCTTGGCCTCCCAAAGTGTTGGGATTACAGACATAAGCCAGTGAGCCAGGCCCAGTTAATTCTTAGGGATGTTTTTGAGGACATTTTGTAATTTTAGTGCTCTCCAGTTTTCTGAGATCCAAGGATCCTGCCTCAGTCTCAAATCCCAGGAAAATGCCATAATAGATATTCCTCTTGCAGCCTGTACATTTGTTTTTAGGGAGTATAACACAACTCGCTATGCAACGTATTAGCCTTTCTTAATTGTTTAGCAGAAACTGCTATTTAGAAAAGCAGTTATCTTAGCCTGTGCCTGTTAAGGGCCAGGAAAGGGCACAGCACCACGTGGTGGTGGTGGAGCGGGGTCTCAAATTCAATGGCATTGGGTCTTCATAGATCAGAGGCACAAAATTGATGCCAGAGAACTAGGTTGATCAGAGCTGGCTTCTGTCCTCCACAAGTTTGCAGCCCAGTCAGTGACCTGCCAGGTCATAAAAACACCATGGACAGGATGGAAAGGAGACAGACTGTGGGCTGTGAGGGCACTTAAGCAAAGAGAGGTCACTCTTAATCAAAGATGGCAAGGAGGGCTTCTTGAAGATAGTAGCATCTGGGCAACTGCTTACATGAGGCATAAAGGATCAGTGGGCAGTTTTTTCCTATACATACAGCATTTCCTATATATACAGAGCCCATTTTTAGACACTGTTCTTAGAGGAGCAGACCCCTCTGAGGAGAGAAAGCAGCTGGACATCTGGCAGAGGCTGACTTATAGATGCCCCTTTGTAGCACTCACCAAAGGGCCCTTCCCCCAGCAGACATCAATGCTTCAATTCAGGGAGCACTGAACGATGCCTGCTGTGGCCCAGACCCTGGGCTGGGCATAGGGGGCCCAGATGTATCCTGCTCAGCCTCTGCCCTCAGGGAACTCTCAGGGAAGAAGAGCTTCATGTACAAAGAAAGCAGATAAACACTGACAAAGGCCGCAGGACGGAGGCAGCCAGCCTCTCGGGGTCAGGGGCAGGGCGCAAAACCCCCACACTCAGAAACGTGAGAGTAAAGAGCAGGGTGTGTTCCACCATCACTGTGGCATCTGCCTGGTGGCAGTCCTGCCACATCTGTGAAACTCACCCACAGAGCTCTCATCTCAACCTGGCCCCATGACGCAGGATGAGTCCAAACTGAGAGTACAGCCTCTCCTCTCCCTCTGCAAACATCTAATGAGCACCTGCCACATGTCAGACACTGGATCAGGGTCCTGTTCCTGCACAATATAAGGTGGTGGTCTTGGAGTCAGATAGACCTGAGTTTGAATTTTACCACCATTAACTTTGGCCAGTGACTTTTACCCCTTTCTGAACCTCAGTTTTCTCGCGTTCAAAATGGGAATACATTAGCACTCCTGCCTCGCAGGATAAGGTTTGATGAAGTAACATACATAAAGTTACATAGCTCCCTGCTTTGGCACAAAGTAACTTCCAATAAACGTTGCTGTCAAAGCGGTCACCATTCAGTTGGGGGGCAACATATTTATGAGACAGCATGGTCTAATGAAAAGACCGGAAGTGTGAAGACTGGACTTACTGGAGTGATTCTTAACTCCAGTGTCTCTGTCACTCCACCTGTAAAATGATTATTTTTCCTAAATGTGAAATGGCCCAAAAAATACTTCACTTACAGTGCTATTGTGCAATAAATTAGACAAATGGATGTGGAAGTGCAGTATAGAACAAAAAGCACTGGCTCTGAGATCTACATGACGGGATGATGTATATATGGGGTGCACTGGCAAAAGCCCCAGATTAAAAGCCACTAGAGGCCGGGCACGGTGGCTCACGCCTGTAATCCCAGCACTTTGGGAGGCTGAGGTGGGTGGATCACGAGGTCAAGAGATCGAGACCATCCTGGCTAATATGGTGAAACCCCATCTCTACTAAAAATACAAAAAATTAGCTGGGCATGGTGACACGTGCCTGTAGTCCCAGTTACTTGGAAGGCTGAGACAGGAGAATCACTTGAACCTGGGAGGCGGAGGTTGCAGTGAGCTGAGATTGTGCCACTGCACTCCAGCCTGGGTGACAGAGTAAGACTCTGTCTCAAAAAAGAAAAGAAAAAAAAAAAAAAGCTACTAGAGTAGACCTGGCTGTAGTTCCGATTTTCCTCTAATTTGCTGTGTGGCCTGGGGAAGATCCCTTCCCCTCTGAGTTTCCTTATTTTACAAATGGACTCAGTTCTCTCTGAGATTCCTTCATTTGGGACATTGTGATTCTGCCTTTGGCTGACACAAAATGATTAGGGTCATCTGCAAGGGTTCCACGGGGGAGTTCCCAGGGGAAGTCAGCACTGAGGGTGGTCAGGACCACCTGGAAAGCTTCCCCCCATAAGAGACCGCCCCAGAATTCTGGCTAGGAGCCACTAGAGGCCTATGGAGCAGATCTTGATGGTCAACATATCTTCTCTGGGTCCATGAAAATCTGTGTCATTTTCAGATTCTCAGACAAGAGAATCCCACACCTCATCCCACTGTCAGGGCCAGATCGCGGGCTGGAAGGGAGCTCTGGCTGGGCTCTTGGGAACTTTAAAAATAAGGGGACCGGAGGGCTATTCAGACAGACAGGAAGTAGGAATTAGAAGGGAAAAAATGCTGAAGCGGAGCCAGAAGATGCGGATTCCCTGCTGGCTTTGCTCCTTAGCAGCTGGGTAGGCTGGGCAACCTGCTTTAGCTCCCTGAAGCTCAGCAACCTCATCTGTAATATGGGCTTTTGTAAGGCTCAAAGGAGGGAAAGACATATAATGTTGCCAAGAAAACTGTAATGTGAGGTTTGCCTCTGAGATATGGGAAGAGGAGAAGGGGGGAAATAATACGACAGGGACAAGCTGACCAGGAGATTGGAAAAAGGAATGGCAGCACTGCTTTGCCCTGAAATGGGTGCGTCAGCCTCCAACAGATGGTCCCAGCGGAGGGATCAGGCTGAGAGGCAGTGACGTGTGCAAGGCTAACCTAATACCCGGAAAGACGCTTTATCAAGCTGGGGGGAACAAAGGCCGTGTTTCTTAGTGTGTCTTGGCTCTTGGGGTTTGTCCCCAGTGAACCAGTGAGGCTTTGTAAACAAGCTGCCCCATAGATCTCAAGATCTGGCCTTACAAGCCCTGGACCTAGCTTGCTGGGTCCTCCCTCCCAGGAGCTATTATAGACCTCTTACCAGGTCGGCTTGTCCAGATGTTTGGGTGGGAGATATCCTTTTCCAGATGTGTCTGGACAAAGCCAGAGACATAGCAGTAGGATTTGACAAATGCTATCTGGTCTCTTCTGCAACCTTCTCTGAGCAGTTGATGAAAATGATCCAAATTCAAATGCCAAAAGGGTTGGGACCCTTGGGCTGGGACCCTTGTGTTAAGTCATATACGCCCCCATTCCACAAAGTCCTAGGCCATAGATTTTATGGTGCTTACATCTCTGTTCCCCAGTGATGCCAAAGACATGGGTGAGAGAAGAAAGCTCTACCATGAGTTCTGCTGTATTCCAAGCCCTTGCTGAGTACTGAAGCTGCAATAGTGAATGTAACAGACATGGTTCATGGCCTCATGGAGCTTATGGATTTGTTGGAGAGATAGACATCAATCAAATAACCATATAAATATAAAACAATGAACTGGCATAAATGCTGTGAAAGCAGGGTGCTAGGAGAGTATTGAGCAGGGGACACTAGTGGGAGGAGGAATGTTAGAAAAGGCTCCCCAGGGAGGTGCCATCTGAGTTGAGATCTGATGGGTTGTAGAAGTTATGGGGCAAAGGGACTGGGGCTTGGGGTGATGGGTGAACCAAAGATGGTGGACCTAGGCTAGGGGACAGTGCATGCAACTGAATGAAGGAGTTGGTGCATTCATAGGCTGGGGCATACAGAAGAAGACGGTTGAGTCTAGAGGGGTTGACAGGGGCCAGTTGGACCACCTGAAAGATGGTGGCCTTGATCTTAAAAAACATTGGGGCCAGCCATGGTGGCTCATGCCTGTAATCCCAGCACTTTGGGAGGCCAAGGCGGGCAGATCACCTGAGGTCAGGAGTTCAAGACCATCCTGGCCAACATGGTGAAACCCCGTCTCTACTAAAAATACAAAAATTAGCTGGACGTGGTGGTGGGTGCCTGTAATCCCAGCTATTTCGGAGGCTGAGGCAGGAGAATTACTTGAACCGGGTGGCGGAGGTTGTAGTGAGCCAAGATCATGCCAGTGCACTCCAGCCTGGGCAACAGAGTGAGACTACATCTAAAAAAAACCCAAAACAAACAAACAAAAGTTGGGGAGCCACTGAGGAGTTTTAAGTGAGTGATATGATCAGATTTCAATGATCACTCTGCCTGCAGTGTGGAGATAGGCTTGTAGAGAGTAAAAGAGGGTGTAAAAGGACCCAACAAGAAGCTCTTGCAGTCACCCAGATGAAAGATGATAAAGGCGTAGCATTGAGAGAAGTGGCGGAGAGGAAGAGGACAGACGTGAGATATATTTTAGACATAGCGTGGGCAGGTTTTGATGAGGTGGGGGTGAGGAGGAGGAGGAATCAAAGACAGCATCAGCTTTCCACCTTGCAGAACTGGGGTACCTTCACTGAGATGGGGAAACCCAGGGGCAGCAGGAGCAGGTGTGGGTGAAGGCCAGCTTGCAGATTCCTGTTCAGATGTGTGGCGTTGTGTCTTCTGAAACGGCAGGGGAGTCACCTTGTTTGTTGTTTGTTGGTGCAGTGTCTGCCCACTGGAGCTGAGTTGAGGAAGGGAAGGGCTGGGGTCTGGCTGAGTGCACCAGCACCCACCCAGGCCTGAATAGGGCCTTAGAAGTGTTGGCCAAATGAATGATGCCTCAGTGGACCCAGCGAATCCTCACCATTCTAAGAGAGCTTCTGAAGCAGAAAACCTGAAGAAGGGTTAGCAGTTGGGCTGGAGATTATTTTGGTCAGAGTCTGGGCAGGAAAAGCCCCCCCAGGGCTGAGCCTCTTCTCTGTAATGGGAGCTCCTGGGGTGTGAGCAAACATCCATCATTCAACCGGGGCGCAGAGGGAAGGCCCGGAGTGGGAGGAGAGGCCGAGGTTGGAGGGACGGGGCCTTCTGGGAGGCCAGGGCAGTGTCCCAGAGCATCCGAGAGGGGCCTGTGACCCAGATGCCGCCTCCCCTTCGCCCCCGGCCGCACCGCGTGGGAGGAGGCGGCAGCTGCAGGCGGGGCGGAGGGCGGGCGGCCGGCGCGCCCGGCCCGTGGGAAGCAGCGGCATCTGCTCTTTCCACGCTCGTTCCCAGCGGCTCCCTCTGAAACCCAACCCGCCCGGCCCAGCCCCGCCGCCGCCGGCCAGTGCCCTCGCCCGCCCCGCCCCCGGGGATCGGGTTGCAGGAGCCGGAGCCACCGCGCCGCGGTACGCGGTTCCCCGACGGCCGCCGCGAGGGGCGAGGAGCGAGGAGCGAGGGGCGAAGGGCGAGGCCGAGCAGGTCCGGACCAAGAGCCCAAAGTGGGCCCAGAGTGCATGAGAGGACTTGACCCGGGTTGAAATGAGCCCCCAGGAAGAAGGGGAGAGCAAGCTGCTCCTTCTAGGCCCAGCCTGTGGCTCCTCCTGGCCCGAGGTCGGCCCAGGCCGGGGAGACTGTCCCCCAGCCCTGAAAAATCAGCTTTTCTTTTCCTTTCCAGCCAGATGGCCAGGCCGCTGTCCACCCCCAGCTCTTCGCAGATGCAAGCCAGGAAGAAACACAGAGGGGTGAGTGTCCGTCTCAGCCTCTGAGTTGACCAACAAAGGGTTGCCATGAATCCCCTGCAGTCTGGCGGCGGGGAGAACCCTAGGCAGAAATTTCACCATGAAGCTAACTGCTTGGGTTCAAATCCCGGCTCTGTCACTAGCTATCAGGGTGATTCCAGGCAAGCCTGTTAACCTCTCTGAGCCTGATTTGCTCCTTTGTGTAACTGGAATAATGAGAGGGCCCACCTCAAAGGGCTGCTTTACAGATTAAGTGCATTAATGTAATGCTCTAAACAATAGCAGACACACAATAGGCCATTATGATTGTTGTTCCTATCTTCTGTCTCCTCTCTGAGTCCAGAACTTTCATCCCCCTCAGTGTGCCGGGGTGGGGGAGGGGACAGAAGAAGGATCCCCACTTGCCGCTGTCATCTGTCCATCATGTTCAGCCCCACTTTCCTCCCAGGATGCAGCTGTGTTTCTGCACTGGGAGTCCAGACACCTGGGGTCTGGCAGAGAGCAGCCTGACACTCACTGACTGTAAGCCCTTAGGCAAACCACTTCCTTCCAGCCCTCATTTTCCTTATCTGTAAAATGGGGTCATATCTGTCCTGCTCCCGGTGTTCTGCTACCAGTATTGGAGGGAAGAATGAGAGTGTGTGGGTGGAAGGGCCCTGCAGCTAGAGAGAGCAACACGTGGGACTCCCCAAACCATCTCATGACCTCACAGATGACGGGGTCACCCTCCTGGCCCAGCACGGGCCTCCAGGGCCTGCTCCAGCACCGTGGCTGGTGTCCTCATTGTGATTGGCTGTGCCCTGCTGTACCAGTGGTTAAACATCTTGAATATCACCCCTATAGACCGAGACAAGAGATCTGAGTTGTACTCCCAGCTCTGCGCTTTCTTGCTGTGTGACCTTAAGCAAATCACTGTCCTTCTCTGGGCCTTGGTTTTCTCCACCATAAAGTAAGACTAGATTGATCTCCCTCACAAAAATACTGTGTGGGTAAATATGAGTTGATGACCATCAAGGCACTTTGGAAACTGTGATGACACACCTGTGAGTAACTTCTTGTCATGATTGTTTAGATCATAGAGAAACGGCGTCGAGACCGCATCAACAGTAGCCTTTCTGAATTGCGACGCTTGGTCCCCACTGCCTTTGAGAAACAGGTATGTGACATTGCTGATTGTGCTAGAGGAAATACTGTGTGGGTGGCAGATAAGGTTCGTTTCTCATGGCATCTCTTGTTGATTGGTAGCAGCTGCCTGAGATGCTGTGATCATTTACCAATATCTGTCACTGGCCAGGGTAAAAGGAATGGAAATTTATACTTAGGTGTCTCAGGTGTCTTTATGTCTATCATCCCATTGAATTGACTCCTCAAAATGATCCCAAAGGTTAGGGATTATTATGCCCATGGCACAGGTAAAGAAACTGAAGCACAGAGAGGTGAAGTAACTTACACCAGATCACGCAGCTAGTAAATAGCAGGGCACAGGACTGTGTGATTCTCAAGCCCTCATCCCTCTGCACTACAGACATTTCTAGAGTGACTTGAAAGTGGAAAAGGCTGCTCAGGGAGTGAGCACTCTACCATTGAGCATGTTAGGTGGGGGAACTACAGCGGGGAATCAGACAGTGGACTCAGCCTCAGAAATTCTCACCCTATGCACCAAGGCATAGGTCACGGGTCCTCTGCCTTCCTTTATGCTGGTGAGAACAAGTCAGTCATCCCACAGATGTTCACTAAAACCATCACAGGACCAGCCATGAACTAGACCTAGTATCTGCCCTCAAGGGACTCCCATGGAGCCTCTGATCTTCAGGCTTCACCTGGAAAGCTTAGGAAGCATTTCCCAAGAGAGAAAAGAGGAAGAACAAGTGGTCTGGGGATAAGATGATGAGCTAGATCTTGGGCACATTGAGTCTGAAGTTGGATTCCCTGAAGAGCTGGTTTAAGAGGCATTCTGAGGATGGTGGCTAAAGCCATGGAGGTGACAAGCCTCTCTGCAGGGAGCAGCAGAATGCGAAGTGACACAGAAGGGACAGTACTGTGTTAAGAGACGGCAGATCAAGAGGCATGGTGAAAGGAGAGCCCAGAAACAGTGGTGTCGTGCAAGTCAAGGGAGGAGTGGTTTCAGGAAAGATGATCGGCAGCTGTACAGTGGACAGATGGTCTGAGAGGAGAACTGAAAAGAATGTTCTAGATTTGGAGAACTTGGCCAAAGCAGAAGCCCATTTGCAGGCAGCAGTGGAGTGGGAGGAAGGTGAGAAAATCGAGACAGTGAGTGCTGATGACACCGCACAGCTACATGGTCAGCTGCAGGCTCCACCCTTCTGTCTTCTGTACCCGCAGGGCTCTTCCAAGCTGGAGAAAGCCGAGGTCTTGCAGATGACGGTGGATCACTTGAAAATGCTCCATGCCACTGGTGGGACAGGTACCCATGCTCTTCTCTTTCAGGCGTCATTCATACAACAAATATTTTGAGGCTGGGCCCTGGGGATATGCTGGTGAGCAAAGTCCACACGCTGCCCACTCTGAGGAGCTCAGTCAATGGAGGGAACATTTGCAAAGCTTCTCTCTCTCCTTTCAGCATCTCCCTCTCCACTTTCAGTGTCTCCATTTGTCGCAACCTTTTCCTCAGTTCAGCTCCCTCCAGTCTTAGACCTGGGAGGCGCTTTCTTCTGTAACAGACTGTTCCTATGGGTCCCACTCTTGTCCAACCCAGGACCTCATTAAGAATTCACCTGAATGAGCTAATTCTCACTGGGATCCCAATCTGACCCCCCTTAACCCAGGGAGGAGCCTGGTATCCTACCCACTGGTCTAGCCTTCTGGGCTACTGTGGGGTCCTTGGCAGAACTGGGGTGACATATCATGCTCACCACAGGTCTCAGGATTGTAGCAGGACACAAATTAACTCATTTTGTTATTTTAAGCCCATCAGTTACAATAAAGTAAGGGAACAGTGGCTTTAAAGACACTTCCAGACAAATAGAAATTCTGTCTACTCAAAGTTTCTCTGTGTATTTGGTGATTTCAAAATTGGGAAACCTTGAAAGCTCCACAGGCCTTGGCCACAAAGACCTAAGTTCCAGAGACCTAACTTACTGCTACAGAAGAGGACAGTAGCATTTTAAGTGGCCCATTCTGGTGCTTCTGAAGCCTCAGTGTATACCATTGTCACCTTGGGGCAGGCAGAATCAGGAGTCATCCCCCAGAGATTCTGAGGCAGTAGGTCTAGATTGAAGTTTAGGAGTTTGCAAGTTTAACAAGCCACCCAATTATCCTGGTGCAGGTGGTCCATTTGGGAACTTCTGCCAAAAAAAATGCATTGCTAAGAGTGGAGACTTCCATCTCTAATGAACCAATGGGGGAGATTCAAATTACATTTATGGTTATCCAGTGAAAAGAAAAGTAGTGACTAATATGTGGATATCATTTGACAGTTTTAAAATGCTTTCACTTGTGTTGTTTCATTTGATTCTCACAAGAACCTGCAAGATGGGGGTTAGTGTTACCACCATTTTCTGACTGTGAACTAATGGGAAGACAGAACTGTGGTTCACGGTATAGGCTTTAGATTTGAATCGGGCTCTACTGGTTACTAGCCGTATGACCTTAGACAAATGATTTAACCTCTCCCCTCCTCAGTTTCCTCATCTCTAAAATGGGAATAATTAGAGGGTTTTATGAGGATTAAATTAGATAACTTGATGAAATGCTTAGTAAGAATTCAGCAAATGTTAGAAAAAAACAGCGGGCCGGGCGCGGTGGCTCACGCCTGTAGTCCCAGCACTTTAGGAGGCCGAAACAGGCGGATCACAAGGTCAGGAGATCGAGACCATCCTGGCTAACACGGTGAAACCCCATCTCTACTAAAAATACAAAAAAAGAAATCAGCCGGGTGTGGTGGTGGGCGCCTGTAGTCCCAGCTACTCGGGAGGCTGAGGCAGGAGAATGGCATGAACCCAGAAGGCGGAGCTTTCAGTGAGTCGAGATCGCACCACTGCACTCTAGCCTGGGCGACAGAGCGAGACTCCGTCTCAAAAATAAAAGAAAAAGAAAAAGAAAAGAACAGCAAAGGCCAGGCGCAGTGGCTCACACCTGTAATCCCAACACTTTGGGAGGCCGAGGTGGGCGGATCACCTGAGGTCAGGAGTTCGAGACCAACCTGGCCAACATGGTGAAACCCTGTCTCTACTAAAAATACAAAAATTAGTCGCTGTGATGGCTGTTGCCTGTAATCCCAGCTACTTTGGAGGCTAAGGCAGGAGAATCTCTTGAACCTGGGAGGCGGAGATTTCAGTGAGCCAAGATCGTGCCACTGCACTCCAGCCTGGGGGACAGAGCGAGACTCCATCTCAAAAAAAATAAAAAAAGAAAAAAAGAACAGCAAACGCAGAAAGGTGAAGGGATTTGCTTGAACTTACATGGCTAAGTGTATAGCAGATTTGGTTCTCACCCACAAGTTGACCTGACTCCAAACATAGTCTCCAGCTGAGCTGTTCCTCTGTGGGGGCCATGAACCAAGGACTAGATATTTGCTGCCATCGTCATGAGACCAGTGCTGGCTGGGGTTGTTGTGTCTTTGCCCAGAAGGTGGTCAAGAGAGGAACAGGTATGGAGAGGCAGTGAGGATGTGAATATTTGTACAGGAAGTTCACCTGGTTATCCATCAAAGAGAGGGTCCCTGGCCGATAACAGCAGCTGAGGATCACAGTGGGGTCTTGCTTTCCAGATTGCCTTTTGAGCCAAGGGACAAACTCAGATGCCAACAAGGCCAAGCCAGTAATATAAGTGATAGCTAACTTTTCATTTATTCAGCATTTTCTGTGCACTATTTTAATTTCACCCTCATAACTCTATACGGTAGGCACTGCTATATCCCCATTTTACAGCTAAGGAAATTGAGGCACAGAGAGATAAAGAGACTTGTCCACAATCAGGCAGCTAGTTAAGTAGCAGAGCCAGGATTTGAACCCAGCTCTCCTGGCTTCCGACGACCTCACACTTCACTGCTACACTACGCTGCCTTCTCCAAGGGGCCTCCTCACTCTGATGGCTGCTGCCGCCACCTCCCTTCCTGGGCATCTGCCCCTCTCAGCAGGCAGAGTTGTTCTACACCTCCAAGTGCATAACCTTTCATATCTGTCAAGTATCTACTTCAATGAAGTTATCTTGGCCACAAAGTTTTTTCTTTGCATTAATCATGAATTGTGATGAAAGCAATATTTTACATTTTATAATGCTTCATAGTTTAGTGAATTCATTGATCATTATAACCCATCATCCTCCACCCCAGGAAGGGATTTTTGTTCTCACTTTGCAGATGGGGAGACAGGCTCAGAGAGGCAGGATGACATGGCCACGGCTGCCCAGGGAGTGAGTGGAGGAGGCAGGTCCAGAACTCAGACAGTCAGACCCAGGCTCCATGCTTCTCCCCACACCTGGCATGACCTTCATCACGCCTCCCTTTGCAGGATTCTTTGATGCCCGAGCCCTGGCAGTTGACTTCCGGAGCATTGGTTTTCGGGAGTGCCTCACTGAGGTCATCAGGTACCTGGGGGTCCTTGAAGGGCCCAGCAGCCGTGCAGACCCCGTCCGGATTCGCCTTCTCTCCCACCTCAACAGCTACGCAGCCGAGATGGAGCCTTCGCCCACGCCCACTGGCCCTTTGGCCTTCCCTGCCTGGCCCTGGTCTTTCTTCCATAGCTGTCCAGGGCTGCCAGCCCTGAGCAACCAGCTCGCCATCCTGGGAAGAGTGCCCAGCCCTGTCCTCCCCGGTGTCTCCTCTCCTGCTTACCCCATCCCAGCCCTCCGAACCGCTCCCCTTCGCAGAGCCACAGGCATCATCCTGCCAGCCCGGAGGAATGTGCTGCCCAGTCGAGGGGCATCTTCCACCCGGAGGGCCCGCCCCCTAGAGAGGCCAGCGACCCCTGTGCCTGTCGCCCCCAGCAGCAGGGCTGCCAGGAGCAGCCACATCGCTCCCCTCCTGCAGTCTTCCTCCCCAACACCCCCTGGTCCTACAGGGTCGGCTGCTTACGTGGCTGTTCCCACCCCCAACTCATCCTCCCCAGGGCCAGCTGGGAGGCCAGCGGGAGCCATGCTCTACCACTCCTGGGTCTCTGAAATCACTGAAATCGGGGCTTTCTGAGCTGCCCCTTCACCACCCCGCCCCAAGGAATAAGGAAGGTTCTTTTACCAGGAGCCCAAAAAAGGGCACTGCCTTTTCTGCTTTGCTTCATGGACTGGCTCATATGTGAAGGCACGTTCTCCAGCCATCAGAGGCCCCCTCCTCCTCCAACCCATCTCTCCTTCTCACTGTTATCCCAGCTTATCCACCCAGCTCTCCTGGAGCTGTTCTGGTCTCAGAGGCTTGGTTCCATTTCTCACCTGAACAGATGAGTCCTGGGAGAGACCCTCAGAGATCCGCCCAGACCCCTCTCCTGCCCTCTGCACACCAGCAGCAGGCATGAACCTTGGGTCTGGGAAAAAGCTTTAACCTGCAGGGCACCAGGACCCAAGGCAGGCTGTTCCTTGGGGCGGTCAGACCCCAGTCAGGAGCAATGACTGACTGGCTGCAGCCTTCCCACGCCAAGAGGCTGGAACATAGTGTCTGCCTCGCTTCCTGGAGATAGTAACTGAGCAGGGGCTACAAAGAGGTCTCCTGGGAACCCTGTCTGCCCCTTCCCACCTGTCCTTGGGCCACACCATCACACTGAACCACAGGACAGACCCTTTCTCCACCACAGCCAAGGCCTGGAGACTGGGGGCCCAGCAGAGCCTGCTCCCACCCTCCTCCCAGCAGCAGACACCCACCCTCTCACTGACTAACAGGTCCCTGCACACAGCTGGCCTGGTAAACCCAGCTGGGAGGTTTCTAGGCAGCAGCAAAACTCTGTGACAGGGTGTCCTCACACCAGGCCTTGGACAGCTCTCCCAGACAGGAGCCAGGGTTGAGCAATGGAGAGCCCAGCCCCCACGTCTTACAGTCGCCATCCTCCAGGCGTGTGGTCCCTCCCCATTGGGTGCACAGTGCAGAGGGGCCGTGGCCCCATGTGATGGTGCGCAGAGAGGAACCTCTTGGGATTCAGCACCAGACGTCTGTGCTGCCTGGTTTGCATCCGGCTCACAGAGCCCAGACTGCTGGAACAGCCAAGGACTGTCAGGCTGGACAAAAATAACTGCAAGGAGGGGCAAGAGAAAGGATGATTCGAGGCACCTTGGCCCTTCAAGGTCATGCAGTGGGTCGAGCGCCTGAGATCCTGTTCACCAGGACTCCACAGAGCTGGCTCTGCTCAGAAGCCATTTCATTCCCCGGCTCCACCCTAGGCCACTTTTTCTAACAGAGGAAACAAATGGTCCAGCAGTCGTTCCCAGCAGAACAGCGGAGCCTGGACTGACACCCAGTGGGACCAGTGTTGCCACACCAGTTGATAAAATGCAGAAACCCTTCTGTACTCGTTGGTAAATATCTACTCCCCCAAGTGACTCCAGGTGCCCCCCACCGCCTGGCACTTCCCCCAGGACTCCTACGATCTGGTTACTGCCTGGCCGATCCAAGGCTGTGGAGTCCCAGAGCCAGCAGTTCACTGGTGCTCATTCCACACTGGTTAGATACTTCAGTTGTCACCCCTGGGAAGATTCTCCCACCTCCTCCCTTTGATGGAACCACCCTCCCCAGAGGCTGCATTGAGGAGACTCCACAGACTGAAAAGTGAGTTTGCAGAAACCTTGGGGAAAAGGGCCCTTTCAAAGAAGTGGATAAGAGGGAGGAGATCATTGAGTGACCCAGAAAGCTCTTTTGAAAAGACAGACTCCTCAAGGAGAGATAAAGAGGAAAGCACCTCTTTCATTTTTTAGTGTGAGCTAATTCCATCAGACTGCTGTCCTCCTGGACCCATCTGAGATGTGCAGTAGCAAGGAGAGGGGGGATCATTTTAGAGAGTGGGTCATTGGCAGGGAGTGCTCCGGAGGGAGGCAGAGGGGAGACTGTGGTAGAAGGAAGACAGAACTCACACATGCTCCCAGGATTGGGGACAGGGACAGAGGAGGTAACAGAAGGCAAAGGCCAGTTTCCCCGTTATCATGAAGGGGCCCACTCAGGACAGGAACAAGGACAACTCCTCCTCCTCCTCCTCCTCTCCTGCTGCTCCTGGGATACCAGGTCAGTGATGTAGTCTTGCAGTTTGGCAACTTCCTAGCCTGAGAATCCCTAGTGGGGCTGTGGGAAACACATTTCCACGTTGCAAGCATGCAACTCCAAAGAATCTGTGATGCCACTGAAATGAGATGGGAATGATCCAGCTCTTTCAGCATCTTGGTTGAACTTGCTTTCATTGTCCCTGGGATATTGTGGAAGGAAAGGTGACTGTGTGATCTGATTCTGTGGTCAAGGACTTGCATCTTGTGTTTCTATCCCCAAGCCTTCCTGGTGTCTCCAACTCCTACCCCATTGCATGGGTTGTTGCGGACATCCAATAAAGATTTTTTTAGTGCTTCTGGAAACTTCCAGTAGATTCTACTTCTAAACTATCTCTGGAGTCCATCCACTTCTGTCTGCACCCACAGCCATCCTGGCCAGGCCACATCACCTCCCCCAGATCACTGCCCTGGCCTCAGAAAGGTCTTCCCTCTTGCTTTGTCAATCAGTTCTCAGTAGCAGCAGAGAGAAATTGAAAGCTGCAGGTCATATCGTATCATCTTTAGTTTGAAAACCTCACTCTCTTACCCTATTGTTCTAAAGGTCTTCTTTTGGTCCCAACCTCATTTCCAGCCTCATTTCTTGCCAGTCCCAGACTTGCTCCCTGAGCTTCTGCCACCTGCCCTTCCTTCATTTCCTCGACATTCCAGCCTTGTTCCCACCTCCAGCACTTTGCATATGCTGTTCCCTTTGCCAAGAATGCTCTTCCCCTACCCTGTGCATGGCTGAGTTCTGCAGACCCTCAGGCCTTGGCTTCAACGTTGCCTCGTCCAAGAGGCCTTCCTCGACTACTTTACTTGTGGAGTTCCTCTATCACAAGGCCTCTGTTCTTTCCCTTCATGGAGAATTTGCCACTGCATATCCATTTGTGTAATTTACTTGTTGGTTGACTGTGCCTCCCACTCGAGTGTAAGCTCATGAGGCCAGGTGCCATGCCTGGTTCAGTCTCCACTCTGTACCCAGCATTGAGCACAGGGCCTGGTCCATAGTTGGCGTTCAATAAATACTTGTTGAAGAAGTGAACTGAGAAGGTGAGATATCTTCTGGACTCATGCCGTGGATGGTCCAGGCCCCTTTAGGTGTGAACCCCCTGCTGGCCAACTTTGCGGGGAGGCTGCAGAGCAGAGGGAGAGCCAGGGCCAAGGGACTGGAAGTTCTGGCAAGTGGCCAGGAGGCCCTGGCCAAAGGCAAGTGCGAGTGTCCACTCCGAGTGCACACTGACAGCTGGGAGCAGGCAGGCTGTCCTGCCAGCAGGCATTGCTCTCCACCCTTGGCTTGGCTCTGTGATGGATTTGGCTCGCAACAAATCCAACGAACACAGAGGTCTGCTCTGTGCCAGCCAGGCACAGTGGAGCCAGAGCTGGGAAGGACACAGTTGCTTTGAGTGGGGGGCACACCCTCCATCAGGATGATAGTTTGGTGAGATGAGAGTAGGGAGGTTTGTTAGGAAGGCTGAAGGGAGCAGAGTTGGGGTATGTGGCCCTGCCCGGGGTGTCAAGCGGGTAGGGGGCTCTGGGAGGAAGCTTTCCAGGAGGAGAAGGAAGGGAACCATTCTATGTGCAAAGACCTGGAGACCTCATCAAGGAGAGCTGTAGACGTTGGCTCTGAGTTGAGCACGGGCCCTCAGTGACAGGGTGAGAGGTGGGCTAGCCTGGGCACTGAAGCCAGACTTCTTTATTAATGAGTTGTATGTAGTCTTGGGCAAGTTACTGAACCTCCCTTATCCTCAACTTTCTCATCAATAAAGCGGGGAAGATGCAGTAATGGCTACTATTGGTTGAGTGATAACTGTGTACCAGACACTGTACCTAATGCTTTTCTTGGAATGTCCCATTTTACAGATGAGGAAACTGAGCTAAGACATCATCTCCTAAGGTTAGGTGGTAATTGAATGAGATAACATGTAAAGCTCTCAATAGAGTGCCTGGGTCACATGAACCGCTCCACCAATCTTAGCCGTTAGTGTCATCAATGAGAGGAGGCTGGATCCAAATTGAAAGGCCAGGAGCATCATGCAGAGTCTGGGCTTCAGCCTATAGGCAGTGAGAGCCCTGGAAGATTTTGCCAAGTGAATGCTCAGGTGGGACCTTGTTTAAGAAACTTGGCCGGGCACAGTGGCTCACACCTGTAATCCCAGCACTTTGGGAGGCCGAGGCGGGTGGATCACCTGAGGTCAGGAGTTCGAGACCAACCTGGCCAACATAGTGAAACCCCATCTGTACTAAAAATACAAAATTAGCGGGGCATGATAGTGCACGCCTGTAATCCCAGCTACTTGGGAGGCTGAGGCAGGAGAATTGCTTGAACCCGGGAGGCAGAGGTTGCAGTGAGACAAGATTGCACCACTGCACTCCAGCCTGGGCGACAGGTGAGATTCCATCTCAGAAAAAAAAAAAAAAGAAACTTGGCACTTGGAGTGATGTGGGGTGACTGGGGAGGAGCAGTGTTCAGACTCAGCTCCACCTATTCATGGGAAACACTTAGATGCTATTTTAAAATATCCGTGGCCAGGCGCAGTGGCTCATGCCTGTAATCCCAACACTTTGGGAGGCTGAGGCAGGTGGATCATGAGGTCAGGAGTTTGAGACCAGCTTGGCCAATATGGTGAAACCCCGTCTCTACTAAAAATACAAAAAGTAGCTGGGCATGGTGGTGTGAACCTGTAGTCCCAGCTACGCAGGAGGCTGAGGCAGAAGAATCGCTTGAACCCAGGAGGCAGAGGTTGCAATGAGCCGAGATCGCACCACTGCACTCCAGCCTGGGCGACAGAGCGAGACTCTGTCTCAAAAATAATAATAAATAAATATAACAAAAAATAAATAAATAAAAATATCGGTACCCAGGCCCCAGAGATTATGATTTAACTTGCGTGGGGTGGGGCCCAGGCACCTCATCAGGAGGCGGGAAGAAGGGTTGGGATTTCTTTCCAAGCTGAGGTAGATTGGCATTCAGTAGGTGACTGGACTCGAACCTGTAGGCCTGGAGAAAGCTAATGCTTTCTGAGGAGCAATGCAGAAATTAATTTCCACAGGGGCCTCTCTGTCCCCTGGTCCCTCTCATAGTGCCTGGCCCATAGTAGGTGCCTAAGAAATATTAGGTGTGCTGAAAGCCTTAGGAACTTGTAATTTACTAGCACTGAATATTTATGACTTTGTGGAAAACTCAAGACATTAGCCTCCTTCCCTCCTTCCTGGAGAGAGACAGTAGGAAAAATCAGGTCTATTAGCTGATCCCATTAATAACAGTAAACATTTGTGAGCCATTGATCTACACTGTCTCATAAAATTCTCACATAGCTCTGTGAGTAACTACCGCTATCATCACCATTTTACAGAAGAGGAAACTGAGACTCAATTTGTTAGTGAAAGTGCCCAAAGTTCACAACACTAATAAATATTCCAGCCAAAATTAAGACCTAGGCCTGTCTGATTCAGTCTTAGCCAATACAGGACACTGCTTCCTTCCCAGGCTTCCCCTTGGGATGCAATCCTGGCGATGTTCCATGGCAGCCATGCAGGCCTGGGGGCTGGACTGCTGTGTTAGCCTGGGAAGCCTTTGGTTCTGCCATGCTCTTCTCCCCTGTGCTTAGTAAGGAAGGGTAAGGCTCAGCCTCTATAACAAAGAGGCCTAGCAATCATTCTGTGGATGAAAGAAGATGGAAGTTTATTTGTCTCCCATGTAACTGCCTGGTGAACTTTCCAAGTCAGCAGGAAGCTCCATTCAACACAGACATCCTGAGACCCGGATTCCTTCTGTCTTGATCCCTCACCACCCACTAGGGCACTGTTGTGCCTACAAGGCTGCAGCTAGGTGTCCACAAGTTCAAGCCAACAGGAAAGGGAAGAGAGCCTGGTAGAGACATGACCACCGTCTTTTTTATTTTTTATTTATTTACTTATTTTTGAGACAGAATCTTGCTTGGTTGCCCATGCTGGAGTGCAGTGGCTGGATCTTGGTTCACTGGATCTTGGTTCACTATTGCCTCGACCTCCCAGGCCCAAGGAATACCCAGCCTCCCAAGTAGCTGGGACCACAGGTGTGCACCACCACACCTGGCTACTTTTTTAGTTTCTGTAGAGACAGGGCCTCCCTATGTTGCCCAGGCTGGTCTTGAGCTCCTAGACTCAAGTGATGCTCCCACCTTGGCCTCCCAAAGTGAGGGGATTATAGGCGTGAGCCACCACACTCAGCCTTGACCACAGTCCTAAACACTCAGAAGGAGCACATCTCCCTCCAGCCATGTTTCACTTGTGAGAACTTAGTTGGCTGCATCAAACTGCAAAGGAGGCTGGAAATGCATTTGAGCCAGTTCTTTGAAATACACGTGAATGGATATTGGCAGATAGTCTCTCTCCCCTCACCTTTACCTCATGGCTCAAAAAGTGAGAGGAATGAGGGAATTAAGGACATTAGAAGCTACTCACTGGTGTGTGCGCACACACGCACACATTGACCTGGAGGTCAGTTTACTTTGAGCTTGAGGAACTAGGTATAGAGGCACCACCTGCCACTCTGATCCCACAAGGGTGGGTTGGATGCCTCCCAGCGGAGCAGTGTCTGTACTGGGCTTGCCTCCCCAGAGAACTCCCTCAGAAAACCTAGTGTAAGACAAGAAGTTTTGTTGCTTTAGGATGGCCAAGGGCCACAAGCTGCCTGGTGATCAGCATGACCTGGAGGGATTGAGTACCATGTGGCATCCTGAGGGGCTCCTGTCACCATCCTGGCTCTGGCCTAGGCAAGAGGTACTGGCCGATGCATACACCTTCCCTGTCCTGTTGACTGTCACTGATTTCTCCTCCCCATTGCCCAAGACACAATGAGCCCTGTAGCTCTGGTGCAAGGCCATGACCTCAGAGGGCTGTGGGGTGATTTGTGAAAGTTGAATCTCTCATGGATTGGGCTGCTGAGAGGCGCTCGTTAATTACTTGGTAGTGGCAGGTGAAAACAGGGCAGGTGTTGGATATCCAAAGATAGACACCAGGATCTCTGGACTCTTTCTTTTTGCTTCATGTGGGAATCAAAAGGAGCAAGGCTGTTGTTCAGCCCCTGAAGCTCAGAAAGCTGGCTGACTGACCTACACTGCCCTCAGCCCAAGGGCCATTTCAAGCCTATGCTTTTGCTCAGGGCTTTCAGCAAAATCTGGGTTCCACTGCTCTGCTCCAAGAAGTCCAGTATAGTCACCCCCCATATTCTGGGCACCCCATGTATTCCATTAGAGCCTCTGAAAATTAATGGACCAACTGGGCGCAGTGGCTCACACCTGTAATCCCAGCACTTTGGGAGGCTGAGGTGGGTGGATCACTTGAGGTCAGGAGTTCGAGACTAGCCTGGCCAACATGGTAAAACCCTATATCTAATAAAAATACAAAAAATTAGCCGGGTGTGGTGGTGGGCACCTGTGATCCCAGCTACTCGGGAGGCTGAAGCAGGAGAATCTCTTGAAGGCGGAGGTTGCAGTGAGCCAAGATCACACCACTGCACTCCAGCCTGGGCAACAAGAGCGAAACTCCATCACACACACACACAAAAAAAAAAGAAAAAAGAAAACTAATGAACCATCCATTGCCTAAAACTCCAGCAACCCTAAAAGGACCCAATCAACCAGAAGAAAAAATACTAATACCTCATATCATACAGCAACCTAACATTTCAAAGTGCTTTCACATGTGTTAGTTCATGCACACCTGACAACAGTTTAACTGAGGGAGCCAGGGCAGGAATTATTATCTCCATTATGCAGATGAGGAAACTGAATCTTATTTCAAGTAAAATGATCTGCCCTAGATCAGAAAAACAGTAAATGAGCTGGGCATGGTGGCTCACACCTATAATCCTACCACTTTGGGAAGCCAAGGTGGGAGGATCACTTGAGCTCAGGAGTTCAAGACCAGCCTGGGCAACATTAGTGAGACCTCGTCTCTTTTAAATTGGCAAAGCTTGGCCAGGCATGGTGGCTCACGCCTGTATTCCCAGCACTTTGGGAGGCTGAGGCAGGTGGATCACCTGAGGTCAGGAGCTTGAGAACAGCCTGGCCAACATGGTGAAACCCCATCTCTACTAAAAAGTACAAAAATTAGCTGAGCATGGTAGCAGGAGCCTGTAATGCCAGCTACTCAGGAGGCTGAGGCAAAAGAATCGTTTGAACCTGGGAGGCGGAGGTTGCAGTGAGCCAAGATCGCACCATTGCACTCCAGCCTGGGCAACAAGAGCGAAATTCCATCTCAAAAAAAAAAAAAAAAGCAAAGCTTATTTGGATCATAGTGGAAAATCCAATCACAAACAGCCACAGAGAAATAATATATGTTACCCAGCAATTACCAAGCACTCACCATAGGTGGGCACTGTACCAAGGGCTTTGCATGCAGAGTCTGGGCTTATCTGCATGACTCCCTGATTTAGGTTTCAGTTGATTATTGTGTCCAATTTACAGATAAGGAAACAGAGGCTCAAAAAGATCAACTAATTTGTTCAAGGAGACACAGCTATTAGGGGTCAGAGCTCTTAGCTGTCAAGTTCTACAGCCTGTGAAATGCTGTATCTTCTGTATCCACTCCTTCCAAACAATTGAGAGAGGGTATCCAGGCCTCTCAACAGCTCCTGGCTTATATCACAAGGCTTTGGCCTCTGACTCATCAGTATCAACTCACCAACCCTTCAGGACACAGAGATCAGCTCTGTCTGCCTCCATCCAGTAATATTCATGGGGCACCGAGTCTGTGCCAGGTTCTCTTGTAGGTGCTGGATACAGCAATGAAGAAAACGGAACCCCAGATGCATGGAGCTGGCGTTCCTGTTGGGGGAGACAAATGAGAAACCACTAGGCAAATATATATGTACCATGTTTGATGGTAAAGGGAGATTAGGGGACAGAGAGTGATGGGAGAGGTGGTATTTTTCTATAAGATGGACAGAGAAGGCCAAAGGTAGCGTGGACAGAAACTTCAGGGAGGGAGGGGGCCATGAGACTCTGAGGGGAGGGAGGCCAGGCCGGGAGCAGCAAGGGCCACCCTAGAGTGGACTTGCAGTGTAGACAGCAGGAGAGAGTGGCAGGAGACAGTCCACCAGGGGGAAGGGGAGCGGGTCACGGGAAGGGTTTAGATTTTCTCTGAGGCAGGCAAGAGGGCATTGGAAGGTCCAGAGAAGAGGAGATTCATAACCTGCATTCCCTGTGAGGAGGGGCCTGGGGGCCCAGTGGGAAGAGCCAACTGAGATGGGATAGGGTGGAGGCAGGCAGGCCATTAGACCCCTCAGTCCCACTGACCTCCTTCCCACCCCCTCAATCATCCCTCACAGAACCCACCATCACTCAAAGCCACTCATTTCAGGAATCCTGATTTCAAACATCCCATTCTCCAGCCACCACTTCCCTTCCTTCCTCTTCCTCTGCTCAGGATCCTTGTCGCAGAAATTCTCCCCCTTCAAGGAGGTCTTCAAACCACTGATTTTACCACCCGCTTACCAGCCATTCCTGGCTTCACGTCCCTCCCTCCCTAGCTAGTGGCCCATTGACCCTCATCTCTGTCGTTGCCCCTTGCAAGCAGCCTCTCTCCTTTAACCATCTCTCCCTCCATTGCCGTCACCAGGTGTGGAACAGACTTCAGAGTGGCTCCTTGCCCCTGCCCCATGATGTCCATGCCTTGTGTGGTCCCCTTGCATCCGGACAGAACCCATGACTTGCTTCTAACCAAAAGAATATGGCAAACGTGAGGGATGTTACTCCCGTGAGCAAGCTGCATCACGTGGCACAGATAAGGGGATACTGCTCCCATGACTGCCTTACCTTGTATAAGACTGACTCAGGGCCGGGTGCAGTTGGCTCACGCCTGTAATCCCAACACTTTGGGAGGCCAACGCAGGTGGATCACCAAGTCAGGAGATCGAGACCATCCTGGCCAACATGGTGAAACTCCGTCTCTACTAAAAATACAAAAATTAGCTGAGCATGGTGATGTGCACCTGTAGTCCCAGCTACTTGGGAGGCTGAGGCAGGAGAATCGCTTGAACCTGGGAGGCGCAGGTTACAGTGAGCCGAGATCGTGCCACTGCACTCCAGCCTGGCAACAGAGTGGGACTCCATCAAAAAAAAGAAAAAAAAATTGACTCAGCCGGCTGGAGGCAGAGACGCCCTTGCTGGGTGGAGGCAGTAATCAGCCATGTTGGAGAAGCCCCCGTGGCAGGAACTGTGGGTGGCCGCAAGGGCTTCAGGGGCAGCCTGCAGCTGGCAGCCAGAAAAAGACCAGGTGCCCAAGCCAGGGCCCAGTCATATGGCACAAGGATATGAATTCTACCAACAACCTGAGTAAGTTACTCAACCTGAGTAAGTGGCTTTTCTCCTGGAGGATCCTCCAGGTGAGCCTGGCCAACAACCTGCGTGTAGCCTTGTGCAATACTGAGCCAAGGACCCAGCTAAGCAAGCCAAGCCATACTCCTAAGCCACAGAAGCTATAAGATAATCAATGGGCATTGTTGAAAGCACTAGGTTTACGGTCATTGTTACATAGCAATCAGTAACTAATACACCAGGCGAAACCTGACTCCTGCTCTACACCTGCTAGAAAAGACTCATTCAGGCTGGCGCAGTGGCTCACGCTTGTAATCCCAGCACTGAGGGAGGCCGAGGCGGGCGGATCACGAGGTCAGGAGATCGAGACCATCGTGGCTAACACGGTGAAACCCCGTCTCTACTAAAAATACAAAAAATTAGCCAGGCGTGGTGGCGGGCACTTGTAGTCCCAGCTACTCGGGAGGCTGAGGCAAGAGAATGGTGTGAACCCGGGTGGTGGAGCTTGCAGTGAGCCGAGATTGCGCCACTGCAGTCCAGCCTGGGGGACAGATGGACACTCTGTCTCAAAAAAAAAAAAAAAAAAAAAGAGAGAAAAAGAAAAGAGTCATTCAATCACGGTGACTTTGAGTGGGGGAACCTACTCTACTTCTGCACCCGGCTGGCTCTCCTGGTTTCCATGGTGACTCTGTGATTACTTGGCCTCTCTCCTCACAGCCCCCTCCCCTTTCCCACATTATTCTCCAAAAAAATGGTCCTGTTTCATGCCTCATGTTGAATACGGAGGGTTCTGGTAGTCTCCAGGATAGTATTATTTTTAAAAATCTGTGTTATCGAGGTGTAATTTATGTACAACAAAATTCGCCAATGTTAAATGTAAAATTTGCTGAGTCATGCCAGTGTAAACACTCAGGCAATCACCTCATAATTGTGATATAGAGCATTTCTATCACCCAGAAACTCCCTCTAAACCCTTTGCAGCCAATCACCTCCTCCAGTCTCAAGCATTGATCTGGTTTCTGTGTTTCTGCCACCATGGTTGTTTTTTGTTTTTGTTTTTGTTTTTGCTTTGAGACGGAGTCTTACTCTATCACCCAGGCTAGAGTGCAGTGGCACAATCTTGGCTCACTACAACCTCCACCTCCTGGGTTCAAGCCATTCCCCTGCCTCAGCCTCCCCAGTAGCTGGGATTACAGGCACACACCACCATGCCCAGCTAATTTTAGTATTTTTAGTAGAGACAGGGTTTTACCATGTTAGCCAGGCTGGTCTCGAACTCCTGACCTTGTGATCCGCCCACCTCGGCCTCCTAAAGTGCTGGGATCACAGGCGTGAGCCACCACGCCTGGCCCACCATGGTTTTGTCTATGTATAAATGGAATTAGACAGCAGGGAAACTTTTGAGTCTGGCTTTCTTCGCTTAGTGTAATGCTTTAGAAATTCATCAAGTTCTGTGAATGAGTTGCTCTTTCTTTTCGTTGCTGTGTAGTATTCCATTGTACAGATAGATCCCAATTTGTTTATCCATTCACCTTTTGATGCATATTTGGGTTGAGTCCTGAGGATGGTTTTCAGTCACAGAAAAGACTATTTGGAAGTTTATTTCTGGAGTAAACAATTAGTTTCTATTTATTAAAGTTACTAGTTCAAAACACTACTAATTCTTTCTTAACCTTAAGATTCAACCTATTGGCCAGGCGTGGTGGCTCACACCTGTAATCCCAGCAATTTAGGCAGCCGAGACAGGAAGATTACTTGAGGCTAGGAGCTGGAGACCAGTATGGGCAACATATCAAGACCCCATGTCTACAAAAAATTAAAATTTAATAATAATAAAATATTTAAAAAGTATAAATAAAATTCAGCTTACAAACCTTGTTTGAAAATCTAGATTTTAGCAAATGCTTCTAAGGGGCTTTTTACAACTTTATATCTTCAAACGTAAATGAATAGGTTTGATTTTCTTTTTCAGTATCTCAGTGTGGAAGAAAAGTTAAATATTAAATTTGAACTCAACTGAACATGGACACAAACAATGGTCACCAAGTCCCTGAACAGGTTGTGTGAGCCCCTTGAGGCGTTCATCCAGCACTGTTTCGGAGGAATCTCTATTTCAATCTATTCCTATACATTAGTTATTGAAAAACAACACACAATCGCAAAAACAAGTTGACCTTTTTGTGTTCCTTGAGACCGATAATGAAGGGCCCTCGTGACCGGACCTCATGCCAAACAACTCGTTACAAAAAGAGCTAGGGTCCCAGCTGCGCTGAAGCTTCATGAGACCTCTCCTCATCTGTGCATGGATGAGTGGCCGACTCTGGAGCCCAGGCTGTTGCTTCCCAGTCTGGTGGTGAATCCTCCATAGTCTGGTGAGTGTAAATATGTGTATATCTCTTTTCCCTTCTCCCCTTCCCATTGCAATTTGCTTATTATGTCATTTACTTATATCAATTTGCTTATTATATTAATTTCCTTATTATATCATTTGCTTATTATATCTGCATTGCCATTTACGTGGGATAAAGCTTGTTTACCCTTAAAGGTATTGTGTGTGTGCCTTTTCTTCTCCCCTCACGCAGCTCCCGCGGCTCCCACACAGGACGCTCAGTTATCTGTATAAACAAAACCTTCCTGAAGATTTAAATCATTCTTATACATCAAGTAAATCCAAGTTATAAATAGGATGAATCTTAAGTTCTCTCAAAAATCTGTTTATCTAAAAAACTAGGGCTGGGCACTGTGACTCACACTTGTAATCCCAGGACTTTGGGAGGCTGAGGCTGATTGCCTGAGCCCAGGAGTTTGAGAACAGCCTGGGCAATATAGTGAGACCTCATCTCCACAAAAAATTTAAAAATTAGCCAGACATGGTTGCGCACGCCTGTGATCCTATCTACTCAGGAGGCTGAGGTGGGAGGATCACTTGAGCCGGGGAGGCAGAGGTTTCAGTGAGCTGAGATCCAGCTACTGCATTCCAGCCTGGGAAACAGAGTGAGACCCTGTCTCAAAAACAAAAACAGAAAACAAAACAAAAACCCTAAATGTATCTAGATTATTTCTTTGAACAGAAATATTAATGCTAAGGTTTTTTGTCTTTGTTTTTTATGAGAACGGGGTCTCACTCTGTAGCCCAGTCTGGAGTGCAGTAATGCAATCTCATCTCACTGCAACCTCTGCCTCCCGGGTTCAAGCGATTCTTCTGCCTCAGCCTCCTCAGTAACTGGGATTACAGGCACGCAGCACCACACCTGGGTAATTTTTGTATTTTTAGTAGAGACGTGGCTTCACCATGTTCGTCAGGCTGGTCTCGAACTCCTGACCACAAGAGTTCCGCCTGCCTCGGCCTCCCAAAGTGCTGCGATTACAGGCGTGAACCACCATGCCCGGCCAATGCTAAGATTTAAATTTTTGGTTTAGCATGCTAGTCTTAGTTCTAAATCTTCCTGAGGTTATGTTACATAAGTATCCTCATCAAGGACACTCTAAGGAAGAAAGTTCCATCACCGGTAACAGAGGTTAATTAATTTTTCATCTTCTAAGGTTACAGATGTGTTCCACAAAGAAAAAAAAGGCCGGGCACGGTGGCTCACGCCTGTAATCCCAGCACTTTGGGAGGCTGAGGTGGGCGGATCACGAGGTCAGGAGATCGCGACCATCCTGGCTAACACGGTGAAACACTGTCTCTACTAAAAATACAAAAAATTAGTCGGGCGTGGTGGTGGGCGCCTGTAGTCCCAGCTACTGGGGAGGCTGAGGCAGGAGAATGGCGTGAACCCGGGAGGCGGAGCTTGCAGTGAGCCCAGATGGCACCACTGCACTCCAGCCTGGGTGACAGTGCGAGACTCTGTCTCAAACAACAACAACAACAACAACAACAACAACAAAACAAAACAGACCAAAAAAAACCACAGTCCTCCCAGTTAATTGAGATCATGTGCCCACTAAGAAAGACACCTGTGGGGCTGCAGTGGCCAGCCATGCCCTCAGCACGGCACAAATTCTGTTTGTGCCACTGAATCTCTCCCCAAAGGGCTGCTGAGAGGCCTGTTTCTATAGCTGGGCTGGGAATGAGACAGAGCCCCTTGCAGGCTTTAGAGCTCTTCCTGTTGATTCAGGACTAAAAGCTTTTCATTCAACTTGTGATGTCAGAAAGCTGGGTGACTGACCGCCACTGCACAGTGACTTGATGGCCCCTTTGAAGCACAGGCCCACAAGGATTTGCAGGTAAATTGCAAATGGCCAATATCCAGTACAAACAGCCACCCACTGTGCCTGTCCCCCTGGCAGCCACTGCTTTTGGATTACTGCCCCTTCACCCTTGGTAATGCAGGCACACGGGCACGCAGTGCGGGACTGGTGGGCAACTCTGCCCACGGCCAGGCACAGGATCCACTAGGCAAAGCCAGCTGGGCTTCTGAGTCAGGTGGGGACTTGGAGAACTTTTATGTCTAGCTGGAGGATTGTATATGCACCAATCAGCACTCTGTGTCTAGCTGGGGGTTTGTGGATGCACCAGTCACCACTCTGTATCTAGCTAATCTGGTGGGGACTTGGAGAACTTTTATGTCTAGCTAGAGGATTGTAAATGCACCAATCAGCACTCTGTGTCTAGCTAAAAGATTGTAAATGCACCAATCAGCACTCTGAGTCTAGCTAAAGGTTTGTAACGCACCAATCAGTGCTCTGTGTCTAGCTAATCTAGTGGGGACTTGGAGAACTTTTGTGTCTAGCTGAAGGATTGTAAATGCACTAATCAGCTCTCTGTGTCTAGCTCAAGGTTTGTAAAGGCACCAATCAGTGCTGTGTCTAGCTAATCTAGTGGGGACTTGGATAACTTTTGTGTCTAGCCAAAGGATTGTAAATGCACCAATCAGCACTCTGTGTCTAGCTCAAGGTTTGTAAACACACCAATCAGCACCCTGTCAAAACAGACCAATCAGCTCTCTGTAAAATGGGCCCATCAGCTCTGTAAAATGGGCCCATCAGCTCTGTAAACTGGACCAATCAGCTCTCTGTAAAGTGGACCAATTAGCAGGATGTGGGTGGGGTCAGATAAGGGAATAAACGCAGGCTGCCGAAGCCAGCAGTGGCAGCCTGCTTGGGTTTCTCTTCAGCATGTGTAATGCTTTGTTCTTTTGCTCTTTGCAATAAGTCTTGCTGCTGCTCACTCTTTGGGTCTGCATGCCTTTATGAACTGTAACGTGGTGAAGGTCTGCAGCTTCACTCCTGAGGCCAGCGAGACTACAAACCCACTGCGAGAGATGAACAACTGCGAACGGGAGGAACGAACAACTTCAGGCGCACTGCCTTAAGAGTTTTAACACTCACTGCAAAGGTCTGCAGCTTCACTCCTGAAGCCAGGGAGACCACGAACCCACCAGAAGGAAGAAACTCTGAACACGTCCGAACATCAGAAGGAATAAACTTTGGACACGTTATTTTTAAAAACTGTAACAGTCGCCGTGAGGGTCTGCAGCTTCATTCTTGAAGTCGGCAAGACCAAGAACCCACCAATTCTGGAACACAGTAAGACATCCCTGCCCAAAGCTAAACCTAACTCATCAAGGGAGGCATAGGAGACAAGACCCACTTGCCTTCCCTGGACCAACTGGTGCCAGCTCTGGTGAGAAACTGAGGCCTGTCTGCTGGGCCTCACTCAGGACCCAGTTAATGGGTGACTGGGTTTGAAGATTTCTAAGCTTGTTCCTGTTGTCTGTGAGTCACTGACCTGAAGGGCCTGGCCCCATGCACTGAACGGGGGCAGGAGTCAGTGTCACCCCCGCTGCCTCGGCCCCAGGACGGTGCTCCTGGTGGGAGACCCCGCCTGGGGAGGCGCAGGGCGGCTGGGAGAAATTCTGAGGACAAGGCCCGCGCTGCAGGAGCAGAGGGAGGAGCACAGGCCCCGGTCCCGCGCAGGCTCTGCTGTCCTCCCTGTGTGGTCGGGACGAGGCCCGGCTCAGAGCCGCCAAATTCACATCTGCAACCCAGGCCCCTGAGGGTGCAGGCTTGGACATCAGCAGCCAAGGCCCAGAGGCGTCCAGAACGAACACGTCCAAAGCCCAGCTCCTGCCCCCGCGGCCGGCTCCGGGACAGACTCCTCCCCAAATCTTCCTGCTCTCGGGAAATGGCAACTCTGTTCTTCCAGCTACTCAGCCCGAAAGCCCTGGAGTTGACCCTGACACCTCTTCTCTCACAGCCCGCACCCAGAGTGCCCGCACATCCTCTCCGCTCCATCTTCAGGATACATCAGAAAGTGTCCGTGTCTCACCGTGGGCGCCACGGCCGAGGTCCAAGCCCGCACCAGGTCCCCTCGCCCCTGCGCCTCCTCCGGAGGCTCCCTCCCATCACCCGGGTCCCTGCAGCCCCCGCTCCTCCCGGCCGCCAGAGGGCGCTTTGAACACTGCAGGCCACCGAGTCTCCCTTCTGCTCTGAGCCCTCCAGGGACTCCCAACCAGTGCAAAGGCCGGCGCCCTCCCAGTGGCTCCAGGCTCACCATCGGCTCCCCACCTCACTTCACCGCTGGCCCTGTTTCATCGTCCTCGCCCCATTCTTCCCTCCCTTCTGCGACCGTGGCCAGTATTAGAGCATTCCTGAGAAGAGAGATTTATTTTAAGGAACTGGCTCATTTGATGTTCAGGTGACAGGCAACTCTGAAATCCACAGGGCAGGCAGGTTGGCAGCCTGGAAATTCAGGAAGAGTTGATGTTGCATTTTCAAGCGCGAACGCTGGAAACTCAAGTCGAATTTCGATGTTGCGGTCTGGAGGCAGAAATCCTCCTTCCTCGGGAGACCGTAGTCATTATTCTTAAGGTCTTCAACCGAGTGGCCCGCCCACCATATAGAGGGTCATCTGCTTTACTCAAAGTCTACTAATTAAATGTTAATCACATTCCAAAGTTTGCCTTCGTAGCAACAGCTAGACTTGTTTGTCCAAACCATGGGCACCACAGCCTAGCCAAGACGACATAAAATTAGCATCACATGGTCCCTTTCCCCTTTCTTGAAGGCCGGTGTGGTCCAGCCTCCAGCCCTTATCCTCACTCCTCTTTGCGCAATATTCTGCTCCTACGCATGCGCATGAGTCTTAGCCTCCTAGCTGGCTGCCTCACCTCCTTTGGATTTTTCTGGATGTCGCCTCAGAGCAGCTGCCTCTGACAGCCCCATTTAGGTAGCAAGCCTTCCTCCACCAGCACTCCCAGTCCTCTTCCATGCTCTATTTTTGGCCATATTCGTTCATATTCATGGGGAAAAAAATACAAACTTTTCTTATTTTGTTGTCCATCTCCCTTTCTAGAATATAAGCTCCAACAGGTAAGCTCTGTACGAGTATGATTGCTACCCCAGTACCTAGAACAGTGGTACTAGAACAGGGTAGTTGCTTAAGAAATACTGGTTGAGTTAATAATAGCTTGAATTTAAGTACTTATTAAGGACCATACGCTGTTCTAAACACTTTTTGTGTTTTGTTTTGAGACGGAGTTTAGCCCTGTCGCCCAGGCTGGAGTGCAGTGGCGCGATCTCGGCTCACTGCAAGCTCACCTCCCGGGTTCATGCCATTCTCCTGCCTCAGCTGCCAGAGTAGCTGGGACTACAGGCGCCCGCTACCACGCCTGGCTAATTTTTTTGTATTTTTAGTAGAGACGAGGTTTCACCGTGTTAGCCAGGATGGTCTCGATCTCCTGACCTACTGATCCGCCCGCCTCGGCCTCCCAGAGTGCTGGGATTACAGGCGTGAGCCACTGCACTCAGCTGTTCTAAACACTTTTAATGTATCATTTCATTTTTGCAATAATTTTACAAGGTAAGTTCTAATATCCCCATACACAGATCAGACAATTGAGGCACAGATCACTTATGGTGCTAGCTAGTATGTGAAAGAGCCAGAATTTTAATCCAAATGGTCTGACTCCAGAGACTGAATTCTTAGCCACTCTGTTATGCTGCTTTCCATGAGTGAATGAATTTTTTTTTTTTTTTTTGAGACGGAGTCTTGTCCTGTTTCCCAGGCTAGAGTGCGGTGGCGCGATCTCCGCTCACTGCAAGCTCCAGCTCCCGGGTTCACGCCATTCTCCTGCCTCAGCCTCCCGAGTAGCTGGGACTACAGGCTCCAGCCACCACGCCCGGCTAATTTTTTGTATTTTTTAGTAGAGATGGGGTTTCACCATGTTAGCCAGGATGGTCTTGATATCCTGACCTCGTGATCCGCCTGCTTCGACTGCCCGAAGTGCTGGGATTACGGGCGTGAGCCACCGCGCCCGGCCAAATTTTTTTTAAAAAGAATGAAAGAAGAATAATTGATTTGTACCCACACCAGAAACCATGAAATTTGGAGTCAGAAAAACCTAGGTTAACATTCCAGATTTGCTGTGTACTGGAATATATGATTTGGACAACTTTCTTTTCTCTCTCTCTTTAATTTTTATTTTTTCACACAAGGTCTCACTCTGTTGCCCAGGATGGAGTGGGAGTGCAGTGGCATGATCTCGGCTCACTGCAGCCTTCACCTCCAGAGCTCAAGAGATCCTCCTGCCTCAGCCTCCTGAATAGCTGGGACTACAAGTGTGCGCGCCAGGAGGCCCAGCTAATTTTATTTTTTTGTAGAGATGGGGTCTCCCTATGTTGGCCAGGCTGGTCTCAAATTTCTGGGCTCAAGCAATCCTCCCACCTCGGCCTCCCAAAGTGCTAAGATTACAAGCATGAGCCACCACACCTGGCCTGAACAAGTTTCTTAGATTTTTTTTTTTTTTTTTTTTTTTTTTGAGACGGAGTCTTGTTCTGTGGCCCAGGCTGGAGTGCGTTGGTGCAATCTCGGCTCACTGCAACTTCCGCTTTCCCGGTTCACGCCATTCTCCTGCTTCAGCCTCCCGAGTAGCTGGGAGTACAGGCGCCTGCCACCATGCCTGGCTAATTTTTTGTGTGTTTTTAGTAGAGATGGGGTTTCACCATGTTAGCCAGGATGGTCTCGATCTTCTGACCTCGTGATCCGCCCACCTCGGCCTCCCAAAGTGCTGGGATTACAGGCATGAGCCACCGTGCCCGACCAAGTTTCTTAGATTCTTGAAGTCTGAAGTTCCTAAGGACAGAGAAGGGGGAAAAAAATCGACCTTTTTTTTTCTTTTTTTTTTTTTTTTCATTTGAGACGGAGTCTTGCTCTGTCGCCCAGGCTGGAGTGAAGGGGCGTGATCTCGGCTCACTGCAACCTCTGCCTCCCGGGTTCAAAACGTTCTCCGGTCTCGGTCTCCCGAGTAGCTGGGTATTACAGGTGCCCACCATCATGCCTGGGTAATTGTTGTATTTTTAATAGAGACGAGGTTTCGCCATGTTAGCCAGGCTGGTCTCAAACTCCTGAGCTCAGGTGATCTGCCCGCCTCGGCCTCCCAAAGTGGTGGGATTACAGGCATGAGTCACCACGCCCGGGCAAAAAAAAAAAAAAAAAATCTACCTTTTTTTTTTTTTTTTTTGAGACGGAGTCTCGCTCTGTCGCCCAGGCTGGAGTGCACTGGCTCGATCTCGGCTCACTGCAAGCTCCGCCTCCCGGGTTCACGCCATTCTCCTGCCTCAGCCTCCCAAGTAGCTGGGACTACAGGCGCCCGCCACTACGCCCGGCTAATTTTTTGTATTTTTAGTAGAGACGGGGTTTCACCGTTTTAGCCGGGATGGTCTCGATCTCCTGACCTCGTGATCCGCCCGCCTCGGCCTCCCAAAGTGCTGGGATTACAGGCAAAAATCTACCTTTTAATCCACCATACGTTAGCTTCTTTAAAGCCCTTTTGTCACACTGGATCCGGTTTTATAAGCCATTACTGCCCTCTAGTGGTCAGTTGGAATAACGGCATAACTGCTATGATAAATACAAACTCCCCAAATGGTGTCGCCCAAAGGCTAGTAGTTTCTACAGATAAAACAGCCCATCGTTTTTTAGTCTCCTGGATGCTGTTAGTCTTCAAGGACTAAGATCAGGGTTTCTCCAAAGGAGCCAGGGAGGATCATCCCATGTAGGCCCTTGTAGGAGAGAATGGCTCCAGGGGAATTACCCTGATGAAAAATACGTCACCCACACTTCCACACCCAAACAAATGAGCAAAGGATAACAGGCTTGTTGGGACTCACAGCTCAGTTGTCCAGACCTTCAAAGAATATATTCTCACTATGTGATTCATTTTATGTGTCAACTTGACTGAGTCATGGACTGCTCGGTTTATTTGGTCAAACATTGTGAGTGTATCTGTGAGGCTGTTTTTGGATGGGATTAACACTTGACTGAATAAAGCAAACTGCATGCCCCCATGTGGGTGGCCCTCATCCAGTCAGACCTGAATAGAACAAAAAGGCCACCCCTCCCTCAAGTAAGAGGCAATGTCTCCTGCCTGACCGTATGAGCTGGGACATGGGTCTTTTCCATTCTATAGATTTGAACTGAAACATTGGCTTTTCTTGGATCTCAAGCCAGTAGACTTTCAGACTGGAACACACATTGGCTCTCCTGGGTCTCCAGCTTGCTAACTGCAGATCTTGGGACTTCTCAACCTTCATAATCACATAAGCCAGTTTCTCATAATAAATAAATGGGTCCTGGCCGGGTGCAGTGGCTCACGCTTGTAATCCCAGCACTTTGGGAGGCCAAGGTGGGCGGATGACAAGGTCACGAGTTCAAGACCAGCCTGGGCAATATGATGAAACCCAGTCTCTACTAAAAATACAAAAATTAGCTGGGCCTGGTGGCAGGCGCCTGTAGTCCCAGCTACTCGGGAGGCTGAGGCAAGAGAATCGCTTGAACCCGGGAGGTGGAGATTGCAGTGAGCCAAGATTGTGCCACTGAACTCCAGCCTGGGCGACAGAGCGAGACTCCATCTCAAAAAAAAAATAAATAAATAAAAATAAGTCCTGTTGGTTCTGTTTCTCTGGAGAGCCCTAATACATTTTTTTTTTTTTCGAGACAGGCTCTTGCTCTGTCACCCAGGCTGGAGTCCAGTGGCGCTATCTCGGCTCACTGCAACCTCCGCCTCCCGGGATCAAGAGAATCTCGTGCCTCAGCTTCCAAAGTAGCTGGGACTAAAAGCATGTGCCATCACACCCAACTAATTTTTGTATTTTTGGTATTGATGGGGTTTCACCACGTTGGCCAGGCTGGTCTCAAATTCCTGACCTCAAATGATCTGCCCGCCTCGGCCTCCCAAAATGCTGGGATTACAGGCGTAAGCCACCACGCCGAGCCCTGACTAATACATTCTGTTTTATACAAACTGTTTTTACTGGGTGGAAAAGAAGGGAAAACTGCCTAACTTGTTTTGTAATACTAGTATGCCCTTGTCATCAGCCCACGACAGGGCAATTAAAGGTAAGAACATTTTAGAACAAGCTTAGTTACGGTTATAGATACAAACATCCTAAATAATAAAACAGAATCCATATGACATCTAAATTAGAAGCAAATATGTAGTAGAGTTTAGCCAAAAATGCAAGGATAGGTTAACAACAGGGAAAGAATTCCTGTTCTGAACCTTAATACATTAAAAGATAAAAAGTATATAATCACTTAAATAAATAATCATTTGATGAATTCATTCATTTTTCAAATCTTAGCAAATTAGGATTAGTAGGATAATACCTTAACCCTATAAAGGATATTTGCCAAATTCCTAAACATCAAATTCAACGGTGAAACTCTAGCATTCCCATAAAAGTTAAAAATATGAATGCCCTTTATTCAAAATTTGATGGGCATTTCTAGCTAATGTAATAAATATAATAGAAATCAGAGGCTTAGGAAGTAGGAAGAGGTAACACCATTCTTATATGCATGATTCATTTTCTATTTGGAAAATAAAAATCTACATGCAGAGCATTAGAATTGATAAGAGTATTTGACAGGTTAGTTGAATACAAGATCATCCCACACATTCTGACAGCACTCTTGTTAATTGCTTATTGGAGTAACAACAAATAAGAACATATTGTGTCCAGAGTCGGTTCCTTCTGGTGGGTTCTTGGTCTCACTGACTTCAAGAATGAAGCTGTGGACCTTCCCGGTGAGTGTTACAGCTCTTAAAGATGGCACGGGCCCAAAGAGTAAGCACCAGCGAGTTTTATTATGAAAAGTGAAAGAACAAAGCTTCCACAGCTTGGAAGGGGACCCAAGCCGGTTGTGGTGGCTGGCTGGGGTGGGGGGGGGTGGCCAGCTTTTATTCCCTTATTTGTCCCCACCCATGTCCTGCTGATGGGTTCATTTTACAGAGCACTGATTGGTCCATTTTACAGTGTGCTGATTGGCGCATTTTACAAACCTCTAGCTAGCCACAGAGCGCTGATTGGTGCATTTTTCAATCCTAGCTACAGAGTGCCAGTTGGTGCATTTTACAATTTTCTTGTAAGACAGAAAAGTTCTCCAAGTCCCCACCCAACCCAGAAGTCCAGGTGGCTTCACCTCTCAATGTGGCTGGGCTTGGAGGCTCACACCTGTAATCCCAACACTTTGGGAGGCTGAGGTGGGTGGATCACCGAGGTCAGGAGTTTGAGACCACCCTGGCCAACATAGAGAAACCCTGTCTCTGCTAAAAATACAAAAATTAGCCAGGTGTGGTGGTGCTTGCCTGTAATCCCAGCTACTCAGGAGGCTGAGGCAGGAGAATCGCCTGAACCCGGGCAGCGGAGGTTGCAGTGAGCCGAGATGGCTCCCCTGCACTCCAGCCTGGGGGACAGAGCAAGACTCCATCTCAAAAAAAAAAAAGCAAAAAAAAGCTGGGTGGGGTGGCTCACGCCTGTAATCCCAGCACTTTGGGAGGCCGAGGTGGGTGGATCACGAGGTCAAGAGATCAAGACCATCTTGGCCAACATGGTGAAACCCCGTTTCTACTAAAAATACAAAAATTAGGTGAGCGTTGTGGCACACACCTGTAGTCCCACCTACTCGGGAGGCTGAGGCAGCAGAATCACTTGTACCTGGAAGGCAGAGGTTGCAGTGAGCCGAGATCACACCACTGCACTCCAGCCTGGCGACAGAGTGAGAATCTGTCTCAAAAAAAAAAAAAAAGAAAGAATGTATTATTTATAATGCATTTCCAATAGCAACAAAAATTATAAGGCACCTAGGAATATACATGTAACATATTGATCTGCATTGATCAATATACAAAATATACATATAACAAAAGATGGCTAGATGTTTTCTCAGAAAACTATGAAACATTTTTAAATGTAAAGGAATACAAAACTAAACATACTCTTACCATACAACACAGCAGTCATGCTTTTTAATATTTAACCAAATGAGTTAAAAACATATCCGCCCAGAAAACCTGTGCATGGATGATTATAGCAGTTTTATTCATAATTGTCAAAACTTAGAAGCAACTAAGATGTCCTTTAGTAGGTAAATGGAGAAACTGTGGTACATCCATACAATTGAATATTAATTCAACTCTAAAAATAAATCAGCTATCAAGCCACAGAAAGAAATGGAGGAAACAAATGCATGTTACTAAGTGAAAGAAGGCAATCTGAGGCTGGGCACAGTGGCTTATGTCTGTAATCCCAGCACTTTGGGAGGCAAAGGCGGGTGGATCATCTGAGGTCAGGCGTTCGAGACCAGCCTGGACAAGATGCTGAAACCCTGTCTCTACTAAAAATACAAAAATTAGCTGGGCGTGGTGGTGTGCGCCTGCAGCTACTTGGGAGGCTGAGGCAGGAGAATCGCTTGAACCCAGGAGGCAGAGGTCACAGTGAGCTGAGATCGTGCCATTGCTCTCCAGCCTGGGCAACAGAGCAAAACTCCATCTTAAGTAAAAAATAAAAATAAATAAGCCAATCTGCAAAGGCTATGTACTGCATGATTCCAACTAATTGACATTCTGGAAAAGGCAAAACTATGGAGACAGTAAAAAGGACTGTTGTGGTCATGGGTTAAGGGGAAGGGAGGGATGAATAGGCAGAGCACAGATTTTTTTGTTGTTGTACTTTTTTGTTTGTTTGTTTGTTTGTTTGTTTTGCAATGGCATGATCTCCTCTCACTGTAACCTCTGCCTCCCAGGTTCAAGCCATTCTCCTGCCTCAACCTTCTGAGTAGCTGGGACTACAGGCATGTGCCAGCACGCCTGGCTAATGTTTACATTTTTAGTAGAGACAGGGTTTTGCCATGTAGGCCAGGCTGTTCTCAAACTCCTGACTTGAGAGGTGAAGCCAGCTGGACTTCCTGGGTGGAGTGGGGACTTGGAGAACTTTTCTGTCTTACAAGAGGATTGTAAAACCCACCAATCAACACTCGCAGCTAGGATTGTAAAACGCACCAATCAGTACTCTGTAACTAGCAAGGGGATTGTAAAATGCACCAATCAGCGCTCTGTAAAATGCACCAATCAGCAGGATCCTAAAAGTAGCCAATCGCAGGGAGGATTGAAAAAAGGGCATTCTGATAGGACAGAAATGGAACATGAGCGGGGACAGATAAGGGAATAAAAGCTGGCCACCCCAGCCGGCCACAGCACCTTGCTGGTGTCCACTTCCGTGGTGTGGAAGGTTTGTCCTTTTGCTTTTCCCAATGAAGCTTGCTACAGCTCACTCACTGGGTCCGTGCCATATATATATATATATATATATATTTTTTTTTTTTTTTTTTTTTTTTTTTTTTTTTGAGACTGAATCTTTCTCTTGTCACCCAGGCTGGAGTGCAGTGCGCCATCTCGGCTCACTGCAAGCTCCGCCTCCCGGGTTCACAGCATTCTGCCTCAGCCTCCTGAGTAGCTGGGACTGCAGGTGCCGGCCACCACACCCTGCTAATTTTTTTGTATTTTTAGTAGAGAGGGGGTTTCACTGTGTTAGCCAGGATGGTCTGCATCTCCTGACCTCGTGATCCGCCCGCCTCGGCCTCCCAAAGTGCTAGGATTACAGGCGTGAGCCACTGCTCCCGGCCAGGTCTGTGCCATCTTTAAGAGCTGTAATACACCCCATGAAGGTCTGCAGCTCCATTGCTGAAGTCAGCGATACCACGAACCCACCATCAAGAACCAACTCTGGACACATGACTTCAGGTGATCCATCCTCTTCGGCCTCCCAAAGTGCTGGGATTACAGGCGTAAGCCACGACGCCTGGCCCAGAGCACAGGTTTTTAGGGCAGTGAAATCATTCTGTGTTATATTATAATGGTGGATACATGTCATTTACATTTGTCAAAACCCATAAAATGTACAACACAAAGAGTGAAACCTAATGTAAACCATAAACTTTGGACGACGATGTGTCATTGCAGGTCCATCAATTGCAACAAATGCTTCACTCTGGTCAGGAATGCACCGCTTTGATGTGGGAAATAGGGGATATGGATATTGGGGAGGCTGTGTGTTGGTTGGCGGGGAGGCAAAGGATGTGTGGAAACTCAGATTTGCTGTGAACCCAAAACTTCTCTAAAAAATTAAGAAAAATCTAAATAAATGGAAATATTTAATTTGTTCATGGATATAAATATTCAATATAGTAATGTGGCAGTTAACCTATAAGTAAATCTGTAATTCCAAAGCTATTCCAACAAAACAAACTTACCAGCGTTTTTCATGGAACTAGACAAACTGATTCCAGATCCACGTGGATATAAAAAGGTCGGGCCAGACGCCGTGGCTCATGCTTGTAATCCCAGCACTTTGGGTGGCCGAGGCAGGCGGATCACGAGGTCAGGAGTTCGAGACCAGCCTGGCTAACACCGTGAAACCCCGCCTCTACTAAAAATACAAAAATTAGCTGGGCGTGGTGGCAGGCGCCTGTAATTCCAGCTACTCGGAAGGCTGAGGCAGGAGAATCGCTTTAACGCGGGAGGCATAGGTTGCAGTGAGCAGATATGAGGCCACTGCACTCCAGCCTGGGTGACAGAGCTAGACTCCATCTAAAAAATAATAATAATAAAAATCAATAAAGGTCCACGACTAGGCAAGAAAGGACCAAAAGGGAGGGAAGGGAAAGAAGGAAGAAAGGAAGAAGGAAGGGAAAAGAAAAGAAAAAAAAAACTAGAAATAAAGGAAAAACAATGCCAATTAAAACCACACAACCGGCTGAGCACGGTGGCTCACGCCTGTAATCCCAGCACGTTGGGAGACAGAGACGTGCGGATCACCTGAGGTCAGAGGTTCAAGAGCAGCCTCGCCAATGTGGCCAAACCCCGTCTCTACTAAAAATACAAAAATTAGCCAGGCGTGGTGGCGGGCACCTGTAATCTCAGCTACTTGGGAGGCTGAGGCAGGAGAATCGCTTGAACCAGAGAGACAGAGGTTGCAGTGAGCTGAGATCACGCCACTGCACTCCAGCCTGGGTGACAGAGACTCCGTCTCAAAAAAACACAAAATAAAGTAAAATAAATGAACCAGTTCTGTATGTAGAAATACAATGTGACAAAACGAGTTGCAGTAATATGTCTACAGACAAATATTTTTAAATTACAGTTTGTAAAATTATTAAAATGATATAACTTCTTGGCCTTTGGGCTAAGATCAGGTGTAAAAATTATCCAAATAAATAAAATCACTTCACACCCATTAAAATGGCCACTATCACAAGAACAGGAAATAAGAACTCTTAATGAAGATGCAGAGCAATTGGAACCCTTATGCCCTGGGTTCCAATTCTCTGAACATTGGGTTGGTGGGAATGGGAAATGGTGCAGCCACTATGGAAAACGGTATGGAGGTTCCTCAAAAAATTAAAAATAGAATGACCATATGATCCAGCAAATATCATTTCTTAGTTTTTGTCCGAAATAAAGCAGGATCTCAAAGAGATAGTTGCACACCCACATTCATTACAACATTATTCACAATAGCCAAGAGGTAGAAGCAACCCAAAAATGGCCATTGATGATGCAACAATAAAGAAAATGTGGTTTATTCACATAGGGGAATATTATACGACCTTGAAAAAGAAAGGAAATCCAGTCACATGCTGCAACATGGATGAACCTCAAGAACATTATGCTAAGTGAAATAAGCCAGTCACAAAAGGACAAACACTGTATGATTACACTCATGTGAAGAATCTAAAGCAGTCAAAATTACAGAAGCAGAAAGTGGAAAGGTGGTTGCTGAGGGTGGAGGTGGGGGAGGGAGAATTCATGTTTAGTAGATACACAGTTTCAGTTTTGCAGCGAGAAAAAGTCCTAGATGTCTGTTTCACAAGCCTTTAAATACACTTAAGGCTACTGAACCTGCCCTTAAAATGGGTCAGAGGGTAAACAATGTTACGTGTTTTTTTTAAGTACATAGAAGTCATCATTTAAACCATTTTAAAGTACACAACTCAGTGGTTTTTAGTATATGCAGATGTTTTGCAACCACCACCACTGCCTAATTCTGGAACATTTTTATCACCCAAAAAGGAGCCCAGCACCCATTAATCAGCCACTTGTGTTCTCCTCTTCCCCCTTGGCAACCACTAATCTGCTTTCTGTCTCTGGATTTGCCTATTCTGTGTAAATGTAGTCATGTAATAGGTAGCCTTTTGCATCTGGCTTCTGTCACTTAAGATGTCTTCAAGGTTGATCTGGCGGGGCACGGTGGCTCACGCCTGTAATCCCAGCACTTTGGGAGGCCGAGGTGGGTGGATCACCTGAGGTCAGGAGTTCGAGACCAGCCTGGCCAACATAGTGGAACCCTGTCTCTACTAAAAATACAAAAAATTAGCTGGACGTAGTGGCAGGTGCCTGTAATCCTAGCTACTCGGGAGACTGAGACAGGAGAATCGCTTGAACCCAGGAATTGCTTGAACCCAGGAGACGGAGTTTGCAGTGAGCCGAGATCATGCCATTGCACTCCAGCCTGGGCAACAAGAGCAAAACTCTGTCTCAAAAAAAAAAAAAAGAAAGAAAGAAATAAGCCAGTCACAAAAGGACAAATACTGTATGATTACACTCATGTGAAGAATCTAAAGCAGTCAAAATTATAGAAGCAGAAAGTGGAAAGGTGATTGCTGAGTGTGGAGGTGGGGGAGGGAGAATTCATGTTTAGTAGATACACAGTTTCAGTTTTGCAGCCAGAAAAAGTCCTAGATGTCTGTTTCACAAGCCTTTAAATACACTTAAGGCTACTGAACCTGCACTTAAAATGGGTCAGAGGGTAAACAATGTTATGTGTTTTTTCAAGTACATAGAAGTCATCATTTTAACCATTTTAAAGTATATAATTCAGTGTTTTTTCTGTTGTTTAGAAGCAACCCAAAAATGGTCATTGATGATGCAACAATAAAGAAAATGTGGTTTATTCACATAGGAGAATATTATACGACCTTGAAAAAGAAAGGAAAACCATCTTAGTGGTGGTTGCAGATGTTTTGCAACCACCACCACTGCCTAATTCTAGAACATTTTTATCACCCCAAAAAGGAGTCCCACACCCGTTAATCAGCCACTTGTATTCTGCTCTTCCCCGTTGGCAACCACTAATCTGCTTCTGTCTCTGTGGATTTGCCTATTCTGTATAAATGTAGTCATATAATACGTAGCCTTTTGCATCTAGCTTCTGTCACTTAAAATGTGTTCAAGGTTGATCACACAGGGTGTGGTGGCTCACGCCTGTAATCCCAGCACTTTGGGAGGCCTAAGCAGGCAGATTGCTTGAGCCCAGGAGTTCGAGACCTGCCTGGGTGACATGGCAAAACCTCATCTCTACAAAAAATACAAAAATTAGCCAGGTGTGGTGGTGCGTGCCTGTAGTCCCAGCTACTTGCGAGGCTAAGGTGGGAGGATGGCTTGAGCCCAGGAGGTAGAGGTGGTAGTGAGCAGAGATCGCACCACTGCACTGCAGCCTGGGTGACAGACCCAGAGCCTGTCTCAAAAAAAAAAAAAAAAAAAAAAAAGGGCCGATCCATGTTAGCATGGATTGGCACTTGATTTATTTTTATTGCTTAATAATATTTCATTATATGGATAGGCCACATTTTGTTTATCCATTTATCAGTTGATGGACGTTTGGATTGTTTCCATTTTTTTTTTTTTTTGGCTGTGAGGAATAATGCTTCCATTAACACACATTCTGTTTTGCTCATCGAAATAGATTGGAAGGAAACACATCAGATTAGTAGTAACAACTGCTCCTGGGATTGAAAGGAGGGGAGGAATTGGACTGGGCAGAGGAACAAAGGGAACTTCAGCTCTGTCTATGATGCTCTATTTGTTTTATATAAAAAAAAATCTGAAGCAAAAATGTTAACAGTTGCTTATTCTGAGTGGTAAGCACATGGGCGTTAGTTAAGTTCACCTCTGAGCTTTCTATATTTTAAATGTTTAAACTAAAACAATGCATACTCTGGACCTATGCCTTCCTATAGCATAAGGGGGTTGTGGGGTCCAGGATAAGCAAACATTGAAGTGTGGGGAGAGGCCAGGAGGAAGAGGCCAAGCCATGGCTAGGGGGCGCAGGCTTGAGGCCCTTTGAGACCCAAGGCAGAAACTCTGACCCCACCCGCATGGCTCTTCTGGGACCCTTCCCCTGCCCAGGAAGAGGTCCTAGATCTAATCTCCATGACTCCTCAAAGAAAAGCCAGCACAAGGTCCAAGCTGGGAGAGACTGTCCTGACCCCATGTCTCCTGCCTTCTCTGCGTGCTCTGAAAGGGGTCATCCACCCCAGTGTCCTTACTTTCCACCTTCCTCAATCTTCTGCTCAGGATCAGCTACATCATTTGTGAGGCCAGGTGCAAAATGACAGCGTGGAGCCCCTTGTTCGAAGGCTGATGCCGAGGCAATTCCTAACTCCACAGGGGCAGCCACAATCTGAGTGGTGTCAACATGCCAGGGACTGAGGCAGGAGCCACCAGGGTGAGTAACTGGGTGCATGCATCTGTTCGCACATGCTGCATTCAGATGAGTGCTTAGCACGTGCCTGGCCCGGCTGGGCCCTGAGCATAGAGGGTGAGCAAGACACAGTCCAGCTTTGAGAAGCTTACATTCTAGAGGGGGCATAGATGTAATCACAGACACACAAGAGATCATCACAAATGGCAGTAAGTGCTATGAAGAAAAAGTAGAAGGACCATGAGATAACGACGGCAGGGTCCCCTGATCACGAGACTCCCAGGGAGGGACACTGGAGCCACGATCTGAGGGCCATTATTTTAGCAAAAGATGGGAATATAGTGCAAGGGTGAGATTGGGAAGAGCATTCCAGAACGTTCCTGGCAGATGAGCATGTGACATCTTCAAGGACCTGCAAGACCAGTGTAGCTAGAGCCAGGGAGGGAGGGACAGACAGCCCCCGATGAAACTGAAGAGAGGTCTAATTTCCTGAGCCTTGTTCTAGTACCATCGATGGTGGCTCCTCTTGTACTATCATTTCTTTAATATTTTTCTTTAAATTGGCTCCCTTTATATCCTCCTAAGCAAGAATATTCATGAAATTAAAGAATGACATAACACTTCTATTTTTCTAATTCACAGGTGAAATTTTAAAATGTCCTTCCACATCCACCTAAAATTGTCCACCTTATCACCTCAGTTTGGAAAAGACTTTTGCCAGCTCCTTTCTTAAGAGCCTTGGGAAGCCTCTAGCAGGATTTCAGCTGGGTGAGAGGCTGGCGACATGGTCTCACTTACATTTCTGAAAAAGGACTCTGTCTACCATGTGTAGAGTGGATTACAGGGGAGACGGAGAAGGAGGCTGTTGCAGGCATCCGGGAGGAACCACTGGGGGATCAGATTTGGGTGTTCAGGAGGAGAAGGGAGCTGGGCTTTCCCACCAGTGCCCACACAAGCCCTGCCCTCCAAAACCAAAATCTTCTTTCTTTTGTGTCCTTGTGCTGACTCAAGGCCAGTTCAGTGGGTTCTCCTGTGATCCTCCTGTGATCCTCCTGTCTCAGTGTCAGCTCCAGGATTCAGGACGGTGTGTCCAGTGCCCCTGTGAGAGCCCAGATCCCTGGGCCAGTCAGGCTGACCACAGTCGGGACTTTGGGTCACACCCAGTCAGGCCCTGTGGTCTCCAGTGCAGCAACAACAGCATCCACAGACAGGCCACTCTGTGCATGTTTCAGGAACTGAGTTATATGATTTCTTTCTTTCTCTCTCTCTCTTTCTCTTTCTTTCTTTCTTTTGATATAGCCTGGCTCTGTCACCCAGACTGGGGTGCAGTGGTGTGAACACAGTTCACTGCAGCCTCAAACTCCTGGGCTCAAATGATCCTCCCACCTCAGCCTCCCGAGTAGGTAGGACTGCAGGTGTGTGCCACCACACCTGGCGAATTTTTTTTTTTTTTTTTTTTTTTAGAGATAGGGTCTTACTATGTTGTCCAGGCTAGTGAATTCCTGGGTTCATGTGATCCTCCCAGCTCAGAAGTTATATGATGTCTATCACTCTATCACCTACGTATTGATGACCCCTAAGTCTACATGGCCCAAAGTCCACACCCTTAACCACTGGGCCATACTGCTTTTTTTCCCTCATGACCTATCCCTCATAGCCTTCCTCACTCCCAAGCTTTCTACCTTCAGGAAGACTTGACTCCCTCTGACATTGCTTCCCTAAGGGCTTCTGTCAGCTCTCCCAGCCTCCTCTGGGAAGGGCCCTTCCCCATTGCTGCTTCTAAACCATTGCTCCTCCATCTCCTGCAAAACAACAAAATCTCTCCGCTTTTAAGACTGCTGCAAAACTGCCCTGTACTCCTCCAGTTCACAAGGTATATGATGAAGGAGTTGGGGAAGGGGGATGCGCCAATGTGCCCACCATGAGCTAGATACCAGGGTGCAATGGTGACCAAGAGTGACACAACCTGGCACCCCCCATGCAGTGGGGAAAGGAAGCAATTCCAGGACGTCCACCCAAAGAAGGGAAGGAAGGCTTTCTAGAGCAGGCGATTTCTGAGCTGAAGATTTCAAAAAGACTGGAGCAATGCTGGAAGGTGGTAAGCACAGTCATGGATTGGAGAAGGAGGGAGAGGAAAGCAGAGACAAGGAAAAGACAGTTTTGGAAGCCTTTGTTAAGACATTTAAAGTTTACTCTGGGCCTGGCATGATGGCTCATGCCTGCGATCCTAGCACTTTGGGAGGCCAAGACGGGTGGATCACCTGAGGTCAGGAGTTCAAGACCAGCCTGACTAACATGGCGAAACCTCATCTCTAATAAAAATACAAAAATTACCCTGGCGTGGTGGTGGGCGCCTGTAATCCCAGCTACTCAGGAGCCTGAGGCAGGAGAATCACTTGAACTCGGGGGGCGGGGGCAGAGGTTGCAGTGAGCCAAGATCACGCCACTTCACTCCAGCCTGGGTGAAAGAATGAAACTCCATCTCAAGGAAAAAAAAAAACAAAGTTTACTCTGAAGGCAATGGAGAGTTACTGAAGCAATTGAGCAGGACTGGATTTAGATTTGTTTATTTATGCATACATACATATGTATATAAACATACATACACACGCACACACACGCACACATACTTATTTAGAGACAAGGTCTCACTGTGTTGCCCAGACTGGAGTGCAGTGGTGTGCTCATAGCTCACTACGGCTTCTAATTCCTGGGCTCATGCAGTCCTCTCACTGGGACTATAGGCAGGCACCATCATGCTCAGATAATTTTGTGTGTGTGTGTGTGTGTGTGTGTGTGTGGAGGCAGGGGTCTTGCTGTGTTGCCCAGGCTGGTCTCAAACTCCTGGCTGCAAATGATCCTCCTGCCTTGGCCTCCTAAAGTGTCTGGATTACAGGTGTGAGTCACTTTGCCCAGCCTGGATTTGCATTTTAGAAAGATGCTGGCTGGGCGCGGTGGCTCACGCCTGTAATTCCAGCACTTTGGGAGGCTGAGGCAGGCAGATCACCTGAGGTCAGGAGTTTGAGACCACCCTGACCAACATGGAGAAACCCTGTCTCTACTCAAAATACAAAATTAGCCAGGCGTGGTGGTGCATGCCTGTAATCCCAGCTACTCGGGAGGCTGAGGCAGGAGAATCGCTTGAACCCAGGAGGCAGAGGTTGCAGTGAGCCGAGATCAGGCCATTGCACTCCAGCCTGGGCAACAAGAGCAAAACTCCATCTCAAAAAAAAAAAAAGGGAAAGAAAAGAAAAGAAAGAAAAACAAAAAGAAAGAAAGATGCCTCTGGCTGCTGTGGGAGAATGGAAGGGGGTGGGAAGAGACCCAGGCTGAGAGACTGTTTGGAGTGGAAGGGAGAATTAGGATAGGCCTAGGGATCCCATGAGGTATGAGCAGGATGTGGCTGGATGGGGGAGTAGAGTGAAAAGAGAAACAGGTTTATGCCCAGGCTCTTGTGATGTGGGCAATTGGGTGAATGGGAAGGACCAATTGAGTACCTGCCCTATGCTGGGAACTGAAGATGCTGGGAACTGAAGCACAAACAAGACCTACCAGACCCCTACCCTCATAGAGCTTACCCTTCAAATAAATGAATTTATTCATTTATTTTCATATGTTCTGGGATTTTCATATGTTCTGGGATGGTAATAAGCAGAGCACCACGATAGAGAAACAGACGCACCTACTAAGGAAGGGTGGCTTCCATGAGGAGGAGATGTGTGAGCTGAGACCTGGAGGATGAGAAAGGCTCCAGCCAGAGAAAGTGAGTCCTGGAATAAAGATACAGCTAATGCAAAGACCCAAAGGGCCAGGGTAGCTGGAGGGGATGTCATACACCAGGGAGGAGTGCTTGGAGGAGAGCCTGGAGACTAAAGGCCTGAGTGTCACCATCAGGGCCCAGAGGAAGTGCCTGCGGTGTTGAATACACCAGGCAGGGACACAAGAGGAGGGGCAGGGGAAGACCCTCAGTTCAGCCTGGGGCTTCATGAACTTCAGGTGGCCCATGGTTCATCCAGGGAGCATGTTGGAGCTCGCTAGAGTGGAGCTGGGCTGTGGATGCACCTGTGGGGGTCACTGGCGTGGATAGTAATCAAAGCCAGGCGATTAGAGGAAACCACCCAGGGAGAGCAGCATACAGAGTCAGGTCTAAACTTGCACTTGCAGCAGAATGACCTGGAGGGATTGCTAAAGCACAGATTGCTGCCAGGCATAGTAGTATGAGCCTGCAGTCCCAGCTACTCCAGAGGCTGAGGCAGGAGGATCGCTTAAGCCCAGGAGTTCAAGACCAGCCTGGGCTATGTAGTGAGACTCCCACCATCATGTATCTTAAAACAAACAAACACACATTGCTGAGCTGAGCTCCCACTCCTGAAGTTTCTGATTCAGTAAGTCTTTTTTTTTTTTTTTTTTTTTTTGAGACAGGGTGTCGCTCTGTTGCCCAGGCTGGAGTGCAGTGGCGTGATCTCGGCTCACTGCAAGTTCCACCTCCCGGGTTCGTGCCATTCTCCTGCCTCAGCCTCCCAAGTAGCTGGGACTACAGGTGTCCACCACCAGGCCCGGCTAATTTTTTGTATTTTTAGTAGAGACGGGGTTTCACCGTCTTAGCCAGGATGGTCTCGATCTCCTGACCTCGTGATCCACACACCTCGGCCTCCCAAAGTGCTAGGATTACAGGTGTGATCCACCGTGCCTGGCCCTGATTCAGTAAGTCTTGGGCATTCCCAGGTGACTGTGAGTCTGCTGGCCCAGAGGCCACACTTTAAGAACCATTGATATTACATGGGGAGAGAGCACCTAACAGTAAGAAACAGGACCGTGTAAGGGATGATAGAGAAAGACCAACTTGTAAAGACATTTCTGAGAAGGGGCAACTGGAGAGGTAAAAGAAGTTGTGTGAATAATTGAATAATATCTGTCTCCCCACTAGGCCATAAGCTCTAGGAAGGTGGAAGTCAGGGCTGTTTTGGTCTCTATTGTATCCCCAGCAACGTAGCACAGAGCCTGGTCCCAGAAGACACCAGTGTTTGTGAAATGGAGTTGGGGAGATGTAAGTCAACTCACAGACGCCAAGGAAGGGAAACATTCCATGGAGGAGGCAGGCAATGGTATCAAATGCTCCAGAAAGGCAAATAAGATATGATCTGCACCCTTTGCCCACTTCAGCACCCCTCATTCTCAGCCAATTTTTCCAGAAAACAGGTCATCCACCAGGAGCTGCCTCCCCTTTCCAGAATCCTCCTCCCATCCTTTGTTTCTTTCCTCTCCTCCTTGGGAGGAACAGTGGAAGGCAACACACTCTTCTGTCCTGGCTGAATGCCTCCCCTAGAGCCCCAGGTCCCACCCCCTCCTTATTCCCTGGGAACTTCGCCACATGACACTTCACTCTCTCCGGGATCTTCCATCTTCTCCCTTCAACCAGCTTATCTTCAGCAACAAACACCCTCTAGTCACTGCCATCTTGAAAAGCCTCCCTGGTTGGATTTACAGTTGGAAATCCCACCTAGCTAGCACCACTGCCACCGTTGCCACCCCTCGGGCTACTCCTCAGCCCCCTCACTGGCCCTTCAGTGCAGGCATTCCAAAGGGTTCCAGTGTTTCACCTTCTCCTCTCCGCCGACTTCTGCCATCATGCAAATGCTGATGACTCACTAGCCTATGTGGTCATTTGTTCACTCAGCCAACATTTCTGGAGCAACTACTCCATTCCAGACATTGTGTTAGACAGTAGGGACACAATGGTGGAGAAGACATTGTCGCCTGACTCTGTGCGGTTTATAGTCTAGTAAGACAGGTGTGCTAGAATTGTTAGAGAACAATAGGCAGAGAAGGTAAGTAGCAAAGCAAAGTGGAGGCGGTGCTATCTTAGATGGGATTGGCATGAAAGGCCTCTGGTGGGAGGTGATATTGAAGGGGCACCTACAGAGTGAAGATGAGCCAGGCAGTAAAGAATCGGGCAAAGAGCCTTCCACGCAGAGGGAAGAGCAATTTGCAAAGGCCCTGAAATGCAAAGGGTTCAAGGAGCAGAAAAAAGAGCTGTGTGGCTGGAGCATCATAAAGAAGGCATGAAGTGGAATGAGACTGAGGAGGCAAGAATCAGTTAGCACATGCAGGGCCTGCAAACCACAGTAAAGAGTCTGGATGCTGTTTTTATTTTTATTATTTATTTATTTATTTGTTTGTTTATTTTTGAGATGGAGTCTCGCTCTGTCGCCAGGCTAGAGTGCAGTGGCGAGATCTTGGCTCACTGCAACCTCAGCCTCCTGGGTTCAAGTGATTCTCCTGCCTCAGCCTCCCGAGTAGCTGGGATTACAGGCACGCACCACCATGCACGGCTAATTTTTTGTATTTTAGTAGAGACGGGGTTTCACCATGTTGGCCAGGCTGGTCTTGATCTCCTGACCTCGTGATCCACCTGCCTCGGCCTCCCAAAGTGCTGGGATTACAGGCGTGAGCCACCGCGCCCAGCCAGCTGGCTACTTTTAAGGGATGATTTGGTACAGCTGTAAGTGGAGACTGCTGAGGCTTCTTTTCTCTGGATCTGTTTCTGGGTCAGAGCCAGATCATGGGTCAGGAAGCTGAGCCGCTTGCCTGCAGAGCTATCCTGGGCAGCATGCAAGTCCCCTTCTCTCCTGAGCATCCCTCTTCCTGCTTTTGGTCACCAGACTTTCATGACAGGCTCCTGGTCCCAGGTGCTCAGGAACTGGGTTGCTGAACATGCTTCCTGTTGACATGAGATGAATTTGTGGGTATGAACTGCTTTGCCAGCAGGGCACTGTGGCTCATGCCTGTAATCCCAACATTTTGGGAGGCTGAGGCAGAAGGATTGCTTGAGCCCAGGAGTTCAAGACCAAGCTTGGCAACATAGGCAATATAGTGAGACCACGTCTCTAAAAAAAATATTATTTTTTTTTTTGAGATGGCATGTCATTCTGTCGCCCAAGCTGGAGTGCAGTGGCACAATCTTGGCTCACTGCAACCTCCGCCTCCTGGGTTCAAGCAATCTGCCTGCCTCAGCCTCCCGAGTAGCTGTGGCTACAGGCGCACGCCACCATGCCTGGCTAGTTTTTGTATTTTTAGTAGAGATGGGGTTTCACCATGTTGGCCAGACTGCTCTTGAACTCCTGACTTCAGGTGATCCACCCGCCTCGGCCTCTCAAACTGCTGGGATTACAGTAGTGAGCCACCATACCAGGCCCCAGAAAAAATTTTTTTAATTAGCTGGACATGATGGCACACACCTGTAGTCCCAGCTACTCAGGAGGCTGAGGTGGGAGGGTTGTTTGAGCCCATGAGGTCGAGGCTGCAGTGAGCTGTGATTGTGCCACTGCACTCCAGCCTGGGCAACAGAGTGAGACCCCATAAAAAAAAAAGGAAGGCCTGCGTGGAGGCTCAGGCCTGTAATCCCAACACTCTGGGAGGCCGAGGCGGGCGGATCACGAGGTCAAGAGATCGAGACCATCCTGGCCAACATGGTGAAACCCCCGTCTCTACTAAAAATACAAAAATTAGCTGGGCATGGTGGTGCACACCTGTAATCCCCCCTACTTGGGAGGAGGAGGTAGGAGAATCACTTGAACCCAGGAGGTGGAGGTTGTAGTGAGCCAAGATCTCACCACTGCACTCCAGTCTGGCAACAGAGCAAGACTCGGTCTCCAAAAAAAAAAAAAAGAAATGCTTTGTCTACCTTAAGGGCCATCCACAAGAGGCACAATCGTTGAGAGTCTGTGTTAGTTTGGGTCCTCAGAAACAGACACCAAAATGGGGTAGGATGTGCAAGAAATTTATTTGGGGAATTCCTGTAAGGAAAAAGGGAGGGGAAGGGAGTAGAAGTAGGTGGGGCAAGCCTTCATACCATGATGCACGTCTGATAGTTGTGTTAAAGAACAAAATTGTTCAAGGATACTCGTTAAAACATGGTAAGGAAACTTTACTCAGGACCATCTTGCAGTGGGGGAGATTGGGCTCCACTCTGAATACAGCATGGACAAGAGGGAATTTACTGCCAAGGAGCAGGGTGGGGGTCAGTGGATGGAAAATTTCTAAGAGGAAGTATCAGAAGTAAGGAGAATTCTGGCTAAACAGACCTAACAGGATTCTTGCTGAATGCAGGCCTGGGTGATCAGACATCACCTTGGGGATGGTGGAAAATAAGGAATCTGATATTACGGATTGGGGTCGGGGGGGTTGGCTAAACTGACTCAGCAGCGTTCTTTTATTAAAGCTGTATTTTACAAGGAAGTGCACGGATTGGCCTAGGAGAAGTTTCAGAAGTCTGACTAGGCTGGGCGCAGTGGCTCACGCCTGTAATCCCAGCACTTTGGGAGGCCGAGGCGGGCAGATTGCTTGAGGTCAGGAGTTCAAGACCAGCCTGGCCAACATGGCGAAACCTCATCTCTACCGAAAAACACAAAAATTAGCCTGGCGTGGTGGCATGCACCTGTGACCCCAGCTACCTGGGAGGCTGAGGCACGAGAATTGCTTGAACCCAGGAAGCGGAGGTTGCAGTGAGCCGAGATCATGCCACTGCACTCTAGCCTGGATGACAGAGCGAGACTCCACCTCAAATAAAACAAACAAAAAAAAAACCTGACTAAAGTTTGGCCAAGCCAAGAATCTTTGTCAGCTTTGCAAAAAAGTGGAAGAGAAGGTTGGGTACAAATTGCTTCACACTGTAGCACAGTTTTAAGAAAATGTTGTCCTGGTAGATAAGTTCTCAAGCAATGGATATGTATTAGGAGAGTCCCATGCCAGGCAGGAATAGGCTGGCATTTATGCTTCCACTATGCTCACCATTGGCTGGAGTGGCCTGGTGGAAGCATAGTCCCTACGTGAATGTGACAGGGGATCCAAAGGGACAATAGCTATCAATCAAGTACACACCCCACGGCAGCGTCTCTTGAAGGAGTTAGGAGTAGCACACTTCCGTGACTGCCACACTTTTCTTTTTCTTTTCTTTTTTCTTTTCTTTTTTTTTTTTTCTGAGACGGAGTCTCGCTCTGTCGCCCAGGCTGGAGTGCAGTGGCGGGATCTTGGCTCACTGCAAGCTCTGCCTCCTGGGTTTACGCCATTCTCCTGCCTCAGCCTCCTGAGTAGCTGGGACTATAGGCGCCCACCACCACGCCCGGCTAATTTTTTGTATTTTTGTAGTAGAGACGGGGTTTCACCGTGTTAGCCAGGATGATCTTGATCTCCTGACCTTGTGATCTGCCCGCCTCAGCCTCCCAAAGTGCTGGGATTACAGGCGTGAACCACCGCGCCCGGCCCGTGATTGCCACACTTTTCTACCAGCTGCCAGGGGCCAGGCCATAAGCAGTTTACTCAACTGCCTGAGCCTCAGGTCTCTCTCTGCAAAGTAGTGATGATACCTACTTTCCTTGACTGTTGTGAACATTAAGTAAAATCATGAGGCCGGGCACAGTGGCTCACACCTGTAATCCCGGTACTTTGGGAGGCCAAGACGGGCAGATCACCTGAGGTCAGGAGTTCGAGACCAGCCTGGCTAACATGGTGAACCCCTGTTTCTACTAAAAAAAAAAAAAAATTAGCCGGGCATGGTGGTGTGCACCTGTAATCCCAGCTACTCGGGAGGCTGAGGCAGGAGTATCGCTTGAACCCGGGAGGCAGAAGTTGCAGTGAGCCGAGATCACGCCATTGCACTCCAGCTTGGGCAACAAGAGAGAAACTCCATCTCAAAAAAAAAAAAAAAGAAAAGAAAAGAAAATGATGCATGTAAGCCCCAGTAAATGTTAGTTTTTGGTTATTTATTTATTTTTAGAGACAGGGTCTTGCTTTGTCACCCAGGCTGGAATGTAGTGGTGTGATCACGGCTCACTGCAGCCTCAAATTCCTGGGCTCAAGTGATCCAGTGATCCTCCTGCCTCAGCTTCCCAAGTAGCTAGGACTATAGGTGCATGCCACCATGCCTGGCTAATTTTTTTTTTTTTTTTTGAGACAGAGTTTCGGTCTTATTGCCCAGGCTGGGGTGCAATGGCGCAATCTTGGCTCACTGCAACCTCTGCCTCCCGGGTTCAGGCAATTCTCCTGCCTCGGCCTCCCGAATAGCTGGGATTACAGGCATGCACCACCATACCCAGCTAATGTTTTTGTATTTTTAGTAGAGACGGGGTTTCTCCATGTTGGTCAGTCTGGTCTTGAACTCCCAACCTCAGGTGATCCGCCCGGCCACACAAAGGGCTGGGATTACACGCATCAGCTACCGTGCCCGGCTCTGGCTAATTTTTTAAATGTTTGTAGAAATGGGGTCTTGCTATGTTGCCCAGGCTTGTCTTGAACTCCTACCCTCAAGTGATTGTAGGCAGCATTGGAATTAGAGCAATAAAATATTTAAGTCTCAACCCACTCTTGCCAGCTTTGTTATCTTGGCCAGTTACTCCACAGGGCCTACAGCAGTGCCTGGCGTGTAGGAAGCACTGTGTAGTATTGTCTGTTTCTGTCATTATTTCCAAATAATAGTATTGGGTCAATTACTTCTGGGAAAGGCCATACTGTAGATGGCATTCAAGGACCCCTGCAAGATCTCAACTTTACTTTGCAGTTTCCTTCCTCACTAGACACATGCACACACACATACACACTTCTGAGTTCTAGTCCTATTCAGCTGCTCACAGCAACCTTGAAAATGTCACATTATAATAATATAGTATTATTATCCACTGTACATTAAATGCTTCCTGTGTGCCTAGCACCGTGTAAAGGTTTACATATATTATCTTATACCATTTCTAATCCATTGATGAGGAAACTAAGGCCAAGGACTGGGAAATGACTTACCCAAGCCAATAAATGGCTTGTCTGCCTCTGGCCTTCTGTTTGCAGAATGCTCTTCCCACTTCCACTCCAAAACACTATCTTCTTGGCCAGGCGTGGTGGCTCACACCTGTGGTCCTAGCACTTTAGGAGGCTGAGGTGGGAGGATCTCTTGAGGAGTTCAAAACCAGCCTGAACTACATAGTGAGACCACGTCTCTACAAAAACAACAACAACAGCAACTATCTTCTAAAGGTCCAGCTCCATGACCACCTCCAGGAAGCCTTCCCTGATCACCCTTGGTACAGATAATCTCTCTCTTTTGGTCAGGCGCGGTGGCTCACGCCTGTAATCCCAGCACTTTGGGAGGCCGAGCAGGTGGATCACAAGGTCAGGAGTTTGAGAGCAGTCGGACCAACATGGTGAAACCCCGTCTCTACTAAAAATACAAAAATTAGCTGGGTGTGGTGGCGCGTGCCTGTAATCCCAGCTACTCAGGAGGCTGAGGCAGGAGAATTGCTTGAATCCGGGAGGCAGAGGCTGCAGTGAGTCAAGATTGCACCGCTGCACTCCAGCCTGAGCGACACAGCGAGACTCTGCCTCAAACAAACAAACAAACAAACAAAAAACCTCTCTCTTTTGCCTGGAGACCCTGTCTGTGGCGCCCATCTCCATATGCCTTGGGATGTAATAATTGATCCAGGAGTCAGTTGGTCACTAGACTGTGACCAATTCCAGGAAAGGAATAATGTCTTACTCATCTTTGTAGCCAGTGTTCAGCCTGGGGACTTGAACAGGAGAATAGCAGTTATGATTCTCCTCGTTCATACCCCTGATCTCCACAGATGATGGATTTTCCACATTTGTTTCAGCTTTTAATATCTGGTTCTTGGTCATGCCACACACACATTTAGTCCTGGTTTGAGGTCTGAAAATGATCTTGACACATAGTAGGTGCTCAATAAATGTTGGTGTCTTCATCCGTTTTGTGCTGCTATAACAGAATACCACAGATTGGGTAGTTTATAAAGAACAGAGATTTATTTCTCACAGTTCTGGAGGCTGGGAAACCCAAGACTGAAGGGCCTGCATCTGGCCAGGGCCTTCTGTCATCCCATGGCAGAAGGTGGAAAGGTGAGGGAGTGTGTGGTGGGGAGGGAAAGGGCCCAGCTCTTCCTTTTATCAGGAACCCACTCCTTTGATAACAGCATTAATCCATTCATAGGGGCAGAGCCCTTTTGACCTAACCGACTTTTTTTTCTTTTTTTTTTTTTTTTGAGACAGAGTCTCGCAGTGTCACCCAAGCTGGAGTGCAGTGGCGCGATCTCGGCTCATTGCAAGCTCCGCCTTCCGGGTTCACGCCATTCTCCTGCCTCTGCCTCCCGAGTAGCTGGACTACAGGCGCCCGCCACCACGCCCGACTAAGTTTTTGTATTTTTAGTAGAGATGGGGTTTCACCGTGTTAGCCTGGTCTCTATTCTTAAAAGGACTTACTGAGCTCATCACACAGATGGGAGGCTTGGAGATGTGACAACTACTGTCTACAGTTGTGCAGCCTGTCTTGGTGCTTGGGCCAGACCTCTAGGATTTCAGAGACCCTGTCTCTGGACAAGGAGAGTCTTCCTCCCTGAGTGGCAGAACCATTGCTGCTTACAGGAAATCGAGGTTTTGTGAGGAGAATTGGCCTCCTGCTGGGTGGATGGGGCTGGGGTTTCCTTGCTCTTACCTTCAGATTCAAAGCTTTTTCCAACAACTTACACACACACACTGCTTGTCTCTCTCACTCTCTCCAAGAAGAGGTTGTTCGGTGAACGTTTAGCTCACAGTTCTGTCCCCAGCACCCAGAGCAGAGAGAACCTGGCTCTTAGGAATGCCACATAAGTTTGCTGAGTGAACAAACAAATGATGCCAGAAGGCAAAGCTCTTACATTTCTGCTACGTGTAAAATCCTCAGCTTTCAGGAGGCTGAGGCAGGAGAATTGCTTGAACCCAGGAGGCGGAGGCTATGGTAAGCCGAGTTCGTGCCATTGCACTCCGCCTGGGCAATAAGAGCGAAACTCCGTTTCAAAAAAAAAAAAAAAAATAGCTGCAGAGAGCAGCCTCTATATCCATCTCCCCACCTTGAAGTTCTTCCTTCTTCCTCTTCCCAACCCTGAACATATTCTTTCTCTTGACATGTCAAGACCATCTCTCAAGTATAGACCCACCAAGAATAGGTTCAGTCCCAGTGGAAAAAAAAAAATCATACCACTTCCCACCCCAGCAAGGGCAGATTTGTACTGATGTGCACAAGCCTCCTTTCAGATCACTAGCCTGGTTACTTGTCCAGCCTCTTCCAACCCTACTTTTTGTCCCATGAAGGCCTGTTTAGATTTTGCAGACCTGGAGTCTGGGTGACTCCTCTGGTAGCTTTGCATATCTTTCCCCTCTAAGACTAATTCAGTGATAACCTTGTGTTTAGATGCAAGGAATCGAAATTGTTTTGGTTTCCCAGAAACTTGGGAGCCGTCCTTGACTCCTCACTCTCTCACCTCCTACATCCAATTAATCAGAAATTATACTAAGTATGTCCCTAATTGACACACATCCTCCACCTCCATGGCCACCACCTTAGCAGCCATCGCCTCATAGGTCTCCTTGTACCTATCCTCTAATCCTTTTCCATTTGCAGTCAGACAGGTTTTTTTTTTTTTTTTTGAGACAGAGTCTCACTTTGTTGCCAGGCTGGAGTGCAGTGGCATTGTGTCAGCTCACTGCAACCTCCTCCTTCTGGGTTCAAGTGATTCTCCTGCCTCAGCCTCCCGAATAGCTGAGACTACAGGCACATGCCACCACGCCCAGCTATTTTGTATTTTTAGTAAAGACGGAGTTTCACCATGTTGGCCAGGATGGTCTCGATCTCTTGACCTTGTGATCCATCCGCTTTGGCCTCCCAAAGTGCTAGGATTACAGGTGTGAGCCACCGTGCCCGGCCTAGGTTTTTTAAAAATGTAACTTGAGGGGGCCAGGTGTAGTGACTCAGGCCTGTAATCCCAACACTTTGGGAGGCCGTGGAGGGGAGGATCGATTGAGCCCAGGAGTTCGAGACCAGCATGAGCAACATAGTGCGACCACATCTCTACAAAAAATAAATTAGCAGGGTGTGGTGGTGTGTACCTGTGGTCTCAGCTACTCAGGAGGCTGAGGCAGGAGGATCGCTTGAGCCTAGGAGGTTGAGGCTACAGTGAGCCATGACTGTGCCACTGCACTCCAGCCTGGGCAACAGAGAGAGACCCTGTCTCAAAAAGAAAAAAGTAATTTGGGCTGGGCGCAGTGGCTCACGCCTGTAATCCCAGCACTTTGGGAGGCCCAGGCGGGCGGATCACGAGGTCAGGAGATCAAGACCATCCTGGTTAACACAGTGAAACCCCATTTCTACTAAAAAATACAGAAAATTAGCCGGGCGTGGTGGCAGGCACCTGTTGTCCCAGCTACTCGGGAGGCTGAGGCAGCAGAATGGCGTGAACCCGGGAGGCGGAGTTTGCAGTGAGTGGAGATCCCACTACTGCATTCCAGCCCGGGCGACAGAGTGAGACTCCCTCTCAAAACAAAAAAAAAAAAAAGAAAGAAAAAAGTAATTTGAGCGAAGGCACTTTGCTCTTAAAATCCTGCAGCTTTACTCTTTGATCTGAGGATAAAATCCTAAGTGTTTTAAGGCCATCTCTTTCATTTCCCACAACTCCACAGTTTGTCTCCCTTAGGGCTTTTTTTTTTTTTTCAGACAGAGTCTCTCTCAGTCGCCCAGGCTGGAGTGCAGTGGCACAACCTTGGCTCACTGCAACCTCTGCCTCCCGGATTCACATGATTCTCCTCCCTCAGCCTCCCAAGTAGCTGGGATTATAGGCACCTGCCACCACATCCGGCTAATTTTCTATTTTTAGTAGAGACGGGGTTTTACCATGTTGGTCAGGCTGGTCTCAAACTCCTGACCTCAGGTGATCTGCTCTCCTTGGCCTCCCAAAGTGCTGGAATTACAGGCAATTACAGGCGGCAGCCACCACGCCTGGCACTTAGGGCCTTTATAGATGCTGTTCTCCCTGACTTCATTTAGGGACTCCCCTCCTTTCTTTTTATTTTACTTTTTTTTTTTTTTTTTGAGACAGAGTTTCACTCCTGTTGCCCAGGCTGGAGTGCAATGGCGCAATCTCGGCTCACCGCAACCTCCACCTCCCCGGTTCAAGTGATTCTCCAGCCTCAGCCTCTGGAGTAGCTAGGATTACAGGCATGCACCACCACGCCTGGCTAATTTTGTTTTTTTAGTAGAGATGGGGTTTCTCCATGTCCGTCAGTCTGGTATCGAACTCCTGACCTCAGGTGATCTGCCTGCCTCAGCCTCCCAAAGTGCTGGGATTACAGGCGTGAGCCACCGCGCCCGGCCTCCGCCTCCTTTCTTAGTACAAATGTAGCTTGATAGTAATAGCTATTAACATTCATCCAAGGCTGGGCACATGGTGGCTTACACCTGTAATCCCAACACTTTGGGAGACTGAGGTGGGGGCGGATTGCCTGAGCTCAGGAGTTCGCAACCAGGCTGGGCAACATTGTGAAAACCTGTCTCTACTAAAATACAAAAAATTAGCCCAGTGTGGCGATGTATGCCTGTAGTCCCAGCTACTAGGGAGGCTGAGGCAGGAGAATCGCTTGAACCTGAGAGGCAGAGGTTGCAGTGAGCTGAGATCGCACCACTGCATTCCAGCCTGGGCGACAAAGTGAGACATCTCAAAAAAAAAATTAATCCAAACAATTTATGTGTATTTATATGTATTCATTTATTCTCACAATAACCCTTTTAATTGTTAATAAGGTTTATTAGTATAGTTCAGATGAGAAATTTGAGGGTCAGAGATGTGAACTAGCTTGCCCAAAGTAATATAGGTAATAAGCTCCCCCAATAGACAATAAGCTTCAGGAGGTCAGAGCTTGTGTGGGTTTTGCTCATCTGTGCCTAGTATTCATTTGTTTATTTAACAAATATTTAGGCCAGGTGCAGTGGTTTATGCCTGTAATCCCAACACTTTAAGAAGCCAAAGTGGATCGCTTGAGGTCAGGAGTTTGAGGCTGCAGTGAGCTATGATCAGGCCACTGCACTCCAGCCTGGGCAACACAGTGAGACTTTGTTGCTTAAAAAAAAATACATGCAGTGGCTCATGCCTGTAATCCCAGCACTTTGGGAGGCCAAGGTGGGCGGATCACGAGGTCAGGAGATCAAGACCATCCTGGCTAGCACAGTGAAACCCCATCTTTACTAAAAAATACAAAAAATTAGCCGGGCGTGGTAGTGGGCACCTGTGGTCCCAGCTACTCGGGAGGCTGAGGCAGGAGAATGGCGTGAACCCGGGAGGCAGAGCTTGCAGTGAGCCAAGATCGCGCCACTGCACTCCAGCCTGGGCAACAGAGCGAGACCCAGTCTCAAAAAAAACAAAAAAACAAAAAAAAAAATACACAGGCTGGGTGTGTGGCTCACGCCTGTAATCCCAGCACTTGGGGAAGCCGAGACGAATACATCACCTGAGGTCAGCAGTCGGAGACCAGCCTGGGCAACATGGTGAAATCCCATCTCTACTGAAAATACAAAAAGTAGCTGGGCATAGTGGTGGGTGCCTGTAATTCCAGCTACTTGGGAGGCTGAGGCAGGAGAATCACTTGAATCCGGGAGGTGGCGGTTGCAGTGAGCCGACATCACGCCACTGCACTCCAGCCTGGGTGACAGAGCAAGTCTCTGTCTCAAAAAAAAAAAAAAAAAAAAAAAGGCTGGGCGTGGTGGCTCACCCCTGTAATCCCAGCACTTTGGGAGGCCGAGGCGGGCAGATTACAAGGTCAAGAGATTGAGACCATCCTGGCCAACATGGTGAAACCCCATCTCTACTAAAAATACAAAAATTAGCCAGGTGTGGTGGCACGCACCTGTAGTCCCAGCTACTCGGGAGGCTGAGGCAGGAGAATTGCTTGAATCCGGGAGGCGGAAGTTGCAGTGAGCCTAGATCGCAGTACTGCACTCCAGCCTGCCAATAGAGCGAGAGTTGGTTTCAAAAAAAAAAATAGCCAGGTGTGGTGGCGCATGCCTGCAATCCCAGCTACTTGGGAGGCTGAGGCATGAGAATTGCTTGAACCTGGGAGGCAGAGGTTGCAGTGAGCCGAGACTGCACCACTGCACTCCAGCCTCGGTGACAGAGGAAGATTTCATACCCCCCCCACAAAAAAAACAAGAAAACACACACACACACACACACACACACACACACACACACAAACATATATTGAATATTTATTTATCTATTTATTTTTTAGTAACAGAGTCTCACTCTGTTGCTCAGCCTGGAGTGCAGCGACATGATCATAGCTCACTACAGCCTTCAACTCCTGGCCTCAAGCGATCCTCCTACCTCAGACTCCCAAGTAGCTGAGACCACAGGCATGTGTCCCCACACCCAGCCAATTAAAAGAAAATTTTTTTTTGTAGAGATAGGGTCTCACTCTGTTGCCCAGGCTGGTTTCAAATGTCTGGGCTCAAGCGATCCTCCTGCCTCAGCCTCCCAAAGCACTGAGAGTATAGGTGTGAGCCACCTGCCTGGCCAGTTACTGAACATTTAGTACGTGCTATGTTAAGCACTATTCTAGATTCCTGTTCTCATGAAGCTTATATACCAATGTGGAAAAGATAGATACTAAACAGGTAAACAGATATAGAACAACATAATTTTGGGTAGGAATAACAGGCTTGAAGACAAGAAGACAAGTTGGTGTGATAGTGATTAACAATGTTGACGGCTACTTTAGACCACAGGAGGTCTAGGAAGACTTTCCTGAGGAGGGAATCTATAGAAGGAGCACTCCCATAAATGTTCCTTTTTTTTTGAGACGGAGTCTCGCTCTGTCACCCAGGCTGGAGTGCAGTAGCATGATCTCAGCTTACTGCAACCGCTGCCTCCTGGGTTCCAGCGATTCTCCTGCCTCAGCCTTCCAAGTAGCTGGGACTATAGGCACGTGCCATCATGCCCGGCTAATTTTGTATTTTTAGTAGAGATGGGGTTTCACCATGTTGGCCAGGCTGGTCTCGAACTCCTGACCTCAGGTGATCCGCTCACCTCAGCCTGCCAAAGTGCTGGGATTACAGGTGTGAGCCATCGTGCCCAGCCAATGTTTCTTGATTTAATATAGTTATTAGAATATAAACTCCATGAGAGAGGGAGTGACTTCTGGTCCACCATGGTATCTCCAGCCCCTGTATTGACATTGGCATAGAGTAGGCTCAGATTAACCATTTATTTGAATTAATTAATATATAAATACACATATTTCTTTAGTCATTTACTTAAATCAGTGCTTTTGAAGGGGGATGTCTGTGTCTTTTGGCAATTTCTGTTTTTGGTTTTCACAGTGATGGCAAAGGTGGTTCCTGGCACTTATGGAAGAAGGGATGCTATATATCTTGTAATGCGTGTGGACAGTCCCATATAACATAGTCCTATAAAGTGATATGACTTTTTTTTTTTTGAGACGGAGTTTCGCTCTTGTTGCCCAGGCTAGAGTGCAATGGCATGATCTCAGCTCACCACAACCTCTGCCTGCCGGGTTCAAGCGATTCTTCTGCTTTAGCCGCCTGAGTAGCTGGGATTACAGGCATGCACCCCCATGTCTGGCTACTTTTTGTATTTTTAGGAGAGACGGGGGTTTCTTCATGTTGGTCATGCTGGTCTCGAACTCTCGACCTCAGTGATCCGCCCGCCTCGGCCTCCCAAAGTGCTGGGATTACAGGCGTGAGCCACCACGCCTGGCCTGTGATACGACTTTCAAATGACCTGCCAGACTCTCATGCAGATGAAAAGTCTTTTTATAATTATCCAAGCCTAGAAGAAACTTTAAACATAGGAACAGAAAGTATTTCTGTGCCCTTAAACACAAACTAAATGTCCGGGAATGCCACCAGCATGTCAATAGAGGGGATGCTTGTGTTTGGTTTCATTGAAGCTTTACCAAAATGTGCTCATCTTTTCAGAAAATCCCATCACCCATGGATACTGCTTGCATTTCTAGTTCCTGACGATTCTACCTCTAGGTCAACGGTATCCTGAAAACTTCTCAAATCTTTATTGTATTTGGACCCAGACATTTACCTATTGGACCACCTATTATTTTATTTTAACTTATTTTATGTCACCTTCATTTCACAATTTGGCATACCATTTAATTTTTTTTTTTTTGAGAGGGAGTCTCACTCTGTTGCCCAGGCTGGATGGAGTGCAGTGGCACGATCTTGGCTCACCGCGACCTCCGCCTCCCGGGTTCAAGCTATTCTCCTGCTCAGCCTCCCGAGTAGCTAGGACTACAGGCGCATGCCACCACGCCCGGCTAATGTTTTGTATTTTTAGTAGAGACGGGGTTTCACCGCGTTAGCCAGGATGGTCTCGATCTCCTGACCTCCATGATCCATCCGCCTCGGCCTCCCAAAGTGCTGGGATTACAGGCGTGAGCCACTGCACCCAGCCCCATACCATTTAATTTTAAACCTCATGCGTGTGTGCAGGTTAAATGGCTCCTAGGTTCCATTCCCGGGTGATGGGTGGGAGGGTGTTAAGATTTATTTGTTATAGAAAGGGGCCCTGGGGTCTCCCGCAGCCGCGAGCTGGGCGGTCCTCCCGGCGCCAGGGGTCGCTGTAGCGCCGCGCGGCCGCGCCGGGTCGCTCTCGCGTGGCCGCCCCGCCTCGGGCCCCCGGGCCGAGTGGGCGGGCACGACTGCGCCCAGGTCGCGAGGCGCCCTTCGACCAGCAGCGCCCGGGGCGGGCGGGTATAAATGGAGCGGTGGCTCCCTCGGCCGCCTCTCTCCGCCCCGGGTCGCTGCCGCCTCCGCCGCTTTCGGGCTTCGCAGCCTGAGGAAAAAAAGAGAAAAAGATAAAAAAAATCTGAAAACGCTTCAAAATCCTGAAAAAAAAAAAGGAAAAGAAAAAACGAATCCTCGGAGAACCCGCGGGGAAGTCACTTTCGTACGCTTCCGGCCTGCCCCGCGCCCGCCGCCGCAGCGCTTGGCGTCCGTCGGTCTCCGTCCGTCGGTCCGGGGGTGAGCCGCCCGCCCGGCCCGCCGTGCCCTCCCCCCGCTCGGGCCCCGAGCCCCGCGCCCCGCGCCTGCCCCGGCGCACCACGTGTCCGTGCTGCCCTTCGCCGCCCGCCCGGGGCTCGCCGAGTCGGCGCCCACAAAGATTTGGTTTCCCTCTGCCCCGGCGGTTGTAATCTTAAACCGCCGGAGCCCGAGGCCTATATTTATAGAGAAACGCGTGTCCCCGAGGCCGCCGTGGGCAGCGTCCGGTCGCCTCTTAAAGGATTTTTACCCTTCGGAAGGGGATTCCCCGTTTAATTTTTTTCCTACTTTGATTTTTTGAAATTTGGAGCTTCGCACCAGGACCGCGGAGAAGTGCAAAGTCGCGGGGAGGGCCGTATTGTGCGGAGAGCCTTTTGTCTGCGGTGCTGCGGCCGTGGGAGCCGGCCCCCGCCTCCCGTTTCCGTCCCGTCTCCAAGCCCGCCGACTCCAGCTCGTCCTCGCCGCGCCGGTGCCACCTGTGAGCCGCGGCGCGGGCCCGGGCTCCGAAGGCGCCCCTTTGTCCTGCGGCGGGCCCGATAAGAAGTCCTCCTGGCGGGGCTCGGGGTGGTGGGGGGCGGGGAGATGAACGCTGCGGCCAGCAGCTACCCCATGGCCTCCCTGTACGTGGGCGACCTGCATTCGGACGTCACCGAGGCCATGCTGTACGAAAAGTTCAGCCCCGCGGGGCCTGTGCTGTCCATCCGGGTCTGCCGCGATATGATCACCCGCCGCTCCCTGGGCTATGCCTACGTCAACTTCCAGCAGCCGGCCGACGGTGAGTAGAAGCTGTGCCCACACGTGCGTGGGAGCCCGGAGGACCCCGGGAGTCGTCTTCTGGCAGGGCCCTCCTGCCGAGGAGGGCGGCATCACGACAGCATGTTGCCACCGAAGCTGGGAGCAGGGTGCGGAGATTGAGAACGCGGACCTGGCATCAGATGACTCGAGTTTCAATCTTGTTTCTACCACTTGCTAACTGGGTGACCTTGGGCTACTTATTAGTGTTGCTGGTAGTGGGGTTGGAAACCAAGGAGACTGTAAAACAGGATTAGAGTGAAGCCACTGGCATTCCACTGCGTGTGGTCCTTGTCAGTGGGGCTGGGCTGTTAGAGATCCTTGCTTGTGCCCCTCACAGGCTGGCCAAAAAGGCGGGACGTTTGAAACACAATTCCCCGCGAAAGTTTTACATTGTAAAGCTCCTGCCCGCTCCGCCACCTTTACTAACCTTGACTACCTGATGTTGTGCTGATAAAGGATCAGTCAGGGCAGGCAGGAAGCAGGGGGAAGGTTTCTGTGCGTTAAACTTTCGCAGAGACTTAGGTTAGTGCCACAAAAGCTGCGTGTGCCAGGCCACCTCCTTGGTCTGTGTGTTTGCCACTGGAGTGGAGAAGTGCTTTACTCTGGACAAATGGTATCCAGGCTCTGTGCTGTAGAGTGTCGTGGAGGTAGTTTAGGGAAGCGTCACTTGAAAATCTGGTGTCATTTGTCACCTCAGCTGTAACAGTGCTTTGCACTAGTCAGAGCCCTTTTATTTCATCTAATCTGAAGAAAATGGGACTCCTGAGAAGGAGAACGAATGCAAAAAGTTGGAAGCCAAGTTAGGACTCCCAGCACAGTGCTCTGCCACCTCAGATTGTGGCCTTAGCGTGGAGCATGGAGAGAGGTATGCTGCAGGCGTGGCAGGAGGGAGGCCAGAGGAAACCTGATCAGAGGCTGCACGTGACTCCAGATTAAAAGGGAACAACTGCAGAGATCATTACTGGGAGAAACAAGCCATTCTATGGCAAAGCATCTCCAGGTCCCTAGTTTTGGGGTCCCCCCTTTGTTTTCTGTCTGAGGCCCAGAGTTACTACCTGCCCAGGTTGCGGCTGAGACCAGAGAATTGGACATGTTGAGAGGGACTAGGTATTGCTACTGTCAATCCAGTGTGCTCCAAGCTGAGTTCTGTCCATGGCCATAGGAGCGCAAAGGTAGCTGAGTGTGGTCTTTTTAAGGGATAATGTACCACATTAGCTGTTGTCTGCCTTACTGACTTTTGAACAAAAGTCGTGTCACTTAGAGATAGCAGAAGCTATTGGTCAGTGTGTCTGCCAACACATACTTCTGCAGGACTTCTCCCTGCTATAAATAAGTGCAGCCAGATTTGTCAGACTAAGCCGGCTTGCCTTGTGCAGTGCTGTCTGGAAATAGACGAGGAGCTGTTGTTGAAGTGGGCTCCTTTACTGCTAATTAATGAAATAGTTTGCGATCCCAGCTATCTATCTCTGATAGCCATCACAAGCAAAGTCCTCTTTCCCTGGACTGTTCCTGACTTGGATCGGTCTTGTCATCTCCCCTTTTCCCAACTACCCCCCACACAGATGAGGCCCACCTTCTGAAGGGGGTGGGGAAAGTTGTTGGAAATAATGAGTGAAAATAAATTCTCCCGGCTAATGAAACAGTTGAGCTTGTGGAGCGGCAGAGTTGGGGAATTTTGTCCCCCCTTTAAGTGAGATGTTGTCCTGAGGCAAGGAGCAGGTTCCACTGCTCTGACCCTGTCTAAATCCCCTCATGGAGGAGGTTCTGGGTGATGTCACCGTTAGGAGATGCCATCATAGCCTTAAGGAAAAGTGGCCACCAGATCTGGGCATCCTTGTTGCGATTAGTGATGAGAAGTGTTTTGGCTGGCAGGTGGTGTTATTTTTTAGCTTTTGGTTCTTTTTGTTGTTGTTTGTTTTGAGACACTGTTTCACTCTTGCTGCCCAGGCTGGAGTGCAATGGCGCGATCTCAGCTCACTGCAACCTCTGACTCCTGGGTCCAAACAATTTTCCTGCCTCAGTCTCCTGAGTAGCTGGGATTACAGGCACCCGCCACCATGCCCAGCTAATTGTGTATTTTTAGTAGAGATGGGGTTTTCACCATGTTGGTCAGGCTGGTCTCGAACTCCTGACCTCAGGTAATCCACCCGCCTTGGCCTCCCAAAGTGCTGGGATTACAGGAGTGAGCCACCATACCCAGCCCAGCCTTTGGTTCTTTAAATTGTCTCTGGTGTACACACGGACTTGGTTGGGAAGCTAAGGAAGCATTCCAAGGTGTTGGATGGGGAAGTTGGTTGAGCACCCAGGGTAGCTGAAGTCCTAGAATTCTACAGAACTTCCATTAAGGCTTCAAAAGGTGGGTGCAGGGCCTGCCATCTGCGCACTGTCTACTTAGGCAGAAGGTATGGTGGTTTTATCCTTGTGATAGTACAGAGAACTTTTCCATGTGTGATCAGTTGTGTCCATTTTGATGACTGATGCTTTTTTGTTTAAGTCAATTTCTGTTCTCAGAAATTGAAAATAAACTGGACTGAATTCTGAATTCAGGGATAGCACCTTTTTTTTTTTTTCCAGATCATTTGCTTTACAGGTTTTGTCACTTGTCTCCATAGGTGGATTGCAGACTAAATGACTTGATAACTTTGATGCAATACCTCACTGAAAAATAAATCAGATAATCTAGTATTAGTTTCGTAATTACTAGCTAGCTGCACAGCTTAGTTACCCTAAACATAAGTTTGTTCATTTTGTAAAATGTATAATTTCAGCTGTCCCACCTGAGTCATGGTGGGTGGTAGTCTGCAAAGTCTCTTCTAAGTGGTAAAGCTTAGTCAAATGTGAGGTATTATCACTGGATCTTGGTGTCATTAAGGCCATTTAGATTATCTTTACTTGTGGCCCCTTTATCCAACAAGGGCACAGACCCAGAAGGGTGTTTAGACTTCTGTCATGAAGTAGAGTCATTAGCTGGAACTTATGCTTCCCTTACTAACAGTGCAGGCTGGAGGAATCTGATGCCCTTTTATTTTAATAGAGTTGCCTTTTATCAAGAGTGATTACCTTGAAAAGTCCTGGAGTAATCTGTTCTTAGGCTGTTGGCCTGTGGGAGCTGACGTTTTCTCTCCTTATTGAAATGTGTTTCTCTCTTACAGCTGAGCGGGCTTTGGACACCATGAACTTTGATGTGATTAAGGGAAAGCCAATCCGCATCATGTGGTCTCAGAGGGATCCCTCTTTGAGAAAATCTGGTGTGGGAAACGTCTTCATCAAGAACCTGGACAAATCTATAGATAACAAGGCACTTTATGATACTTTTTCTGCTTTTGGAAACATACTGTCCTGCAAGGTAAACATTGATTAAATGATTTTAGCAGAATAATTAATTGATTCTTGAAAACAAGATAAATACCAAACAGAGAACTATCTTGGAATTGGGGAACAAGATATGGGAATTTTCAAAATGCTGGACATGGAATCCTAAAAGTTCCCATAGGTAATCTCAGGGCCATACCCAGCGTAACCAGCACACGCTTTCATACCCTTGTTCTTTACTCAGCCTGAAATATCCTTCCTATTCTTTAGCTTTGGAAAGCCCACGTTTTTCTTTTGGGATGGGGGAAAGTAGAGGACCAGAGAAGTGTCTCTAGTCTTGAGGAAACTTAATCACTTTAGAAGCATAAATTCACTCTATTCCTTCTACGTATCTGTTCTATGCTGAGCACTTTAAAACTTAAACGGTGGTGGTGTATATGTTTAATGCCATACTACACTGAAAATCTGTTGTGGCCTTGGAAAATGTTTTGTTTTCTGCATCACCGTGGTTTGCACCCAGATCTCTTAAAATGTGTTGTTGTGTTTTAAAGAGACAGAGTCTTGCTCTGTCTGTCACCCAGGGTGGAGTGCAGTGGTCTAGTAATAGCTCATTGTAGCTTCGACCTCCTGGGCTCAAGCCATCCTCCCACCTCAGCCTCCCAAGTAGCTGGAACTACAGGCACGTGCCACCACACTCATTTAATTTTTTTCTTTTTTGTAGAGACAGGGTCTCCATTGTCCAACGATCTGGCTCCAACGATCCTCCTGCTTTGGCCTCCCAAAGCATTGGGATTACAGGCATGAGCCACAGCACCCAATTTTAAGTATTTTTTGTTTGTTTGTTTTTGATAAAAATAAAACATTTGGAATAGAAGCATCTTAGTAGGGCTACCTTTGTAAATGGAACACTTACTAGGCACCTGGTGCTGTGCTAGGTGTTAGAAAAATTATACTGGTGTACTTGACCACCATTGGCCATGGATGGGCTAGAGTCTCCTCAGGCACAAGATACCCTGAGGTTCTCATGTCTCAGGAGCTGGCCAGTTCTGCTAAAGTGGTCCGCCTTGTCTTTGACAGGTGGTGTGTGATGAGAACGGCTCTAAGGGTTATGCCTTTGTCCACTTCGAGACCCAAGAGGCTGCCGACAAGGCCATCGAGAAGATGAATGGCATGCTCCTCAATGACCGCAAAGTGTGAGTGTCCCAGTCCGGAGCAACAACCATCGCATGAGCCAGCCGTGGCCCCACCTCGCTATTAACTGGCACACACAAGGCGGCTACTGGTTCTCGGCCCAAGTGTGGCCTGCTCCTACCTCTCCACTCCAGGGCTGGTGAGTCTCCCTGCCTGAGCCGTGGCAGCCCTTTTGACTCGCCAAGGTGGGCTTCCTGCCCAAGCCATGGCCTGCCTGCCGCCTCTCCCTTAAAGGCATCTGTCTGTGGGTTTTGTGAGCATCAACAACTGGGGCTGGCTGGAAAGCAGCTCTAAGCTCACTCTGAGTCGGGGTCTTGGCCAGCGGCAGAGTGGAGAGGGCCCTGGACTGACCAGGAGCTGTATACTAGCAGTGTGACCTTGGCTTTCCTGTGATTCAGGTCTGTCCATGGGTCCCTCGCTAGTGGTTGATGCCAAATTGTCCCCGCGGTTCTCCATTTTCTAACTTATGACTCAGTGACCTAATACAAGGCTGGCTCCACAGTAATACTTGGTGACAATGAAAAAATCCCATCCCTTTGCAGAAAAACTTCATAACAGACCTTGTTGCTTTGATGTGGTTGTTACTGTAGAATGCAGAGAGGGGGAACTTACCAAAGCCATATGGGGAGAAGAAGAGACAATAAGTCTTGGCTATTACAAGCCAAAATAATTTTTGTCCTTTGTGTCATTCAGTATGCCAGAGGATGGGTTATCTTTATAATGTCTGTGTGTGCAGTGGTTGATCTACAGATATCACTAAAAAGAAATACAAAAATGTCAGTGCATGGATAAATTTTCTTTTAAGTATAACAGACCAAAATAAATAAATTTAAAAAGCAAAGGGTGCCCCTTCACTCCAACAATCTCATATCTAGGATTAACCACTGTTAACAGTTTGGTTTGTATCCTTCCAGACCTTTTCTATGCATTTACATAGTTGCACAGAAATGAACATTTTAAAAACATGGCCATCAGGTTTCTTCATGAAGGCAGTGTGATGTGGTAGGAATAGCCCTGGTCTAAGCCAGGAGCCCTGGGGCTGGTCCTCACAGGATAGTCCTGCCTTTTTCTCTTTCTGCTGGGGACTTGGGGTATCTCTGAGCCTCCTTGGTGGTGGATGGGGATCTCGTGTTTTAACCTCTCCTGTCAGTCTTTAACCTGTATTCCTTTGGGTCCCTGGACATCATGTTTTATTCCTCTGGGTAATTACTGTTCTTCATGGTTTCATTTTAGATTTGTGGGCAGATTCAAGTCTCGCAAAGAGCGGGAAGCTGAGCTTGGAGCCAAAGCCAAGGAATTCACCAATGTTTATATCAAAAACTTTGGGGAAGAGGTGGATGATGAGAGTCTGAAAGAGCTATTCAGTCAGTTTGGTAAGTTGGGGTTCCTTGTCTCCTTTCACAGTCTACCAGACCCATCTGTTTTTTCTTAAGAGATGAGGGCACTGCTCCAGAGATTTGCTTCAAGTGAGTTTCCAGAGGGAAGCCTTCTGTTCCTGAGCTGTGCTCAAGATGGTGTTACTAATAGTTCTGTCCTTTGGTAATAGGTAAGACCCTAAGTGTCAAGGTGATGAGAGATCCCAATGGGAAATCCAAAGGCTTTGGCTTTGTGAGTTACGAAAAACACGAGGATGCCAATAAGGTGAGTATACCACAAAGATTGGGAAAAGCTTTTAAGAGGTTGCCCCAGAGTATGGGTAGGGTCTTGCTAGCACCTACCTAGAGCTGGGACGGTCTGAGTATCTGGTAGTAGATGTACCATTACTATACTCTGGGATCATCTTCCTGGGTTCCGCATGTTAACTTCATGTAGGTGTTTACAAAGCACTTGGCACATACCTGTCACCTCAGCTATCAGTTGTTGAAAGAATAGGACAGACGTTTGTTATGCTGCAAAGGTGAGAGAACTAAAGCCCAGTGAGTGCTGATTTGATAACAGCACGGCAGCTACTTGTGGGCAAAGCATTGTGCCAGACCCTCAATATTTATCACTTAAATACCCACAAAAGCACCTGCAGAATTTACTGGCAGCCGGAATATTATATCGCCCTAGGCTCATGTCAGCACACTTGTGTTTATACACCTGTACTATTTCTATATTATCTGGATCAATAACCCATTTAAATATTAACCTCACTTTACAGATGAGGAAGTTTGGATTTGTGTGACAGACTTCAGAGGTGGAGTGAATTTAGTTTTTAGTCCTATAGTAGAAAGAATATTTTTTGGGACTTAGACCTCCAGAATAAGACCCCATCGCTGCAACTTTATTTTAAAGACATATTTTTCCTCTCTAGGCTGTGGAAGAGATGAATGGAAAAGAAATAAGTGGTAAAATCATATTTGTAGGCCGTGCACAAAAGAAAGTAGAACGGCAGGCAGAGTTAAAACGGAAATTTGAACAGTTGAAACAGGAGAGAATTAGTCGATATCAGGTAAGGTGGTCTTGGCCCAGCCTAGCAATGGGATTTGCTGTGAAATATTTGCAGAACACCCCTATGTTTAGCGGGCTTTCTTTTTGAGGACTTGGAGTGTGTTCTTCTTCCCATTTTACCTAAAAAGATGAGGTTTAAAAGGATATATACCTACTACATATGACTGATTATTATAGAACCAGAAACAAGAGATGGGTTTATTCATCAAGAAGCTCTCTATTTTGGAAGCCTCAGCCTGTTGCTTTTAGCCATGTAGGTTCCTTTTACTTAAATGAGACTCCTTTGTTTGGCATGGCTTCAAGAAGACCCCTGCTGGGGTGGGTGAGTGGTCACCAGAACAGCTGTGGGGAGAGGTGACAAAAGGTGAGTGCACTGATGATCCTGTCAGTTTCAGGGCAGTAGTTTCACAACTTTGGACTTGCATCAGATTCATCAGCAGAGCTTGTTAAAACAGATAGCTGGGCTCCAGCCCCAGAGTTTTTCTTATTCATTGGGTTTGGGGTCTGGCCTAAGAATTTCATTTCTTTCTTTTTTTTTTTTTTTTCTTGAGACAGTCTCGCTCTGTCGCCCAGGTTGGAGTGCAGTGGCACAATCTCGGCTCACTGCAAACTCCGCCTCCCGGGTTCGCACCATTCTCCTGCCTTAGCCTCCTGAGTAGCTGGGACTACAGGCACCCGCCACCATGCCTGGCTAATTTTTTGTATTTTTAGTAGAGACGGGGTTTCACTGTGTTAGCCAGGATGGTCTCGATCTCCTGACCTTGTGATTCGCCCGCCTCGGCCTCCCAAAGTGCTGGGATTACAGGCGTGAGCCACCGCGTCCGGCCGAGAATTTCATTTCTAACAAGTTCCCAAAGATGCTGGTGCTCCTGGTCTGGGGCCACCCTTGGGGAACCACTTTCTTAGGGAATATTTGTGATATAGAAGTGTAGTTAACAGTGATCTTTTTCCTTCAGGGGGTGAATCTCTACATTAAGAACTTGGATGACACTATTGATGATGAGAAATTAAGGAAAGAATTTTCTCCTTTTGGATCAATTACCAGTGCTAAGGTATTATACTGCGATCTGGGGATTGAAAGCAGTGGTATTCCATTATAGGCTTATTGGCATTTGTCCCATTGAAGGAATAGCATTTAAATTATGTTCATTTCTGAAAGTAGCTACTACGTTTTTCTAGCAAAATTTCTGGATGCATTCTGGAGAATGACATTTCATTAGGTTAACATTACACTGTTTCCCAAGCACTGGAGTCTGGAGAGGAATTTGACCCAGCCCCTCCTTGCCAACTCAGAGCACCTGAATCTTTCCCATTCCTTGCTGCCTCGTGCCGGTGTGGGGACAGATGGTGCTACAGAATGAGCAGAGGAAATCCAGACAGGTTGTTTTCCATTTGTCTTGGGGCCTGTCTCTACAGCTCTGCCACATTTTCTCCTTGAGAATGAAGGTATTTTGAAGATTTTGGAGGTGGGCTTGGGAACTTCTACCCTGGTCTTAAAAAGAGAGGAAAGGGGAGTGGAAGGTTTTTCTATGTTTCGTAGTGTGCATCATTTGCTTGATTTTCTTTGATAATCATATCAACTAAGTTAGCAGGGTAAGTAGGAACCTCATTTTAAAGATAAGGAATTTTAGTCCTTGAACAAGAGAATGCTGACTACATGGGGATGGTGTACTGCTTGTCCTTGGCACTTTGGGAGCAGGATGGAAACTGGTGCCATCTGAACATTTTGAGTTATGGCCGGATGCAGACGCCGGTCTTGCTAAACAGGTGTACCAGATGCCACAAAATCCTTTAGTTGATGAGAAGGGAAGCCACGTGGGCTGGTAAGGGCTTAGTGGCCCTGCCCTGGCTCTTAGTGGACTTTGCTCCCAACCTGGGAATGTGGAAAGCAATGTTATCAGTTGTAGTAGGGAGTTGGCCAGAGGCCAACTGTGGGTTTGCCCAGTTCTTACCCTTTCGTTTTTGCTATGACCCCCCCCTTGACTGGCCCTCATCAGTGTAAGGAGTGATCTTCTATCCTTGCTTATCTGCCTAGTAGTCAAGTTGGCATTTGTTAAGAGAGCAGAAGAGCCATACCTTGAATTGTCCCCATTTTCATTATGATGGTGTGGCATTTTTATTCACATACCTTACTGGCCCATCTCATTGGTAGAGAGTTATGGAGTGATGCACTTCTTTACTTCCCTATCCTCCACTTCAGGAGGCTCTCTGGGCCATTAACTAAGACATAAAACAATGACAGTCACACCAGAGAAGACAGTGAATAACCTTGTCTATTAGGAAGAATGCCATTTGTGAATGATGAACTTAATGTGGGAAAAGACTGCCTGAACCAGTAGACCTGTGGTTTTGTAGCTGTTTGGAGTATTTCTTGGAAATTGAGCCTCAGGAAGGCAAGTGAGACTAGAATCTAGGCTGCCTATCTCTGAGCTGGTCATCTCATTGAATTAATGGTGGCAGTCATTGGTTACCTGAACATTTTAGGACTCCTGTCCACACGTGGTATTCCAAAAGTGTTATCCTGACGTTGGTAAGAGCTTGTTAGAGTTTGTCCACCGAGGTCTTGAAGCATATGAGATATGAAAATAAATTGCTCAGTACTACTCTCAAGATGTTTTGTGGTTACCCGGAGTAGCTATCCACCAGGTATCAGGAAACATCTTTGAGTTCCTGGTTTTATTATTAGCCATATCATAGTGTTTCAGAACTTTAGCATCACCTGGGGACTCAAAGAAAACACCTAGATACCTTAGAGGTTGTGACTTAGTTGGTCTGGGGTAAATCCTGTGCCAGAACCCTGACCTAGACTCAGTGACTGCAGCAGAACCCAGGCTTTCTGGTTCTTCTGAATAGTTCCCTCCCCACCCAGGGACATCCTTTTTTTTCCTATTTGTAGGTTTGTTTTGTTTTTTTTGTTGGTTTGGTTGGTTGGTGTTTTTGTTTTGTTTTGTTTTGTTTTGTTTTGTTTTGTTTTGGAGATGGAGTCTCGCTCTGTCGCCCAGGCTGGAGTGCAGTGGCGCGATCTCGGCTCACTGCAATCTCTGTCTCCCGGGTTGAAGCGGTTCTCCTGCCTCAGCCTCCTGAGTAGCTAGGATTACAGGTGTGTGCCACCACGCCCAGCTGATTTTTGTATTTTTAGTAGAGACGGGGTTGCACCATGTTGGTCAGGATGGTCTTGAATTCCTGACCTCGTGATCCACCCACCTCGGCCTCCCAAAGTGCTGGGATTACAGGCATGAGCCACTGCGCCTGGCCCTTTGTTTTTTTGAGATGAGGTCTCACTACATTGCTCAAGCTGGTCTCAACCTCCTGAGCTCAAGCAGCCCTCCCACCTCAGCCTTCCAAAGTGCTGGGATTACAGGCACAAGCCATCACACCCAGCCAGGGACACCTTATTTCTTAAGTAGCTGGTCTCATTTTGTAGGTAATGCTGGAGGATGGAAGAAGCAAAGGGTTTGGCTTCGTCTGCTTCTCATCTCCTGAAGAAGCAACCAAAGCAGTCACTGAGATGAATGGACGCATTGTGGGCTCCAAGCCACTATATGTTGCCCTGGCCCAGAGGAAGGAAGAGAGAAAGGCTCACCTGACCAACCAGTATATGCAACGAGTGGCTGGAATGAGAGCACTTCCTGCCAATGCCATCTTAAATCAGTTCCAGCCTGCAGCGGGTGGCTACTTTGTGCCAGCAGTCCCACAGGTGGGTGTGCTGTTTGGTCACAGCTCTTGGGAACCTGCCGGCTGGCAGTATTCTGCAGTGGTTGGGGAGAGGGATTTTTCGTTATTAGAGTTCTAGAATGTCACAATAAGGACCCTTCAAGTAAAAATGAAGGACTTACCCATGGTCACAAACACACACCCACAGTGGCAGTGGTAGCATAAAACAGTCCCCATTAGCTGACCCCTCAGCTCTTGAATAGAAAGAACATTTAAATAATTAGCTTAGGTCCTGGTTAGTGAGATGAGATGAGATACTTCTCTAGGATGGGTTCAGTCCTTAAGGGGGTGTTTGGGTATTCTTCTGTCTTACAGGCTCAGGGAAGGCCTCCATATTATACACCTAACCAGTTAGCACAGATGAGGCCTAATCCACGCTGGCAGCAAGGTGGGAGACCTCAAGGTAGGTGGTGGGGAACAGTAATTGACAGCCCAGGATATACCTGTCCTGGTCTCCCCTGCCTTTCCTTCTTCCCCACTCTGAGGCACAGCCTAGGTTCTGGTCCACATCACTTCTCAATGATGTGCAATTTTTCTCTTCACCAGGCTTCCAAGGAATGCCAAGTGCTATACGCCAGTCTGGGCCTCGTCCAACTCTTCGCCATCTGGCTCCAACTGGTAATGCTCCGGCCTCTCGTGGCCTCCCTACTACCACTCAGAGAGTCGGTGAGCAAACTGGCCTTTAGAAGTGTGGCCTGGGGAGGAGGGAGTCAGGATGACTAGGCTCTGTCCTGGGTTGGTCAGTTTGTTGGGCTCGAATTTATCGAGTCCTGGTTCTGTAATCTTAGCTGTGTGCTTAGGTGGCCACTTCAGGAGCAGAGAAACAGTATGAGTTCTAGGTGTGTCAGTTGCTTTTAACATTCTTTGCTCATCGGTGACCTATGTGAAAAAGGTTAGTTGTAGAAGTTTGCTAGCTGGATGACCACAGAGGCAGCTTGTTCTTTTGGGTGGGGTGAGGAATACAAGGAAACAGTGTATACAGAATATGTCTTGTATTCCAAGATGTGGAAAGAGTTGTATGTTATCCTTTGGCTCATCCTCGAAAGTAGTAGTGGCCCCCTGTGCAATGTGTTGCGTAAACGTGCTTTGAAATTTCTCCTTCCGTGGGACGTGGCCAGTTGGACATCTGCCGCCAACACTGATGTGCATTTGCTGGTCTGTTGTAGGGTCTGAGTGCCCGGACCGCTTGGCTATGGACTTTGGTGGGGCTGGTGCCGCCCAGCAAGGGCTGACTGACAGCTGCCAGTCTGGAGGTGGTATTGGATGCACACAGAAGGGGGAAAGATGGGATTTGACGGGTCTTTGCCCAGACTGATGGGCTTTAATTGTATTTGTTCTTTCCCTAAGGCGTTCCCACAGCTGTGCAGAACTTAGCGCCACGCGCTGCTGTTGCTGCTGCTGCTCCCCGGGCTGTTGCCCCCTACAAATACGCCTCCAGTGTCCGCAGCCCTCATCCTGCCATACAGCCTCTGCAGGTGAGGTTCACCAGACAGAATGCTTAAAAGGATTTCCCCCATTTCCACTTGATGTAAAAGAAGCTGTGCTTTTGATTCCTTCAACAGGTATTAAATGCCTGCTCTGTGTTATGACGCTATGTTCTGATTCACTGTCCCTGCCCTTCAGGGGCTCACTAGTGGGAAAGAAGGGGCTTAAAAGTGCTCTGCCTGATGCCAGTTCACTCAGAAATGCCTCAGAGCGGGCAGCCAGTGCTTCCTCTTCTGTTTGTACGAAATAATGTGCTCATTCAGCTGTTTGAGCCTCCAGGTCACTTCCGCATCCAATGACCTATTGGATCCTTGGCTGCTCTGCAAGATGATTGGTACATTAATGCAGGAAATAACTTCAACTTACAGATCGGATGTTCAGCTTCAAAGATGTAAAGTGTGTGTAGGAGGTGAAGGGGTTGAACCTAGAGCTTAGATTTTCTAAGCTGTAACTTGCTGTCTCTAGACCTGTGCTCTAGATGCAACTAGTTTGTTTCAGAGCCTAATAGCAATTTGCTGTGGAGGTGTCACCCTAAGCCTTCAGGCCCATAAGCTGCTTAGGAGATTACTCTTTAACTGTCCTGTCTCATACTCTCTAAGTTGGGGATTTCCTAGAACTTGATGCTATGTAAAATACCTTTTCTTTGCAAGGCTTTGACTAGCATTGACGTTGCATGTTGACCGTTTTTAAGCATTTGATACAAAAACATTTGGTAGAATTAAGGTGATGTGGAATGTAATTATAAATGTGTTGATATTTACTCCCTTTGATCCAATCTGCACTGAGATTTACCCTAAAGGAAAACTAATTTTCAGGAAAAGGTTATATACAAGTGTTTACCCTTATTTATATCAAGGCTTTTCATTCTTGAGTAACTTTGGGTGTATTAAGGAAATGTCAGAAAATGCTTGCCTAGCACTATAGGTTTGTTTTATTATTTACGTTTCACTTCGCTTTCTGATAGCATGCCATTTTCATTGTAATTGGTTGTGTTTATGTCCATACCACTCTGTTCCTCAACACACCCCTCAATCCTTCAAGGACTGAAATTAGTTCCTTTAGAGCAAGGACAGCCACCTCCTCTCCTCTTTCACATAGTCAGATGTTCAGATATTGAACAGGCACTCAACCACCATCAGGTGTTGTCCTTTCCTCAGTGCTAACCCACTGCCTTTCCTGGTTCCCAGGCACCCCAGCCTGCGGTCCATGTGCAGGGGCAGGAGCCACTGACTGCCTCCATGCTGGCTGCAGCACCCCCCCAGGAACAGAAGCAGATGCTGGGTGAGTGACCCACTTGCTTGCAGAAGAAGAGGGTCCCAGAGCCTGATGCCAGCTAGGACACCAGTGTCCATTGTTTACTGGGATTTGATTTGTTTTTTTATTAACTATCCTCCCCATAGGAGAACGCTTGTTCCCACTCATCCAAACAATGCATTCAAATCTGGCTGGGAAGATCACGGGAATGCTGCTGGAGATAGACAACTCTGAGCTGCTGCACATGTTAGAGTCCCCCGAGTCTCTCCGCTCCAAGGTGAGCTGGGGCTCAGACCCTGCAGCTTCAGTTCTCAGCTTGGGAAGACTGGGGGCAAACTTGGATGCCCAGGTGCAGCAGAAAGTGGGATCTGCTGCCCCCAGGACCCCTCTCGTCATGCCTTGACTGTGACTGGAGGCTGCAGTGGGTATTTGGGAAAGTAGTTAGCACCAGAAGCCTAGGGATCATCTGTACAGTTGGCTTTGGTCCACCACTAGGTCTGGGCACTGGGGAGGGGTGGAGTAGCTCTCCTAGATTCACTGACCACCTGAAGATTTCTCGCAGGTGGATGAAGCTGTAGCAGTTCTACAGGCTCATCATGCCAAGAAAGAAGCTGCCCAGAAGGTGGGCGCTGTTGCTGCTGCTACCTCTTAGACAAGGAAAAACCGTATGTGTGGCTATTTTCATTTTTGTTCCTATGAGCATTGTTCCTATGAGCATTGTCTTTGTGGTTTGACCTGAGGTTGTATATATGCTCACTGCTTAGCTCTGGGAATACAATAAGTACAGTTAGTTACACGGAGTGTGTTGCAGGTGACTTCTTATCATGAGGACTGTGGACTTTGTCTGCAGGAGCTTGAGTGAATAATAAAACTAGTACTGGTTGATGGTTGTAGGTGTCTCCAGATAGGGAAAGAAGAGACAGTAAAATAAGCTAAGGAAAAAGCACATGGTAAGGACCAGAGCTGGTGTGTTGGGAGGGTTGACTTGGCATAGTCATGACCCTCTTGTCAAGGGCCTCAGGAGCCTTGTCATCTAGTGGTAAAGACCAGAGATGCTGCTAAATGTTGTACAGTACACAGGAGGACAGACCCAACAGAATGTCCAAAGTGTCAATAGCACTGAGGTTGAGAAACTCTCTTCTAGAATACCTTCCTTTATCCACTATATGTTAATGAATCTAAATTATTTGATTATGCATTTATTTGTGTTGGTGCTTTTCTTTACAGGATTCAAAAGCCAAATAACCCCTTATGGAATTCAACTCAAGGTTTGAAGACTTCCTAGCTTGTCCTATGGACCTCAACACCAAGGATTACAAATTGCAAATTTAATAGGTCATTTTGTATCAAAAGGTCAATTATGAAGCACCTAGAATTTTTCAATTATACGAATATGTTCTTTGGGTTCTGCTGTGGCCCAGACAGTGTTAACTTTTTTTTTATTGTGGGTTTTGATTTTTTCCCCCAGAAATTGGTTTTATTTGATGTACCCAAGTCTTACGTTTCCCAATAAAGAAAAAAAATCTCCATAAAACTGCCTCTGTCTCTGACCACAGTTTTACTCTATGAATTCCGGTTTTCACTGGAAGTAACTTTAGGATGTGAATTGGTTCCAGTGATAGTTTATTCTTTCTTGACTTGAAGCTGACAAAGATTAGCAAGATACACAGAACTGTTAAATATGATCCTGTCCCACACTGTTCTGTTACAGTATGATTGTTACATTAGCCCCATTTAACTTAGAGGGAACAGAGATCTGATGTGGTCAGAGCAGACCATGGGTCTGGCCCAGGAAAATCTGGGGCAGAGTGGGGTTGGCGCACACCCCAAGGACATACGGTGAGATCTGCAGATCCCAGTTGGTTAGTTGAGCCCCGTCCTTCCCTTCCTGAACTCGGTTGGGGTGTGTCCTGTCCCCTCTTATTTCCTGCAGTCAGTTTATGCTGCATTCGAGTCAGCGGATCCAGTTCCCCAGATTCTGCAACCAAGTTTTCCCCTAGCAGGGAAAATGGGAGGTCTGTGACTATAGCAAATGGTGCTGAAGTCTTCAGTGCTTGTGGTTTCTTTGATGTTCAAAGTGACAGTAAAATGACATCCTAAAGGCCAAGATCACATCCCTTTGCAGCCTACTTTCCCTGCGGCTCCAGCCTTGCCTGCTTTCCCTCCTGGAGCTTGCTTGGTGCTTCCTTAGTGCCCCATCCAGGCAGTCCTTAGAATGCTCATCCCTCTTGGCAGGCTCCTTTAGATCTGGTGTCACCTCGGCTGGGCACAGTGGCTAACGCCTGTAATCCCAGCACTTTGGGATGCCGAGGCGGGCGGATCACAAGGTCAGGAGATCGAGACCATCCTGGCTAACACGGTGAAACCCCGTCTCTACTAAAAATACAAAAAAAATTAGCCGGGCGTGGTGGCGGGCACCTGTAGTTACAACTTCTTGGGAGGCTGAGGCAGGAGAATGGCGTGAACCTGGGAGGCGGAGCTAGCAGTGAGCCGAGATCGCGCCACTGCACTCCAGCCTGGGCGACAGAGCGAGACTCCGTCTCAAAAAAAAAAAAAAAAAAATCTGGTGTCACCTTAACAGATCTAAAGGAGATGTCCTTGTTTCCGGACGGCCCCTTCTTTCCTTAATCTGGTGCCGGATGGGGTGGGGCACGGTGCGGGCTTCCGGCGGAAGCGCTGGAAGCAAGATGGCGGCCGCCGAGAGGGTTCACAAAGGGTAGGGTGGTGTGGAGCAAGGCAGGGTCCTCGCAGGCAGTGCCAAGATTGAGCTGGGGGTGGGCAGAGTGGGCGGGGTGCGGACCCATGGCCCTACGCATCCTGGGCCAGGTCTCTTGTGGTGCTTCACGCTCTCGACCTGTGAGTGGTGCCTGCTAGAGCTGCCCAGATCCCTTTTCCCTACCCCTTCTGACCCTGGACCCAGAGTGGTGGTTGCGATCTGCTACCGTGACGTCAGCCCTCATTCGTTCGTTCCACAAACTCCACAGCTCTGGTCCATTAGAGGAAGGAGGTCCCAGAATAGCTGGGAAATTACGAGAACAGCCTCACTGCACGAGTTGGTGAATGCTGTGATGGCGATTGTATGATGGACGGTGATGTTGAAACCAGACTGGGGAATGACCGCCCCATCCGGAGAGGTGAGGGTAAACTTTCGGGATGCTCTGAGTCCAGAGATGGGTTTGAAAGATGCAAAGTTAACCAAGCAGCCAAGGTGGGAGCCAGGCTGTTGCCTGAATGGAGACAAGCAGCGAGAGTCAAAACCCAGAGTCTGGCCATACTTAGTATATGCTATACTAAGAAATGTGGATTTTTCTCCGTTGGCCATTGGACTGCTTTTGAAGAATACCAACCAGAAGAGTAATATAATCGTATTTGTATTTTCTTGGGATAACGGAGGAGAGAAAAAGAAGGCGATCCCATTCAGGAAATTGTCACCATAAACCAGGGCAAAAAATGTAGGTCAGAAGAGGGATAGGGAGAGGAGTGTATCTCACAAGTGGTTTTGTTATACCCAGAAGAGTATTGGGACCCCTCCCTTCCTCTCCTCCCTGTGCTCATGTTAACAAGGTGTTGGAGCAACTGCACCAAAAGTGTGGAGACATTGATTCAGAATGCTCTTGGTATCTGCAAAGGGGGTGAAGGACAGTTCTTTGTGCTACTTTTATTCCTTTTGGAAACATCACAGATATTCTGATTCTGCTGTATTATGAAACAGGTGACACTGAAAAGTCCCTCTTAAGATTCCTGATGCCAGGAAAATAGGAAAAAATTTTAAGTCATGAGCATTCTGTGTATGGCTGGTATATAATGAATTTCAGGGGGATGTCTCTCTAGGTCAGCATGGTGGTGATCTTGGAGATGGAATAGGAAGGTTCTGAGGACAGCAGAGCTAGGATGATGGTGTGGCTATGGGTTGAAATTTACAAAAATTAACAATCTGGCTGGGCGCGGTGGCTCACACCTGTAATCGCAGCACTTTGGGAGGCCGAGGCGGGCGGATCACGAAGTCAGGAGATCGAGACCATCCTGGCTAACACAGTGAAACCCCGTCTCTACTAAAAATGCAAAAAATTAGCCGGGCGTAGTGGCGGGCGCCTGTAGTCCCAGCTACTTGGGAGGCTGAGGCAGGAGAATGGAGTGAACCCGGGAGGCGGAGCTTGCAGTGAGCTGAGATCGCGCCACTGCACTCCAACCTGAGTGACAGAGCCAGACTCCGTCTCAAAAAAAAAAAAAAAAAAAAAAAAAAAAAAATCTGTTGGATTTGAGGTTAGACTTTAAGTTGGAACCATTTGGGGGCTTTGATTTCTCATCATTTAATATAAAAAGTGTATAGTAAAAAGGCCAGGCGCGGTGGCTCACGCCTGCAATCCCAGCACTTTGGGAGGCAGAGGCGGGCGGATCACGAGGTCAGGAGATCGAGACCATCCTGGCTAAGACGGTGAAACCCCATCTCTACTAAAAATCCAAAAAATTAGCCGGGCGTGGTGGCAGGCTCCTATAGTCCCAGCTAATCGGGAGGCTGAGGCAGGAGAATGGCGTGAACCCGGGAGGCGGAGCTTGCAGTGAGCCGAGATCGCGCCACTGCACTCCAGCCTGGGTGACAGAAAGAGACTCCGTCTCAAAAAAAAAGTGTATAGTAAGAATCAGGAGGGTAGTCTTAGAATAAAATTTTTTTTTTTTTTGAGATGGAGTCTCATTCTGTCACCCAGGCTGGAGTGCAGTGGCGCGATCTCAGCTCACTGCAAGCTCCGCCTCCCGGGTTCACGCCATTCTCCTGCCTCAGCCTCCCGAGTAGCTGGGACTACAGGAGCCTGCCACCACGCCCGGCTAGTTTTTTGGATTTTTAGTAGAGACGGGGTTTCACCGTGTGTTAGCCAGGATGGTCTCGATCTCCTGACCTCGTGATCCGCCCGCCTCTTCCTCCCAAAGTGCTGGGATTGCAGGCGTGAGCCACCGCGCCTAGCTCTTAGAAAAAAAATTTTAACGTTTGGTTCTTGTTTCACATCACCTGCTGGTTAGGTGTACTCTACCTTATCTGCCCACCCGAACTCCCTTCCTGGCGGCTGTGCTGTTAAATAGCAGAGTGTAGCAGGGAAGCTCAGCCTCAGCAGTGAAGCCTTGGCCTCTGCTTACCTGGTTAAGTTTTTCTTCAATTGGTATCACAATTACAGTGCAAGTTTCTATTTGATCTTTTGTTTTTATTTTCTAGGTTAGGAATTTTAGACCCAGTTCTGCTACTGACTTTCTGTGTGGACACAAACTCACTGAGCCTTCAGTTCTTCAAATCATTTTTTTTTTCTTTTTTTTTTTTTTTTTTGAGATGGAGTCTCACTCTGTCACCCAGGCTGGAGTGCAGTGGAGCGATCTTGGCTCACTGCAACCTCTGCCTTCTGGGTTCAAGCGATTCTCCTGCCTCAGCCTCCCAAGTAGCTGGGACTACAGGTGCCTGCCACCACCCCCAACTAATTTTTTTGTATTTTTAGTAGAGACGGGGTTTCACTATGTTGGCCAGGCTGGTCTTGAACTCCTGACCTCGTGATCCGCCTGCCTTGGCCTCCCAAAGTGCTGGGATTACAGATGTAAGCTGCTGTGCCAGCTTTTTTTTTTTTTTTAGAGACGGGGTCTTGCTCTGTCATCCAGGCTGGATTGCAGTGTCATTGATCATAGCTCAAGCGGTCTTCCTGCCTCAGCCTCCCAAAGTGCTGTGATTACAGGTGTGAGCCACTGCACCTGGCCTCTTCATATCTTACAACGGTAAGACTAGCGGGTTCAGGAGCCCTTCTATCCCTGAGTTTTTTTTGTTTTTGTTTTTGTTTTTTTTTATGGAGACAGAGTCTGTCTGTGTCACCCAGGCTGGAGTGCAGTGGCGCGATCTCGGCTCACTGCAACCTCCGCCTCCTGAGTTCAAGCAGTTCTCCTACCTCAGCCTCCCGAATAGCTGGGACTACAGGCACACACCGCCATGCCCAGCTAATTTTTTGTATTTTAGTAGAGACGGGGTTTCACCATGTTGCCCAGGCTGGTCTCAAACTCCTGAGCTCAGGCAGTCCGCCTGCCTCAAAGTGCTAGGATTACAGGTGTGAGCCACCGCACCCAGCCTATCCCTGAGTTTTATAAAGTAGTAATTCCTACTACTCTTGGTCTCTCCCAGCTAAAATAAGTTTTTCCTGGGAACGAAGACTATGATGCTCCCTTCTTTAGTAGTCACCTGACCCAATGGTAAGATCAATGCTCTATACACAATTAAAGCTTTTTTGGAATTAATAATTGTTAGACCAACAACTTTTTCTATTTCTGTAAGTTTTATAAACAAAGGTCATCAAAGTGCTTGGAAAGCAACTTCAGGTTTTACGTTCTATAGTGGTACAACTGAATTTTATTTTATTTTAATTAGTTAATTAATTTATTTATTTTTGAGATGGAGTCTTGCTTTGTCACCCAGGCTGGAGTGCAATGGCGTGATCTTGGCTCACTGCAGCCTCTGCCTCCTGGGTTCAAGCGATTGTCCTGCCTCAGGAGCTGGGACTACAGGCGCCTGCCACCATGCCCAACTAGTTTTTTTTTGTATTTTTAGTAGAGATGGGGTTTCACTATGTTGGCCAGGCTGGTCTTGAACTCCTGGCCTCGTGATCCGCCTGCCTTGGACTCTCAAAGTGCTGGGATTACAGGCATAAACCACTGCGCCTGACCTATATTTTTTTTTTAGAGATGGGGTCTCGCTCTGCTACCCAGGCTGGATTGCAGTGTCATTGATCATAGCTCAAGTGGTCTTCTTGCCTCAGCCTCCCAAAGTGCTGTGATTACTGGTGTGAGCCACTGCACCTGGCCTCTTCATATCTTACAACAGTAAGACTAATGCATTCAGGAGCCCTTCTATCCCTGATTTTTTTTTTTTTTTTAATGGAGACGGAGTCTCTTTCTGTTGCCTAAGCTGGAGTGCAGTGGCGCGATCTCGGCTCACTGCAACCTCTGCCTCCTGGGTTCAAGCAGTTCTCCTACCTCAGCCTCCCGAATAGCTGGGACTACAGGCACACACTGCCACGCCCAGCTAATTTTTTGTATTTTAGTAGAGATGAGGTTTCACCATGTTGCCCGGGCTGGTCTCAAACTCCTGAGCTCAGGCAGTCCACCCTCCTCAAAGTGCTAGGATTACAGGTGTGAGCCACTGTGCCCAGCCTATCCCTGAGTTTTATGAAGTAGTAATTCCTACTACTCTTGGTCTCTCCCAGCTAAAATAAGTTTTTCCTGGGAACAAAGACTATGATGCTCCCTTCTTTAGTAGTCTCCTGACCCAGCGGTAAGGTGAATGCTCTATACACAGTTAAAGCCTGATAGGAATTAATGATTGTTAAACAACTTTTTCTATTTCTGTAAGTTTTATAAACAAAGGTCATCAAAATGCTTGGAAAGCAACTTCAGGTTTACATTCTATAGTGGTACAACTGTATTTTATTTTAATTAGTTAATTAATTAATTATTTTTGAGATGGAGTCTTGCTTTGTCACCCAGGCTGGAGTGCAAAGGTGCAATCGAGGCTCACTGCAGCCTCCACCTCCTGGATTCAAGCGAGTCTCCTGCCTCAGCGTTTCAAGTAGCTAGGACTACAGGCGTGTGCCACTGCACCCAGCTAATTTTTGTATTTTTAGTAGAGACAAGGTTTTACCATGTTGGCCAGGCTGATCTCAAACTCCAGACCTCAGGTGATCTGCCTGCCTCAGCCTCCCAAAGTGCTGGGATTACAGATGTGAGCCACTGCAGTCAGCCTGAATTGTACAAAGTTTAAAATTAGTTCATTGTTTATGTATATTTATTTAAAATGAAATGACTAATATTTCTGGATGCGTTGCTGAATAAACCAAGAAAAATCTAAAAATTTGACTTTCATTTTGTAAATGACATCTGGATATGGCGTGTTTCCTCCTATTGCTCACATATTAACAACCCATTTCTGCTTTTGCAGAAAAGCACCAAGGATTCTCTTTTGTTGAATTTGAGTTGGCAGAGGTAAGAAGTTTTCCTTTTAATATTTGACTAGTGTCACTCTTGTCATTGATTACCAAAGGTGTCAGTCTGTTTGGATGGATGTGGTAGTTTCCTTGGGCTGTTGTAACAAATTATCATACATTTGGGTGGCTTAAAACAACAGAAATTTATTATCTCACAATTCTGGAGACTAGAGGTCCAAAATCAAGGTGTTGGCAGGGCCATGCTCCTCTGAAGGCTCTCAGGAAGACTCTTTACTTGCCTTCCTGGCTTCTAGTGGTTCCTCACAATTCCTTGGCTTGTAGTATCACTCTAGTCTCTGCCTGTCTTCACATGGCTTTCTTCCTTGTATGTGTTTCTGTCTTCTCTTATAAAGATACCAGTCATTCAGTCATTGGATTTAGGGTCCATAACAATTCAGTATGACCTTTTCTTAACTAATTACATCTGTGAAGGCCCTACTTCTTTTTTTTTTTTTTTTTTTTGAGACAAGGTCTCACTCTATCACCCAAGCTGGAGTGCAGTGGTGTGATT